>NC_000007.14:69779506-70082536 GCF_000001405.40 Homo sapiens | reverse complement strand
GTTCAGACATTTGGAACAATTTTAGTCCTTTGGGAATTCCATCATTAAAACCAGAACTAAAGTACTAAAAGTCCAGCTGTATCTATAAATATTTAAAAAACATATGCACAAGTAAAACCTCCCCTCTTTCCTCTAGGGAGACATGTGATCTTAGCCTGACTCCTGCTTTGAATTAGAAATGCTCTCCTCTCCCAAACTTAGGATGATTTCGAAAAAGTTTTTAAGATGAATTTCCTCACAAGAGATTACAATAAATCATCCATATACCATGAAATTTAATTTGGAAGTACCAGGTTTTAGCAAATCAACATTTTAGGCACGTAGTCAACACAGGATTGAAAAGTCATTTTATTTCCATAGTTACATTCTTAGTCATTCTTCGGATTAGTAAAACTATTTTAGGAATGGATCTTAGAGGTAGGGAACCATAACGTTCATAATATGTCCCCTTTCAAACACACACAGAGAAAACACACAACACAGAACCAGATGAGCTAAATTTTAAACACACACACAGGCACACACACTCTTCACAGAAAAATCTAATTTAAACACACACACAGGCGCGCGCACACACACACACACACACACACACACACACTCTTCACAGAAAAATCTACCGTTTTTTCTTTCCTAAAAGTTAATGTTAACTGGCATCAACTGGATTTTTCATTCTTCACATTTGCCATTCCACTAACAAAATTCTGATTTCCATATGCTGAAAGTAACCTTCAAGTTTATTAGATCACCTTATAATTCTACCTATAAACTTCTGCAAATACATTTTGTTTCTAGTTAAAGTAGGTTAAACAAAACATTCCTCCACACTGAGTCTAACTGATGAACGGAAATACAACTTCTTGTTAACCAAAAATCTCACACAAAAATATAGTTTTGCATGAGCCATCTTATTTAAGTAGAAAGAGGCAAAAGACCATTTTGTTCTCAGTTTCTTTTTTTTCCTTCTTTCTTTTTTGAGATGGAGTCTTGCTCTGTTGCCCAGACTGGAGTATACTGGCATGATCTTGGCTCACTACAACCTCCATCTCCCGGGTTCAAGCGATTCTCCTGACTCAGCCTCCTGAGCAGCTGGGATTACAGGCACCCACCACCATATCCAGCTGATTTTTTTTTTTTTTTTTTTTTTTTATAGAGACGGGGTTTCGCCATGTTGGCTAGGCTGGTCTCAAACTCCTGACCTCAAGTAATCCGCCCTTCCTGGACTCCCAAAGTGCTGGGATTACAGGCATGACCAGCGCGTCCAGCTCATTTTGTTCTGAGTTTCTAATCCCAGTTTTAAAAAATTCACTTTCCTCGTATTTCAAGATTTTTCATTTATAATAATAACGTTTCTAGGACACCAAATTTCTCCCATTATCGCAACACTTCTCAGAGCAATGCAAAATAAAGGCTAGCCTCCACCCTACCACCACTCTGTACTCCTCATGGATTAAGCTCTGAGAGAAAAACACAAATAAATAAATCCTCACGCATTAGCTGCTTGACATAAATGCTTTGGATAACTAAATTGCCTGCTTTGTGTCCAGAGATCCTCTTCACTCAATTATCTTTCAATGTGTTGGGTTCCAAAGCCTTGCTGAGGTCCTAATGATATTTATCACCTCTTTCCAACGCCCTCTAATGTTCTTTTAAATAGAGTAGGCAGGCTTTAAGATTTCAAACACTTTGTCCTTTAAGTGTTCGACAGTTGGTGGCATTTAAAATCCTGACTTCATATTCCATAATCAGAAAGGTTTCCTTCCTATAGTGCATTTGAGCCTTTTGCTATGATGAAGGCAAAAATCTCACCATTTACACAAGATCATCACTACCTTAAGACACAGAGCTACATTCTCATTTGGATTGTAAACAGTAGTGTGTTGGTAATACTTAACAACCAGCTCCTTGGGAAAAGAAGTATGTATGTATAGATGTACACCTATTTATTATAAAATTTACTGATATAAATCATGTATAGCAAGCAATTTACAAATAATAACAAAGTACATGCTAAACTTTACTGTGAATTCCAACCAAATGGGAAAATTAACATTCACAGAATGCTTCTGTTAAAATATGTGCAATTCTTATATCTACAGCCAACCTATGGTTGTACCTGAAGAATGAGTGTAGTTTTGTAAAACCTGGTTGATGTTTTTGAACCAGTAAAATTAAAGTGGAACACCTAAGACATGAATGATATAAACAGTTTCCTTCCTCGAGGACATGAATAACTTCTTTGTTGAGTTGGAAACAGTTTCAAAATACAAGAAGATATTCTCTTAATTGTTTTGCTATCCACAATGTAATGGATGCAAATACAACATACTTTTAAATTTAATCTGTATTAATAACATTTCCTCCATCATTCTTTTAAGTGTAGACAATCAACAAAACAAATGACCAAATTTGGATTTGTACAGTGCTATGGTTTGAATGTGTCCCCCCAAAAGCATGTGTTGCAAACTTAACCCCAAGTGCAACAGTGTTGGGAGATGGAACATAATGGGAAATGTTTAGGTCATGAGGGCTCTACCCTCATGAATGGATTAATGCTGATTATAAAAGAGCTTCAAACTCTCTTGAGCATGTTCTCTCACCATGTGATGTCTTCTGCCACACTGTGATACAGCAAGAAGGTCCTCACCAGATATGGCCCCTTGATCTTGAACTTCCCAGTCTCCAGAACCATCTGCCAAATAAACTTCTATTGCTTATAAATTACTCAGTTTGCGGTGTTCTGTTACAGCAGAACAAAACAGAATAAGACATCCTGTTTACCAATTTCTGTGGTGTAAATACTTCCACCATGGCTACTAAAGTGATGTCATTGAATACAGAGTTAGGAAAAGAGGCTCAATAACACATCATTTTGTAGTATTTCTACCATATACTAGATGTAAATAACCTCAAGGTCATGGATATTAGTAAAATGTAGCAGCTAATAAGGAAGTGATGAATTTTGAATACTGATTACAATTAAGTAAATTATATTAAAAGCACAGGTAAGTTTACATAACTTTTTTTTATTTTTTGAGATGGAGTTTCTGTCTGTTGCCCAGACTGGAGTGCAGTGGTGCCATCTCAGCTCACTGTAACCTCCATCTCCTGGGTTTAAGTAATTCTCCTGTCTCAGCCTCCCAAGCAGTTGGGATTACAGGAGCCTGCCACCATACCCATCTAATTATTTTTTTTAATATAACTTAACTTCTAATAAAGGTTTTACTAAAAAACCAGCTCACAAAATTCTTGAAAACTTAATTGGTTCTTATGAATTGTTAACGAGCCAGTTCCAGCAGAGCAAAGTACAATCCTTTTGTCACAAAAGTGAGGTTCCTGCCTCACTGTCATTGGCAGATGGTATTTGGGTTCTTCCTACTAGTGTGTAAGGGGTACATAAAGATACGCAGTCCACAAGGTCACTTATGACTGGGCTATCCTTCCCTTGATGGTTATCAATCTGCAGCAGGGCTGGCAAACAGAACTCTTCTCCAGGCAAAGCTAACCCTGGCACCATTATTCCATGTTTTCTACCAATCGAGAAAAGAAGCTGAGGGAGAAAAAAGCAAAGATATAGTCTTGACATTAACAGTTATTTTACTTCTAATACAGATGTGTCTGAAAGCTCTCTTAGCTGCTATCCACAGAATGCAATGAAAACATGAGAGCAGACGAGAATTTAAACAAAGCAACACACAAGTTATATGGCACTAACAAAGTCAAAATTCTTCAATACCAAAGTCTTCTCAGTATGAAACAGGATGCTTCTCTCATTCTCTACTTTCTCCACCATTTCCTTTCTTCCTTCCCCTCTCCCCCACATTCTCCTTCCTTTCTCCCTTCAGGGGTTGGGGGGATTGATAGTGAAGGACATTCAATTACTATACCTTTGCCCTTCTTTTATTCTATTAAAACATTATCCTAATAAAACACAGCAAGAAAGTGGCACAGAAAATGAAGACATGAGGTAGGTAGAGCATGGTAGGTACAAAAGAGAAAGAAAATACTGCCTTGATGAACAAAGAAACTTTACTTCATTAGGATGAAACAGAAGTACAGTAGTACCCCTTATCTGTGGTTTCAGTCACCCATGAGCAACCACAGTCCAAAAATATTACATGGAAAACTCCAGAAATAAACAATTCGTCAATACATTTTAAATTAGGCAGTATTTTGAGTTGCAAGATGAAATTCTCACGTTGTCCTGATCTGTCCACCCAGGATGAGAATCATCTCTTTGTCCAGCATGGTGTATATGCTACCTGCCTGTTAGTCACTTAGTAGCTGTCTTGGTTATCATATTAAAAAAAAACAGTATGGAAAGGGTTTGGTACTGTCCACAGTTTCAGGTATCCACTGGGTGTCTTGGAACATACCAACATGGATAAAAGGGACTACTGTAAGGACTAAACCAGAGTCCTACTAACAAAAACAAACATTCACTGACTACCTACCATATGCCTGACCCTGAGTACAGGCCATGGAGAATATGGTGATAAATAGGCCAGGATACCTGACCACTTGCCCATGTACCAAACATCAAAGAATGAGACCGGCATATCCACTGTCAATCTGAATATTAAATCTTCCAGAATTATGATGACAGCAAATGACTACTTCAGGGTGGTAGAATTCAGAAGACTGGAAAATATATTCCAGACATCCCAGGGTCTGGAGTTTAATTTAGCACGGAGGTATGCACAGGAGGCAGTGAAAAAGAAAGGGAGCGATGTATTGCCATCCAGAAGGGGTAAAACAATCCTGGTCAGAGAGTGCAGCCTGATGGCTTCCACTCTTGGTGAAGTGTTGGCATTTGTGTGTGGTGTACCACAGACAGAAACAAAGGCAGAGAGCCGTTCCATCTACATCACCATTCTACTAGGAATCCCCAGGTATAATTTCTGGTCAACTTCCAAATGTTTTCATTATGGAACCAGGATCAGTAAAAGAACAATATTTAGATGTGTCTCAGCTGTTCTGTAATTCACTTTAGGTCAACAAACACTTTGCTCCTCCTATGTACAGGGCATTTGTCAAGCTTTGTGAGATTACAAAAGTGAACGTGACAGGGTCTCTAGCCAATCACATAAAGATGACAGGTACAGATACATATATGGAACACTGTGTAAAGTCAGCATTTCAACCATATAAACAAGGCAGGAGACTCAAAACATCTGGGTTTGGACTTTGCCAACTACTGGGACGTAGGGCGCAGCACATTATCCCTCGGCCTACCTTTTACGCACTCTCAGAATTGTTAGTGACCATAAGAACCATCCCATCCAATAATGAGTCAAAGCTAATATTCTCTCACAACATCCCCACAAGGTCAGCAACAGATGTCTACAATATTGCCAGTGACTTAAACCCTCTAAATAATGCCCATCCCTCTAATGGACAGCTCAAATTGTTAGAAAGTTCCTATTTACATATTGAATCTACCTGTATCTTCTACCCACTGCTCTCCCCTGTGTCCTCCAGGACCCCCCAGAATAAGTCTAATTCCTCTTCTACATGACAGCCCTTTAAATAATTGAAGACAGTTATCATATATCCCCCTAGGCTATATATCTACACTTCTTTCAACCATTTCTAATAGGACATGATTCTGAGTCCCTTCAACCACCTGGATAACTTTCTCTGCAAGCACTCTAATTGAAATACTCTCTTAGCTTTGTTCAAACAGGCTGCTATTCAACTATGTTTTCACAATTTGTATTTGTACTGTCAAGATACATTCTTAGCTCCAGACACAGGGTTTCCCATTTATCTGTTTTCAACATTTAAGCCTGAAAGATTTCAGCTGCTATCCTAAGGCCTTTTGGGATCTTACTCCTATCACCCAAAGTGTAAGTGATCTCTCTCTTCATCAGGCTATCCACACATTTGATCCACAAGTCAATTCCAACCTCAGTCAAGTCACTAATAAAAATATTGACATAATTGAATCAAGAGCACACAGCCTGTGGCCTGCAACCACAGACCACTCTTCATGTTTCATAATTATTAAACCTGTTATAATTCTACCTAACTACAGTAAGTCCTCACT
The DNA here is from genome assembly GCF_000001405.40 of Homo sapiens. Taxonomy (NCBI): domain Eukaryota; kingdom Metazoa; phylum Chordata; class Mammalia; order Primates; family Hominidae; genus Homo; species Homo sapiens. The sequence continues at coordinate 70,076,487 of NC_000007.14, read as the reverse complement.
TAGCACAGTCAATAGGTTCTTGGAAACTGCAACTTTAAATTAAATGATTTACATCCTTGGATAACGTCTTTTTGTTCAACATCTTTTCACTACAATGTTGGTGAGAAAAAAAGATTAGTTTCATTATATATCATTTTGCTTAAGGTAGCAGTGTCCAAGAAATGACTGACAACATTAAGTGAGAACTTACTGTAAACTATTATTAACTTGAGCCTTTTCCATGTCCTTTATGAAGATTTTAATGCGATGCTTTTTTTTATGCCAACTCTTTATTAGCAAAGAAAATAAAACGTCTTTACGCCAAAAAAAGAGAAAGTATTTCCCATCAGAAAGAAGAATAGAATATATCAGGTACACATTATCTAAGATATTCTTCTAAAGCAGGGGTTGGTAAACGATGGCCAATTGGCCAAATCAGCCTGCTGCCTGTTTTTATAAATTAAGTTATTTTATTAGAACACATCCACATCCATCTGTTTACATACTGCCTATGTGGCTGCTTTCCTGCTACAGTGGCAGAGTTGAGTAGCTGTACCAGAGACTGTATGGCCCAAAAAACCTAAAATATTTACTATCTGGCTATGTATAGAAAAAGTTTGGCAATCTCTGCTGCAGAAGAAGGAATATAGATGGCATAACATTTTAAGTGAACCTCCACAGGTTCCCAGTGATGACTACTTCTTTTATTAAACTCTCAGAAAGCATTCATTAATAATATTTTCTAGAATCTTTTCTGAGCTGACATCAAGCTAATTGGTCTACAGTTTCTACAATTCCCCTTCTCCATTATGAAAATCAGAAGTATTCAGACCTTTTGATTATTTGTACATTGAAGATACTAAAAAGATAATGCCTTTTAGCCATGTGTATTTGTACTGTCAAGGTATATTTTTAGCTCTAGACACAGGGTTTCATATCTCTTTTATTATTTGTACATTAAGGATACTGAATAGATAATGCCTTTTAGTAATGAATCTACAGTATATTTTAACGTATTTGTAGTTTATGTTTTCATAAAATACATGTAGTTCATGTATTTATAAAGCACACTCAATATTGAGTGCCTTTAGGGGCATCAACAGCAGGTTAGCAGAGAAATTAGAGAAAGCTGAAACATAATCAGGGGTACAGAGGCCAACTCTGCACTGGGACATCCTTCCCACGGAGTCTAAAATGAAAAATCTAAATGAGTGGGCTGAACTTGAGGGAGACACTGATTCACTCTCCAATGGATCCAATATTGTTATAGGGGAGACAAGTAGTCAACAGTAGTTTCTGAGCTATGTTGAGACTTGTTGCCAATGGAAATGCAATCTTTTGATGTCCAGTGGGAGGGGAATTGTTCTGGATGGAGCCAGCTCCTCTAAGCAGAAGCTGAAAGCAAAATACAGGTTTATTCCCTTGGGAGAGAGATGAGCAAGGGTAAGGTGTCATCACTTCAAGGCATCCAAGGTAGAAATCTGAATTATCTAATGACTAGACACAAATGGGAATGATTTGGTAGAAAGCTCAGTAATGACCTTAAAGTACATGAAATACTGAGCTCAAAAGAGGAGGTAAATTCCAGATGTCACCAAATAAGCAAATTTCTAATACCTGCCAAGATTGGTTCAAATTTGGGGATTGGTTACACCAAAACATACAGGATAGTATGCATGTATTCCCTCCTACTTAAGGCAGGTCATGGCCTCTGAGCCAGGTACCTCCACAGCAAAAGGTCTTGATTTACTTCCGTGTGCTGTACAATAATATCATTTTCTACATGTGCCATGATGAGACAGGGTTGGGAAGCACTGGATTCAACCAAACCTGAAGATGACAGGACTTCAATCTTAGTAGCTAGAAGACCGGACTAGACAGGGTATAATGGAGTGGAAAAGGGATTTTGGAATAAATGGGATAACTTGAGTAAGCTACAACTAAACTGCAAGGACACTAATCCTTAAACAGGGTTTTTAAGGAGAGGGATAAAGAGGCTCCCACATGAAAGAAATGGTCCAAAATAAAAAGAGTGAGACTCAACAATCATTTTTATGTGGCCAGTGTCAACTAAGAGCCCCATAAAATTAATGAGGAGTATAACAAACACCAAAGCAGTTACGTGGGATCCAGTCTCACCCAGACAAAAAAGATAACACCCAAGGGAAAGACATGGTCTATATAATGAAAAGTGAAGGAAAACTTACAGATATCGAAAAGTTTCTAGCCAGATGAACAGAAATGCCATAACGGTTTTTGTAACCACCACCCGTTACTTCTTTCCAGGAGACCAACAAACTGCAAAAGTCAGCTAAACCATAATCAATCTACATATTTTGTAAAGATGCATAATACATTCAGTTGACAAACAATTCTGCCAAGTAGCTCTTCTACATGTTGATCATGTCAACAAAATTAATTTGACATTTACAGCTATTTTGAGAATAAAATGCAGTTGCTTAAATTATTCTGTGGAAGCAACATGAGACAGAATTATTCAGTTGACAAAATCTAATTAGGTGTAAATTATTTCAGGTCATATAAATTATAAAACCTTTCACAGATAAGTATTTTAATTCAAAGTGGCTCAAAGTGCTATAGAATATTAATAGGTCCACATTCGTTTGCAATACTTCCACATTTCTGTCTCCAGTAGTAGCACATATTTCCCCAGTATTGGCCTAGATGGTAATTCTCATTCTGCCTTTGTGGGCCCTTAGTTGTATAAGGAGGAAGGAAGCAAAGGAGGGCATTTCTATGTTAGAAACTTTACACAACTCATATTTTTTATTGAGAAATAATCCATATACCACATAATTCACTTTTTTTGGTAAACAATATTACCTTCCATTCGATAAATGGAGAAACAAAGGCTCAGAGAGATTAAGTAATCTGCCAATAATACATAACTCATCTGTGGCAAAATGTTGGAATATAAATGCAAAGGCCATGTCCACTACTCAAGGCTGACCCATCCCATTTTTTTTTTTTTTTTTTTGAGATGAGGTCTCACTTTGTCACCCAGGCTGGAGTGCAGTGGTGTGATCTCAGCTCACTGCAGCCTCCACCTCCTGGGTTCAAGTAATTCTCCTGCCACAGCCCCCCGAGTAGCTGGGATTACAGGTGTGCGCCATCATGCCCAGCTAATTCCTGTATTTTTAGTAGAGACGGGGTTTCACCATGTTGGTCAGGCTGGTCTCGAACTCCTGACCTCAGGTGATCTGCCCACCTCGGCTTCCCAAAGTGCTGGGATTACAGGCATGAGCCATTGCACCTGGCCTACCAGCCTCTTAAGAAGCTCTCCTCTCCTCTGTTTCTGTTCATCTGGCTAGAACCTTTTGGGCAGCCTAAAGCATTGCAAAGGAAGAGGAAGTGAAGGGGTGACCAGTACAAGACTACAGAAAAAAAAAAGGAGAGGAGAAAGGAGGGGAGGAGAGGGGAGGGGAAGGGAGGGGAGGAGAGGGGAGGGGAAGGGAGGGGAGGGGAGGGGAGAGGGAGAAAGCAAGAAAGCTGGCCAGCCTACCTAGAGGCTGAAATAGACATATGATCTTTGCTTATATCTGATTTACTAGAGGACTAGAAATTTTAGTGAAAATATTGAATGAAACTCTAACATTTAAATCACTTGTGATTAGAACTTACTCTTCTTTGAAATGGGGGTAATGATATTTGTCTTTCTCATCCTCAAAGAGACAATGGAGATAACAAACACGATATTTTTTTAAATGAAAGGTACACAGAAAATAGAAATAAAAAGAATGCTTCATAAAGCAAATGACAGCCATGCAGAAACGCTCATTACACAACAGTGTCCAACAGGAGGCCAACCTATGTTAGGAATGAAAATGTCATTAATGGTGGTGATTCGAACCTGTGCATAAATCAGGCAGTGTCTAGGAAAGATAGAATCCTCTCTACTGTTTTTTTAGAATCATTCCTGTTTTGCACTAGTGCCATTATCTCTCTGATGTCAGCACATTACTTTCAGCTGAACCTCGGGACTATGTAAGGTCAAAGGCTTGAACCAAGCCTGGCTACCAGGAAATGGAAAACGAGAGAAACCCATCTGTCATGAAGTGGCAGTTCTTATTCTACTAGAGGACAACAGCTGTGAATGGCCTACACATCAAGTTCAAGTACTGTATATATATCCACAGGCACATTCCAAACAATGTGGTCAGGCACAAGCTGTCCTAAAAGGAGAGAATAACTCAGGCCTCATGCTAGGCCTGCTAAGCTTTCTCTAATCCACTCTGATTTTTACCCAGAAAAAAACAATACTGCCATGATCAGCTATAATAAGAAAGGAGGGGCTGGCAGGGATCACGGAGGGAAGGTAAGATAGACAGGAAAAGAAGAAAAGAAAAATTAAAAAGGGTGAGAAGAAAGCAAGCAAGAAAAATCATTTGTAACCGTAAAATCATGTCCTCGCTTTTGTCAGTGTTCTCTCCCAATTCTATAAGAGTTAAAGGCCGCCAAGTAATAGGGCCTGCAGAGTTTTCCCTTGGGCCGCAGCAAGGCCAGTAACCCTGCTATTAGAGACCTGCCAAGCTTTGTCAATGCAATCTGCTGAATGCCTTGAGTGACAAGCGATCAATATTCTCCACTCTCATGGGTCATCACAGGTGACACAGGACTAAGTAATAAAACAGCCCTGGCTGCCTCCTCTAACTTAAATGCTTCCCCAGCCACAATATTTCTTTTTTGTCTAAACGCCTCTAGCTAAATTTCTCATAGATCGAACCATCTGATGGGGATAGAGATTCTGAAGAATTGCAATGTGTCTGAATTGATGCTAGCCAGTGAAAGCTCAGTAGACTGGAGAAATAGGTTCAAATAAATCGAAAATGACTAGCTACAAAGTTGTAATCTGCCAGCATCAGACCCTGTAGCAACAAGCCAATATGAAAAAAAGCACACTGACAACCAACCACCCTCAAGTCACCTGCTAAAATGAGAATCCATTTTTTTCCCCACTACTGTGTCGATGATAAGCACTTTCTCTGTGCCATCTGTGGGAGAGGAGAGGGGGAACCTCACATTGTAGGGAGCAGTCAACACTGTGAACAATCAAGAACTATTACATTTCCCCAGGAATGAGGAAGAGCCAAAAAGGTACATTCAAGGGGAAGGCATGAGGGTGTGCTGTCTGTTGGGATGCAGACCAGGTACCAGCATCTCCTTCCTCTTGGCTGATGAGACTGCATGGAAGACTCTCTTTCCCTCCAGCCCTACAGAGAAGCAGCTACTGAGGAAGAGGAGAGCTGCGAAGTAAGTTACTCATTCATATGATGACCCTGGGAGAGCTTCTAGTCAGAATTCCCAAATGGAATAAGATTCCTAAAGTAGTGTTTCTGAGCAGATGACAGAAAGCTCAAGTCAACTGATCATTTAAACAAAACAGTGAATTTATTATATGCCATTAGGTACAGAAGAAACACAGAAAGGTCCTAAGAGTCCTTCTATCTGCTTCAGTACAGTATTTCATTTTAAGTAACCCAAACTATTAAAAAAATTTTTTTTAAGACTTCACATTCTCAAGTGTTAAGGCTTTCTAATGTACCTGGTGAATTTCTGTCCCATTGAAATCCTCCCTCCCTCCCTCTCTCCCTTTCTTTTTTTTTTTTTTTTCAGATGGAGTCTCCCTGTGTCGCCCGGGCTAGAGCGCAGTGGCATGATCTTGATCGCGGCTCACCGCAACCTCCACCTCCCAGGTTCAAGCGATTCTCCTGCCTCAGCCTCCCGAGTAGCTGGGACTACAGGTGTGTGCCACCACAACCATGCTCGGCTAATTTTTTGTATTTTTAGTAGAGACGGGGTTTCACCGTGTTAGCCATGGATGGTCTCGATCTCTTGACCTCATGATCCACCCTCCTCAGCCTCCCAAAGTGCTGGGATTATAGGCGTAAGCCACTGCGCCTAGCCTCTTTTGAGACACAGTCTTGCTTATCGCCCAGGCTGAAGTGCAGTGGCGCAATCTCTGCTCACTGCAAACTCCGCCTCCCGGGTTCAAGCGATTCTCCTGCCTCAGCCTCCAGAGCAGCTGGAATTACAGGCATGCACCACCACACCTGGCTAATTTTTTTTTTTTTTTTTTTTTAAGAGACGGGGTTTTGCCATGTTGGCCAGGTTGGTCTCAAACTCTTGACCTCAGGTCATCTACCCAACTCAGCCTCCCAAAGTGCTGGGACTACAGGCCACTGCGCCCAGCATCCATTGAAATACTTTCTGTTTAAATTTAAATAAACACATATATCCTCAGAACACATCTAATATCCCCAGAGTGCCACCAGGCTGGCAGTACAAGCAACCCAAATCTCCTCATCCTCTCTCTCTTTTAGGCACAAATGGCTATTGGGAGGCCCAGAATACCAGAAAACATGAAACGAAACCTAACTAAAATTGCTGCTGAGAACCACAGCTTTCTGAAAGACCTGGTGCCCTTTTAGAAACAAAGGTTTGGTATTTCTCTGCATGAAATAAAGGAACACAAAAATAGAGAGATTTATGATTTATATTCTTGGTCATACTGACCTGCTCTCACTTCTAATTATATTTAAATTATTTTTTATTCTGCATTTTTTACTCCCTATAATAATTATAAAAATGATCTACATCCCAAAAGCCATACCAAATGTTTTCCTATTATATAACAGGATGTTCCCCAATGATGCTTGAAAAGCTGGTAGCTGAACCAGCATATTTAATATTTTATACCCTGATATTCATGAATTAGAATTTGAAATAAGGATAAAATCAAGTCATTAATAAGGTGTCTCTGGACAGGAAAAAAAAAAAAACAAAAAAAACCATGGCCTTTGATAGAATTTGACAGAGAATTCTCTAAGAAAAAAATGTGATTTTAATTCAAGATTGTCCCTATTGAGAGGAATAATTGATTTATTACACAGGAAGTAGCTAATCTATAATAAGCAGTGTCATCTGCTTACTATAGATCTCACAGAACAACATGAAGAAAGCTAATGTAGGACAGGATTATGGGAATAGACATTTATTAGAAACATGAAAGTCCCAGCAATTAGGATTAATTACAAAGGGAGAATCTAACCTAACTGATCCTGTATGACACAGCTAGGAAATTAATGATGAAGTTGTACTCCTAAAAAATCAAGTGCTCAATAAATGAATGGGTGAATTCATCTGTGAGAGTATCTACAATCTTGCTTGGCACATCCTGGACTCAGTATCTCTCAACGAAGAGTGATTCCAAAGCAAGGGTTGTCTGATCACAAACACCACAATGAGTAGAGGCCTACTAGCTCTATCCACTTGAAAGTCAGAGAGAGCTATGCTCCATGTATGGTCTCCCTGAACCCTATTACTGAGGTACTTCTGCCTCCCCAGGCTCCAAAGAGGTCAATTCTTGCCAATCCCCACTAATCACTTGGAAGCCCTGGTAGGCCATGAGATCAGCTGGCCACATACTTAAAAGGCCACAGTGACTTTACCTAGTCAGTCCCCCAATGCTTTAGAAAATTATATGGACGCATTAAGATGCAAGTGACAGTCAAATGTCTTAGTGGTGAAAAGAAATCTCAAGTCCAGAATCACTACATCAATCCTTCTGGATTATCACTACTTATCGAAAGGTCTCACAGACTGAAAGTCATACTTATATAAAAAGTGCAGATGCCCAAGGCAAAACAAGTGATCACTTGGATTTCCTTCTGACATGTGTGAGCATTTCTCTGTGGTTAGTTAAGTACCTCTGCTTTGCTAGGAAAACATGTCAGCCAAAGATCTGAGGAGTTGAAGTGGCTACATTAATCACCTTGTTGTTTGATTGCTTTTCTTTTCTTAAGCTACATTCACTATTAAACAAATATCATCAATTGCACTCGAAGTATCAGGACAATGTCCCTACAAGTCACTGCCACTATGACTGTAATGTGCCAGAAGAAATACAAAGCAGCTATATGAAATCCTTGAACATAAAATCTTTCATGATGATAATTTTTATCATAAGTGTAATATGCACTTATTTTAGAAAATAAATCTACTTATGGCCGGGCACAGTGGCTCACGCCTGTAATCTCAGCACTTTGGGAGGCCAAGGCGGGCAGATCACGAAGTCAGGAGATCAAGACCATCCTGGCTAACACGGTTAAACTCCGTTTCCACTAAAAATACAAAAAAAAAAAAATTAGCCGGGTGGGGTGGCAGGTGCCTGTAGTCTCAGCTACTCAGGAGGCTGAGGCAGGAGAATGGTGTGAACCTGGGATGGGGAGCTTGCAGTCAGCTGAGATGGCGCCACTGCACTCCAGCCTGGGCCACAAGCAAGACTCCATCTCTCTCAAAAAAAAAAAAAAGAAAAAAAAAATCTACTTATGTTTTGCCAGTCAGAACATAATCACTGACTGTAAACATCTGGGTGCATTTTCTTTCTGTTTTCAATTCATTCTTGTTCTCACTCTCTTTTTCCATACATAATTCAAATATTATTATATGTTACACTTTTTAGTAAAATTAAGATATAGCAAATATTCTGCCTTGTAGTAAATATTATGTGCACTTATTATTTAACCTCTGCATAATATTCCAAAATAGAAAATAACATAAATCAACCATGCATTTGCATGATGTTGGGTATTTTGGCTGTATGAAGTTTTTCTTTTTCCAGGTTTTTTTTTTTTTTAGACAGGTGCTCACTCTGTCACCTGGGCTGGGGAGCAGTGGTGTGATCACGGGCTCACTTTAGCCTCAATCTCCCAGGCTCAGGTGATCCTCCTGCCTTAGTCCTGCAAGTAAGCTGGGACCACAGGCATGTGCCACCACTCCCAGCTAATTTCATTTCTTAAATTATTTGTAGAGATGGGATCTCTCTATGTTGCCCAGACTGGTCTTGAACTCCTTTGCTCAAGCGATGCTCCCACCTTGAACTACCAAAGTGCTGGGATTACAGGCGTGAGCCACCAAGCCTGGCCTGAAGTTTTCTTCACATCTGATCACCAACTCAGCATGTCCTAGACAAAGAATTAATGGATCAAAAGCTATTAGTATTTTGAAGAATCTTGACAAACATTATAAAAGGGCTTTCTAGTGGTGTATAAAAGTGACAGTCTCACTATATTTTTCCCAGAAGTTAGTAGTCTCACTTCTATAAATCATTATTAATTTCCTAAGTGAAAAGTAGTACCTCCTTATTACTTTTAATTGCATTTCTTTAACTATTATGTATACTGCATTCTTAGATATTTAATTTCTATCATCATTCCAAACCAGACTTTATTGACTGGCAGTAAACTGAGCTAATTTAATTAAGAGAAGTTAAATGCCTCAAGCCTTCTGAGGAATTATTGTTTTAATGATGATTCTCTTTTGGTTAAAAGGCTGTAATCCAAAATGCATCATAAGTTAATCACACTGTACTTTTCGCCTCTTTTTCCCCACTAAGAACTTTTTCTTGAAGAAATGATTATCATTAAATGCCTAAATGAGAAAGATGTTTATCAAAACTGACATCATCACATAAGTTAACAAGCCTCCTGACTGTGCATTGACTTCGATATTATCACACTCCAGAGTGCTATACAAATTTGTAAATAGCTCTCAGGGGAGGACAAATAGAAGTGAGTTTGAAAATAGCTTAATCTCATAAAGTCTAAGTAAAAATGAGTAACTTTAAGATTCTTAAAATTATTTACTGGGGGCCAGGAGTGGCGGCTCATGCCTGTAACCCCAGCACTTTGGGAGGCTGAGGTAGGCAGATCACCTGAGGTCAGGAGTTCAAGACCAGCCTGGCCAACATAGTGAAACCCTGTCTCTACTAAAAATACAAAAATTAGCTGGGTGTGGTGGCATGCACCTGTAGTACCAGCTATTCAGGAGGGCTGAAGCAGAAGAATCGCTTGAACCCGGGAGACGGAGTGCAGTGAGCCGACACAGCGCCATTGCACTCCAGCCTGGGTGACAGAGCAAGACTCTGTTTGAAAAAAAAAAAAAAAAAAATTTACTGGGTATAGATCTGTAAAGTTAGATTTTAAAATTAAACTTTTACTAGGACATAAAGATGATTGTTGCAAACAGATAACAGACATCCACTTTTCATTCATTTCCTCTATTAAACATGACTTTGAACTTAAATATTTGTCTTCCCTTGGAAAAAAACAAAAACAAAGACTGGAATAAAGGACCATTCAACTCCAAAATTAAAAAGAAAATGTTAAATTTAGCTTTTTAAACATAATTTGGTAAGTGAAAATTTTATAATTTATGATCAATCACTATTAAGAAGGTAGTCAAAAGTAAGTTCAAACTGTACTTCAATTGCCATATAGGAATGTGCTTTGAAAATAAAAATTTATAAGATATTGCACATATGATTTTCAATTATTTTACAAAATTTTTTAAAAATGATGGCAAAATTATCAAACTGATTAATTTCTTATTATTGTAGCACCAAATAGTCCTACAGATTGCAAAGATCAGTCAGCAACATCGCTGCTAACACACAACTGATCTTATAAGCCTTAATTTCTTCTTATTCAAAACACAATTCATACAATACCAGCTACCTGAGAAGGAGGCTGAGGCAGGGGAATCGCATGAAGCCGGGAATTTGAGACCAGTCTGAACAACAAAGCAACGCTCCCTCTCTAAAAAAAACTGTTATTAAATAGCTGTGCATGGTAGCATACACCTGCAGTCCTAGCTACCCAAGAGGCTGAGGTGGGAGGATTCCCTGAGACCAAGAATTTCAGGCTGCTGTAGGCTATAATTGTGCCACTGCATTCTAGACTGGGTGACAGGGTGGGACCCTATTAAAAATAATAATATATATATATTTTTTTGAGATGGAGTTTCACTCTGGTTGCTCAGACTGGAGTGCAGTGGCACCATCTCGGCTCACCATAACCTCCGCCTCTCGGGTTCAAGCAATTCTCCTGCCTCAGCCTCCTGAGTAGCTGGTATTACAGGCATGGTGCCACCACACCCAGCTAAATTTTTTGTATTTTCAGTAGGGATGGGGTTTCACCATGTTACTCGGGCTGGTCTTGAACTCCTGACCTCAGGTGATCCACCTGCCTCAGCCTCCCAAAGTGCTGGGATTACAGGTGTTAGCCACCGTGCCTGGCAATAATAATAATTTTTTAAACAATTTTAAAAAACAATTCAGGAAAGTATCTAGCTGACAAAGTTTTGTGGTTTTTTTCCTTGAATTCTGGTAGATGAAAGATAAACATTTCTTTCATGTTACTGTAATGCACTGGTTTGGCCATTCAATATCCTTTTTATCATGGTAGGAGGGAGGCAAAGAAAAAATAATCTAATATATCACCAAAATGTATCTAGGGGAGGGTTGGGGTTCACAGGAATAGCTAGTGAAGGTGGTGGGATTGAACAGATTTCCAAGAGTGATTTGTTCAGATGCTGTGTTAGGGTGCTCTTTACACACAATCATATAGAAATGCCCCCCACCACTTCACATCTCTGTTTGTTCACTTGCTCCTTTGTTTGTTCAATCATTTGGTCATTCATTCATTCATTTATTCAACAATTGATGAGCGCCTACTATTGTCTCTGGGCATATAAATATGCATGTAATAATCCCCAGGTTAAATCTTAGAGGAGAAAGACATGTAACCCACAGACAAAGTAATACCTACTACCGGGAAAGATAGGAACATAGGATAAAGCAAATCATGATACAAACGACTGAAGTTCACATTGGTTTTGGAAGTCTAATAGTGCCATACATTACAATTCTAGGCTCCAACACAAAGCTTCACAAGGGGACTTTCTCCATACTATGACTCTTAAAAAGAATTTCACCATCCATTTTGGGAGGTGTCTTATCTACCCATGGTCCATCAGGTACCACATTTGCCTTTAAGTCTTTATGTCTAATTAACCCCAAATTATAAATCTGGGTGCAAACAATGACCAACACCAAGCAGCTCCCACTTGGAGGGCATTTGTGTGAAGAAAACCTAGACCTTGGCCCTCAGGAATGATAAACTCTCTAGTAAATGACAGACAGCAGTTTTGGAAGTGGTATGTAGTAAACATAAACCACTTTTGTTTGTTCCAAGGCCAAAAAGCAGCCATTGTATACTATCTACTTGCTGGATTTGTGTTGCTTCTATTCCCAGTTAAAGGTGCTATTTCTGGAGCTGACCCCGTTATAAAAGCTGGGGTGAGCTGGGCTTTTCTGCCTATAAGAGTGAGCAGCAAAGCAAAGGGTAAACCTCTGACTAGTCGGGTCACAGTACACAGACAATGATTCAGGTTTAGCTGACAGTGCCAGGCAAGGCATTTGTAATCTCCCCAGTTAGCACTAAATCAGCATGGTGTACACGAGCCCTTGACAGAGGACAGACAAGCGGGACTCACTAAAAGGATAAAGAGTGGCCTGCGAAGCACAGATGCTGAACACAGTCCAAATCCTTCGCTCCTTAAGCTAAAGATGCTTTGCTGAAACCCACATCCATTTGGGACAAGTCTTGGCTCTTCTGTAATAGAATGACGCCTTCTAGTCTGATCCTGAGAAAACAGACTATGCTCATTCCAAGAATTTAGAACTCAGTAACTAAAAGGCATACTCTTGCCACTCCTTCTACTCTCTCTTGCCCGGAGGAAAGAAAAGTCAAAGCAAAAATTAAGGAGATGCCATCCAAACCATTGTGATTACCCCGAGTAGGGTAATTCATGGTTTGAGTTCTTTATGCCTTCCTGACAATCAATCATGCCAAGCTGGAGAGCAGGTGAAGTGTGGCTGAGCAGGATCCTGAGCTCTTTTCGCGGTGTTCTTTTCAAGTTTACAAATACATTCAAAGAAGAAAAGAGAGAAGGGCCTAACAAAAACTCAGGCAAAATGGCCCTGAAAATGAACACTGCCACTGCTGTGTTAGACATCTAAGACTTTCCTTACACAATGCATGTGTTGTCTTACACGACACTTTCTGTTTCTGCCATTCAAAACACTCCAGAAGTGCTATCTATGAGGTGCTATGATCTCTGGTTTACCAGTGAGAAAACCGAGGCTGAGAGAAGTTAAATAACTCGCCCATGATCACACAAGCCAGGATACGAGAAAGCTGGGATTCTAAACTTGCTTGGGTTTAAGACTCCAGAATTTTGCTCTTCATCATTCTGGTATACCAACATAACATCCTGTTAAATGTGTAAATGGATTTTTATATATCAAATCCCATTTAAATCTAGCAGAGCAACTTGCTATTTAAAGAACCCCTAGGCTGAACCATTTTGAAGGAAAAAAAAAAAAACAAAACCCAAAACCCATCGGCAATGTGAATAACCACCCCTTGATTTGTTTCTCATCTAAATTCAAATTTTTTTGGTGATCATATCCAATAAAAACAAGTCCCACTTGGAAATGTTGAATGTGGTATGACTGCCAGCATCCATCACACTGTGGGTGGGGATGTTGGGAAAGGGGACTGGTTGGGGACAGGTTGCCCTACACTCTGAAGAGAAAGACTCTCATACACAAACAAGGCACAAAAGGGCTCGCTTAGCAGTTTACAACTCATGCAAAAGCACCTGGCCTTCACACTGGAAGTAATGAATCATAGATCTCTTTAACAGAAGGGAACTAAGATGGTCTCCTGCCCTCAGGGAAAGAAGATAATGTATCCACTTGACAAATGACCTAATAAGGAAGAATCAAAAAGGAAGTAGCCTAGTTCCTTTCCAAATTCTACCCAGGTTTACTGCCACAACTGACCTCTTAATTCAAAACAACAGAGTTCATGTAACTCTTTGCTAACAGAGTAAGGTGAGGTAAGTCTAAATTTTATTAAATGTTAACAACTAGCTATTTTACAGATTCCAACCAAGAGCTTAGAAACATGCGTAACATGAGAGAGAAGCACTATAATTTAGAAATGTCATAATGGGGATAAATGTCACGGTAGAATGATGAAACTAGCTAAGGATATCAAATTGCAACTTGTGAAAAACAATGTACGTTGGGATAAATATGTGTCTTATTTCTTCCTTTTTTTTTTTTTTTGAGACGGAGTCTCGCTCTGTCACCTGGGCTGGAGTGCAGTGGCGTGATCTTGGCTCACTGCAACCTCTGCCTCCTGGGTTCAAGCGATTCTCCTGCCTCAGCCTCCTGAGTAGCTGGGACTACAGGCGTGTGCCACGATGTCCAGATAATTTTTGTATTTTTAGTAGAGACAGGGTTTCATCACGTTGGTTGGCCAGGATGTTCTTGATCTCTTGACCTCGTGATCCGCCCTCCTTGGCCTCCCAAAGTGCTGGGATTACAGGCATGAGCCACTGTGCCCTGCCAAATATGTGTCTTATTTCTATAGAAGGTACATCAGTAATGATCAGAAAAAAACAACAATAAGAATATTTCAAATGAAAAGTAAAAATGTTTTCTCTATATAAAAGGAAGGTTTGTGAGAGAAATTAGGGAAGAAACAACTCGGCTGGGCACAGTGGCTCACGCCTGTAATCCCAGCGCTTTGGGAGGCCGAGGTGGGTGGATCACCTGAGGTCAGGAGTTTGAGACCAGCCTGGCTAACATGGCAAAATCCCATCTCTACTAAAATAAGAAAAATTAGCTGGGCATGGTGGCGGGAGCCTGTAATCTCAGCTACTCGGGAGGCTGAGGTGGGAGAATTGCTTGAACCCGGGAGGCAGAGGTTCCAGTGACCTGAGATCACGCCATTGCAGTCCAGCCTGGGCAACAAGAGTGAAACTCCGTCTCCGGGGGAGCAAAAAAAAAAAAAAGAAGAAATAACCCTTAAATTCCACCCACAAGCCTGCCCCAAGTTAAGTTCACCAAATAAATAGTTAATCCATTGTGAAGTTTCTTTTGCCAAACCATGATATTAAAAGTTATTAAGTATCTCATGTCTATATAGTACTTAGCAGAGTACTACCATAAGTATCTTTTATTATTTATGTTACAGTAACATTTTTTCAACCTATTATTATTAGGAAAGCTACCAACAGTCAAGGGATAATGCCATTTGGAAACATAATGACCTATTTGCTTTATTTATTGTGGTCATGTTGCCCCATTCTCTTCCTCTCTCTTAAAATTTTAATAGGAAGCTTTAATTAACTTAATATTTTAATACAAACCTAGCACCTCTTATTCCCTCCTTGAGAGGAAAATTAAAATACTAACCTGTTAAAACTTAAGGAAAGAAAACACCAGAATCAGGAATGCGGCTGTTTTCCTCTTGGGGACTGAGGAACTACCATTTACTGAGCACCTTCCATGTATGCCAGGCAGGCTACTAGGGACTTCACAGACATGATTTCACTTTGCATCACACCATTTCCAGAAAGTACTGTCTCCATTTCGCACATAAACAAGAATCTATTATTTCCAATATCAAACTCCTCTCAACACGAACCAGAATGAACCCTTGAGAGGTCACCTAGTTTGACCATCTGTCTCTAATTAAGTGCTAGAGCCAGATAAAATTCAGAAAGAACCTACAGATTTATCCCAGTCCTCATTTTACCGCTGAAAATAAATAAGGCATAGAGATACCAAGAGACAGGCCTAGGGTCACAGGGTTTGTTAAGAGAACTCCAGAGAAACAGAAAAAGCTGGTTTCCTGCCATTCCTGTTCTGCTTCCTTCACTGGACCAGGCAGGCTCCACCTGGATGCAGGAAGGAAGAAATACCTACCTCAGTCAGGGAGGCTGGGGAATGCAGCAGAGGGAGCAGAGAGGTGGGTGCTGCCTTAGCCCCACCGCTGCCTTCTGGGAGACAAACAACATACCTGCATGGCCTAGCACGATTTAAAGAGGTCAGAGTATAGAGTCAAAGACACCTTCCATGCCGGAAGTTTTGCAATGCTACTTCTTAAACCATTCTTTTCTGCTCATCTATATAGTAAGATATTGTAATATTATACTTCCTAGGGTTGACATAAAAGATTACATAAGCTGTATCTGTAAAATGTGCATTACAAAGTAAGTGTTGAATTAACAGTAACTGTTAGTACAATTTCTCACCTCTTTTCTGCAGTAAGTCTTAACATCCCCCTCCCTTGATCAGTGGTTTAGATTAGTCTTTCTCGCTTACAACACAGATTGCCAGCCCCGCCCACAGGACTTCTGGGGTAGAGTCTAACAATCTGCATTTCTAATAAATTCCCAAGTAAAGCTGAGGCTGCTATACTTTTGCTTTGACAGCTTTCTCCTCTATTTTAAAATCTCCCCATTCTGAGAAGCACAGCTTCCTGTTCACTTAGTTGCCCTTATACAATGTTCTTCTCTTTATCTAGCATTTCTTTAAGTGAAATTTAAAGCTGTTCAGCTCAAATGAAAGAGATGAAGCATACCAAAGAAAGAGTGTACAAAAACTTTTTAAAAAATTTAACCCTTTGTTCAATGTTATTAAAACCTATGGTCCCTAAATGTCAAAAAGGATGGTTTTATGCTGTGTAGAATTTTACTTTTATATAGGAAATGACCTTGAATATCAGAACAGAAGACACTGTACTGAAATGCTTTTCTTTCTCATTATAAGAAAATCTAATTAACTTGCACCACCTGTAGAAAAAATTTAGTCTAAAGTGGTGAACAATTAAACTGTAAAAAGTACTGTTTAATAAATGTCAACTTGTTAATTTTAAGTCAATTATTTGGAACTAGGCAAGGTCAAGCAGCTATTTGGAACTAAGCGAGCTTGACTAGCTGCTTAAATAAATGAGTGACATTACTTATCACTTCCTACCTCAAAAATCTGCCATGGGTTCCTATGGCCTCACTAAGGAAGCCTATCTTCTTTAGCCTAGCATCGAAGGCATCGAAAACATAACACCGTGTTCCTACATTTACCATGAACTCCAATCAAACAGAAAATCACATACTGTGCCAGCCACAGTACGATGTACCTCCTCCAATCTATGTGTCCAAATCAGCGCATCCTTTAAGGCCCTACTCAGATGGCACCTCTTTCATACAGAATTTCCAGATCCTCGATTCTCATATGACTCTTGCAATAGCTCTGTAATATTGATAAATCTGAAATTTAAAAAAAGTAACCAATGTGAATGTTAAGATCTCCACACAGAAATCTGCGCATAAATGTTTACAGTAGCTTTTTCCCATAATTGACAAAACTTGGAAGCAACCAAGATTAGGTGAATGGAAAAATAAACTGTGGAACATCCAGGCAATGTACTACTCAGTGCTAAGAAGAAATGAGCTATTAAGCCATTAAAAGACACGGAGGACCTTAAATGTATAATAACTAAGTGAAAGAAGCCAATCTGAAAGGCTACATATATATAGTATGATTCCAACTGTATGACATTCTTGCGAAGGCGAAACTATGGAAAAAGTAAAAAGATCAGGGTTTTGGTAGGGGGATGAATAGGTAGAGCACAAAGGATTTTTAGGGCAATGAAACTATTTTGTGTGATACCATAATGGTGAGTACATGCCGTTTTATATTTGTGAAAGCTCACAGAATGTACAAATCCAAAAGTTAACTCTAATGTAAACTATGTAAGATGGGTGATTATGTTTTGCCAATACCAGTTAATCAACTGTAGCAACTGTACCATACTGGTGCAGTCTTGAAGCTTATAGTCAGGGATGCTAGGGTGAGGGGTATGGTGGGGGTAGGGAGGATTCTGCACTTTTTGCTCAGTTTTGCTGTTAAACCTAAAACTGCTCTAAAAAATGAAGTGTATGTGTGTGTGTAAATATTTTATGTAAAAATCTTCTACATAAAACGGGATACACTTTTCTGATTTCATTCAGATAAGTCTCTAATAATATCACCATCATAACTGAATCCTCCATAAACTAATTATCCTTAATAAGGAAAGACATGAAGTATGACATAAGATTTTGTGATTCAAGTTAGTTTAAAAAGAAAAAGATGCTGTGATTCTAGTTAGTTAAAAAAAAAAAAAACCTACATGTAGCAATAGATAAATCCAGGTATGTTTCTTCCTGAAAAACAAATTACCAATTTTTTCTCCTCTGCTTCAAAAGTTTTTAAAGAGATTGTAAGAATTTTTTAAGCTCCTTTCCAATCATCATAGAAATTGACTACAAATGCCTCTTGGAATTGAAATAATGCTATGCGTAGCGGGGGGGTACATGGAAACCTAACTTTCCCATTTCATACTTTCCAGGGAAATTTACCTTAGAATCAAGTTACTATTTTTTATGAGGCCTCAATGCTACTCAACCGATAAAAGGAGGCCATGAATTGTTTCCAAAACTCCAGACATACCACATGTATAGGACAAAGCCAATAAGTCCTTACACAGCTGGCTCCACTGATATTTAACTGAATGTCCAGCCTGGCTGAATTACTGGGTTTTTAGAATATACTTCTCAAATCACAAGATAAAAAAAGAAAATCACACTGTACTGAATGGCTTAGTTTCATTAATGCCTAGTTTCAGCAAAATCTTTCATCTGGGAATTAGTCCAAAATATAGGAGGTATTGTCACTAATAGAAGCTATTCCAATGAAACATGTGTTTACTTAGCTTTATTCCCATGACTGTCTTTTCAATGTCCTGTTACTTACCATGATAGATATATCACCCCCTTACCATATACATAATAGTCGTATCACTGTCTTACCATGAGAACCCTTAAAGTTTTGCTAATTTCCTAAACACTGGGGAAACTTAAGAGGGAAGAGGCTAACAATAAAAGTGATGGTAACATTTTGAGCACCCAGCACTGTAAGGTCTTTATGTGCACTGTCTCCCAAGAACACTTTCCCCATTATCCTGACTGAGGCATTTTATAACATGGCATTTTATGTATAATAACTAAGTGAAAGAAGCCAATCTGAAAGGCTAGAACAGAGGGACAACAGAGGGTCTAGGGACCCTGGAGAGCTTTGATAAGAGATACAGAAAACACAGTCCACAATTTGGTGGGTAGATTTTGTGCTTCAATTTTCTAGCATTAAAATGGGAATGAAAAAACTTATTCCACATCAATTATTTTTTTGAGGATTAAATCAGATAATGAAGATAGAATACCTGTAACAGTGACCATTCCTTTGCAATTTCATCATTTTTGAGGGACAGAATTTAACAGTACTCTGGGAAGCTGACAATTACCCAGAAAAGTGTAACTTTTTGAGACCTACTACTCCATTATCCGAGACTCAAATACCAGTCCGGTCAGCCGGCATTGATGCTCCTGAAAATCTCCACAGCGGAGCTGGTATTACCAGCTTCCTCCATGTTTAAAGTTTTGGCATCATTAATCATTATTTGAATG
Organism: Homo sapiens; assembly: GCF_000001405.40. NCBI lineage: Eukaryota > Metazoa > Chordata > Mammalia > Primates > Hominidae > Homo > Homo sapiens. The sequence continues at coordinate 70,057,284 of NC_000007.14, read as the reverse complement.
TTTCCTGGTAAACGGCATGTGATAGAATGACAAGCAAAAATAGCTGGGCCCTACAAAGAACAAGATTAAGCTTCAGTTCAAGCAGAGCCGCAAGGATACAGATAACTGGTAAACTATGGTAGATGAGCAGATTTCAAGAAACCTGCTTTGTATGCGATTCAAGAAGCCACAATATCAGCCCAAAGAGCAGCAGACTTTAAAAACATGGCCCCTGAGACCTGGCTGGAAAAAAATCCAAATCATGCATGTGCAAAGGCATTTGAAACAGGAACGAGCCTTTATAGTCACGTATTATATATAAGAAATAATGCTGGGAGAAAATATTATCAGCAAGAATCATTATAATCATAGGAACCTAGAATGTAGGAACAGAAAGGTTTGTAAATTGAGCCCTAACCCCTATTCTCAGCAAGAGCACCCTATTCCCAAATGCATCAAAATCAAATATCTTAAACTGAATCAGTTAAGGACTCCACCATCCACACTGATCTTTATCTGGTATTCCATCTTCGGAAGCGCTGTCCAAACCATGTCTCTAGTGGTGTCACCTCACACAGTTGCCAATCCTGCCTTTGAAAGGCTCATTTTAACACTCCATTCTTCATGCTCAGGGCCTCAATGCAGGTTGTAGAAACTCTACCTGGTTCTAGTAATAATTACTAACCTACTAACACTGCCTGCCCAATCTCTACTCTGCACTAACATTCTTCTAAACACTTGAATTCATTGAGCACTTATCAGCTCCCAGCTGTGAGCCCGAGCACTGAGATTAACTGCACAGAACAAGTGATAAGAAATCCTTACATCCCAGTGGTGGAGACAGGGAAACATGGAAATAAGTATTGAGGAATGAATGATATGGAGGGAGTAAACAGGGTGAAGGTGATGAAGGAGGGACACAGAAAACCCCCCTCAGAATGATTAAAGTATAAAGGCTGAAGATACATCTAGGCATGCAAAGCGCCACTTTAGGCTATAAAAGTAAAAATTGCAAAGACTCTAAGATGGCAAGAGCTGGGCGCCTGTATCCTGAGCACTTTGGGAAGATGAGGAGGATGGATTGCCTGAGGTCCGGAGTTCGAGACCAGCCTGGCTAACATGAAACCCCGTCTCTACTAAAAATACAAAAATTAGCCGGGCACGGTGGTGCACGCCTGTAATCCCAGCTACTCGGGAGGCTGAGGCAGGAGAATCGCTAGAACCCGGGAGGTGGAGGTTGCAGTGAGCCAAGATGACGCCACTGCACTCCAGCCTGGGCGACAGAGCAAGACACTGTCTCTGAAAAAAATAACAATAAAAAAGGCCGGGCATGGTGGCTCACGCCTATAATCTCAGCAGTTTGGCAGGCTGAGGTGGGTGGATCACGAGGTCAGGAGTTCGAGACCTGCCTGACCAAGAGCAAGACTCCATTTCAAAAAAAATAAAAATAAAAAAAATTAGATAGGAAGAAACTTGGTACATCTGACTAACAGACTGTGTTACCATATAAATCAGAACCCTTAAAATTTTGTTAATTCTTTGGACATTGGGGAAACTTAGAGGGAAAAGACTAACAATACCCACCTTAATACCCATACCCACCTTAAAAATCTCCAGTGGTGTAAAAACCTGTTTAACCTTCAGAAGGGAAAAACTGCTTTTCTGTCTAGTGCAGTTAAGTGACTGACCACTGCTTCTGTCTGGAAACTGGGAAAAGCTAAAGGTCCACAGCATGTTGGTAACATATGACTTAGAGCATTCTCAATACAACAGAGTGTAACAGTATCACAAAGCAAGGACTCTTACAGATGGGTAGTCATTATTACTTAAGTTATTTGAGGCTTGAAATCAAATATAGAATTTTTTTTTTTGAGATGGAGTTTTGCTCTTGTTGTCCAGGCTGGAATGCAATGACACAATCTTGGCTCACCACAACCTCCGCCTCCTGGGTTCAAGCGCTTCTCCTGCCTCAGCCTCCCACGTAGCTGGGATTACAGGCATGTGCCACCACGTCCAGCTAATTTTGTATTTTTAGTAGAGATGAGGTTTCTCCATGTTTGTCAGGCTGGTGTTGCACTCCCAACCTCAGGTGATCCACCCGCCTCGGCCTCCCAAAGTGCTGGCATTACAGAAGTGAGCCACCGTGCCCAGCCTAGAATTTTTTTTTAAATATAAAAAGGCATGACTCTGAATAGAGGAAATGTTTAACTTAAAGTAGATGTGTTTACATAGTCTCACGGTACTTCTATGTGAATTAAAGTAGAAGGAAAGAAGTAGGCAAAAGTACCTAAAGTTAGAAAGAGACAAGTGGCATTCTCAGAAAGGAAGTAAGTTATATCAGGAGAAGGAGGAGAAGGAAAAGCAGAAAGGGGGAAGAGATAAGGAGGAGGAGAAGGGAAGACCAAAATAGTGAGATTGGAATTACAGAGTTCCTCTAGAAGAAAGACTGGAGAGGAGTTAGATTAAACCCCCTACTGAAAAGTAAGGACAGAGAAGTCTTCCAGTGAAGTATTCCAGTGTTTTGATTACTATTAGTCAATAGTTCTGGAAATCAGAACTATGGAGCCTAGGATTATGTAATACCACTGATTTTGATTCATTCTGTGCAAAATTCTAGAATGATTTACCAAAGCAGTTTTTTTGTGTATTTAGAAAAAGAAGCCGTGATCTCAGGAATCAGCATAGGTTCACCAAAACCATCTTGTCAGAAAAATCCCATTTATTTTTTTGTTTGTTTTTATTAAGTAACCAGTATATCAGGAGCTTTTGGTAAACACTGCATATCCGCGAATGCCCCCATCTTTGGGGACAGAAGGAGAACACAGGCAGGCAAGTCTAACTAGGTGAAAGACCATAATAAATAATTATAATTAATGGGGTTACGGTCAGCCTAGTAGTATCACAGAAGGTTGAGAAAAAACAGGAAAGCAAAGAAGCAAGGAGAAATAAAAAGCAAAGAGAAAAAGGAAGGGAGTGAGTGAGAAAGAGAAGATAGAAGGGGACAAGTAAAGGAGACATGAATTTTAAAACAGAAATTAAAGGTGCCAACTTAAGAGAGAAACAGCATGTGGCATGCCTGTGCTACCCAGTATGGTAGCCACTGGCTACACATGGCTATGCAAATTTAAATTTATGAAAGTAAAACTCAAAATTCAGTTCCTTAGGATCACACTAGCCACATATCAAATGCATATGTGGCTAGTAGCTACCGAATTGAATAGTGCACATAGAAGACATTTTCATCAGCACAGAAAGCTCTATTGGACAGTGCCAAGTGGAAAAAGGTTTTTCTTTTGGTTTTCTTGACTGCCATAGTTTATTGAGTACCATATAAATTACATTTGCTTTCTTTGGAGGCTGGGAACACAAATATAATCATATCACAAAAGCACACAGAATTCCCATTTTGCTATTTTTGGCTTCTGATTTCAGCTTCTGATTATTCAAAAGAACCCCAAAACTGACTGTGGTGGTTCACTCACACCAGTAATCCCACAGCACTTTGGGAGGCCAAGACAGGAGGACCTCTTGAGCCCAGTTCGAGACCAGCCTGGGCAACATAGTAGAGACCCTGTCTTTACAAAAATAAAAATAATAAACTAGCTGACTGTGGTGGTGCATGCCTGTAGTCCAAGTTGTTCAAGAGGATGAGGTGGAAGGATTACTTTAGCCCTGGAGGGCAAGGCTTCAGTGAGCCATGATCTCATCACTTCACTCCAGCCTGGGAAACAGAGTGAGATCCTGTCTCCAAAAAAAAAAAACCACCCAAAACAGTGGTTGCCACAATGGAAGACATTTGTAGCTACACGCAAAAAACACTGAAATTTCAAATGCCAAAGAAGATGTACTATTTTGGTTTGGATTTTATAGCACATTATTATTCACTTTGGTGCCTGGCCCAGGGATAGGGTAGGGTAGCTACAGAAGAAAGCTATTAAATTTAGATGGAAAATTCTTTTTTAAAATTACCACTAATAGAAGGGTCTAGTATGGGCCTCAGATCTGGTTTTAGATTTTTTGTAGTAGATGCTTCTTTAATAAGGAACACCTTCCCCACTCCAACTCAAAGGCTGGAATGGGACATCTAAGAGCACTAAAGCAAGGTAAAGAAACATAGACATGCCTAGTTAAGAAAGGTATTTTGGCTATTATTTATTGTTATCTGTAATTTCTCTTATTTTATATTATGAAATATATATTGATTTGGTTTCCCTAATTGAGTTATAATTTTCTAGAAAGCAGCAATCTTTATATCCCTTGAAGCAAATAGCACAGCCTGAGTGCTGAGCAAGTAAGCAAATTAATAGCTGTGCTTGAACAATCTCAGTCTAGCTATTCTAGGCCACTATTTATCTCAAAATCACTTTTCTTGACCATCTTTTTGTATATTATCTCATACAGAAAGCATGCATGACTTGAAGACAAGCATCCTAGACTTTAATCCTGGCTGTGACTCTAAGAATGTCTGTATAGCTGCCAAAGACCATCAGATCCACAATAAAGAAGTCACTGTGGGATCTTTGAGGAAATGCTGGGATAGGATGGTAGCAAAACAAACCAGTTTGCAGACAGCCTACAGATTAGGACTTCAGTAGGTATAGTATAAGCTTCTCAGAATCTACCTATCCACTTCAACACTGCCTCACCTCTACTCCCAGTTCAGGCATTAACCAACTTTATGAGTAGGGCTACAGTTGGCCTACACAGGTTTTAGTGCAAATTAGAAAATGCTGCCTCTGCTGAGCAAACAAATCCTTTGCCTGCTACCTCAGCCAGCCACCTTCATGCAGTGAACAACCTGTACAGCTGTATCCAGGAACCGTGAATATATATGACTGGGAAAATCTCTCTAAGCTTCAGTCATCTCAATTCTAAAATGGATACAATACCATCTGTACCTCACTGGGTGCTGGGGAGGATTAAACAGGGTAAAAGAGATACAGTATCTTGCTTGGAGCCTGGAAATTAGAACCAATTACCTAGGAAATGTTAGCTGTAACCCCTGTCATTCCCCCTTGGCCAGTCTTCTATATCAATGTACCTGGAACCCCCTATCATGAATGGATTATACTCTGTCTGCCACTGAAAGTAGGCAATGATTTCTAGGATTTAGTCATTGCCTAGGAGCTTTATAACAGAACTCAGATGGTGACATACCACATTACTGTTAAGATCACTCTATGTCTTGCTGCACTGCACAATACTCATCATTTAACCTGTATCTTCTCCGTTCCATTTCTTTCTAAATTGATTGCTTGTTGTGACCATATATTGTAGTACACAGGACACTAGTTTCAAATTTCACTCCATAAATTCCATCCAGGAAAGCTTTTAAATCCACACAATGGCTGTAGTGGGTAAACAGAATCTTACCCACACAAACCCCAAACCCTAACCACTCCCATGATGGTCAGTCATCTCTACTCTGGGAACATATCTGAATTCTTTTTCCTAAATTAAAAACTCATTTTGAAGAAAAGTAGTATTAAACTACTCCATAAACATCATAAACCACACTTAAATCTTGGTTTCAATAAATATCCCTTGCCTACAGCTATTAGATTCCACAAGTGAATCTGTTTTTTTTAGATGGAGTTTTGTTCTTGTTGCCCAGGATGAAGTGCAGTGGTGTGATCTCAGCTCACTGCAACCTTCACCTTCCGGGTTCAAGTGATTCTCCTGCCTCAGCCTCCTGAGTAGCTGGGATTACAGGTGCCCACCACCACGCCTGGGTAATTTTTTGGTATTTTTAGTAGAGAAGGGGTTTCATCATGTTGGCCAGGTTGGTCTGGAACTCCTGAACTCAGGTGATCCACCTGCCTCGGCCTCCCAAACTGCAGGGATTACAGGTGTGAGCCAACACGCTCAGCCCCACAAGTGAATTTTTAAGTTTGCCAGCAAAAGAGTATCTTTATTTTGACCATTATTTGCTTTCTGTGGCTTAATGTTCTCTCATTTCTTTCTGATGCTGAGAGACAGAGGGAGTCAGTTAAGAAAACTGTTACAGATTTATTCAGGAGACAAACGCACTCAAAAAGTTCATTTCATCACCGTAAGGTCAGTTTAGGCCTTAAGATAATATCAAACGCTGGCACCTTTGCCTATCCTGTTTCCTTAATCATTAAATCTGTGCAAAGTAGTCTGAAAAATGAGCAAATTACTAAGCAAGAGGTAAAAATTCTGCATTTCACTCAAAAGCCTGGACAGCTCTTCAAAGTGAGCTGTAACACACATTTGCTCATCCCCTTGGCAGGGGAAGGCGGAGGAGCTTCTTCTCATTTTATGAATAATAATTGATTGATTGATTGATGGAGACAGAGTCTCGCTCTGTCGCCCAGGCTGGAGTGCAGTAGCATGATCTCAGCTCACTGCGACCTCTGCCTCCCAGGTTCAAGTGATTCTCCTGTCTCAGCCTCCCAAGTAGCTGGGACTACAGGAGCACACCACCACACCCAGCCAATTTTTGTATTTTTAGTAGAGGTGGGGTTTCGCCATATTGGCCAGGCTGGTCTCAAACTCCTGGCCTCAGGTGATCCATTCGTCTTGGCCTCCTAAAGTGCTGGAATTACAGGCATGAGCCACCGCGCCTGGCTTCAATTAGCTATTTAATGTAGATAGGGATGGCAAAAAGAATCTGGAGTGGGATGGGGAAGTTAGAAGTAAGCAGCAATTATTTCAAACCCCAAATTCAGCTACTGATATTTAATATCCATATGCCTAAATCCAAGACTTTATCCTAATAAAACTTTGGGTTGGAGCTGGGAAACAGCCACACAAGAGGCACAAGAAGGCTAATAACAGAGCTGGAACTGGAGGGCTCACCTTCACGTCACCACCCACTCCATGCCAAGAGGACCCTGATCCCCAAGACCATGAAACTCCTTTCTCATACTTAAAAACCTTGACCATTATTTGGAAAAGTCTAATTTTTTTTTTTTTTTTTTTTTTTTGAGACAGAGTCTTGCTCTGTCGCCAGGCTGGATTGCAGTGGCTCGATCTCGGCTCACTGCAACCTCCACCTCATGGATTCAAGCGATTCTCCTGCCTCAGCCTCCTGAGTAGCTGGGACTACAGGTGCGCACCACCACTCCTGGCTAATTTTTGTATTTTTAGTAGAGACATGGTTTCACCATGTTGGCCAGGATGGTCTTGAACTCCTGACCTTAGGTGATCTGCCTGCCTCAGCCTTCCAAAGTGCTGAGATTAGAGGCATGAGCCACCGCGCCTGGCCAGAAAAGTCTACTTCTAAAATCAACAAAACTACTTAAATTTACAAAAAGGCTTCAGTTTGATAATTTCTTTAGCCCTAAATTTGGAATTTCTGTTGCAGCAAGCTAAATTATCTTCCTATGTATCTTCATATATATATTTGAATTATCTTCGTAATGTATCTTCATATATCATATCTTCATATATATGTTTTACACACATACACACACACAAACACACACGTTTGTTGGGTTTTGTAGACACAGGGTCTTGCTATGCTGCCCAGGCTAGTCTCAACCTCCTGGCTTCAAGTGATCCTCCTGCCTCAGCCTCTCAAAGTGCTGGGATTACAGATATGAACCACTGTGGCTGGCCTATCTTCATATATTTTTAAGTTCCAGACAATTTAAAACCTAAAAATATGATGAGAAGAATTCAGTTGGTGATAATAAAAATTGTTAAGACTTTTCCAAGAGACTGGCTGGGCGCCTGTAATCCCAGCACTTTGGGAGGCCAAGGCAAGAGGATCACTTCAGGTCAGGAGTTTGAGACCAGCCTGACCAACATAGTGAAACTCTGTCCCTACTAAAAACACAAAAATTAGCCAGGCGTGGTGGCAGGTACCTGTAATCTCAGCTACTTAGGAAGCTGAGGCAGGAGAATCACTTGAACCTGGGAAGTGGAGGTTGCAGTGAGCCGAGATCATGCCACTGCACTCCAGCCTGGGCAAGAGTGAGATTCTGTCTCCAAAAAAAAAAATGTCCAAGAGATGATTTGCTAATAGAGTTGGAAAAAGTAAGATATATACTTCCTTTCACCGAAGTATTCTAAATAAAAATGAATATGACAACACTACTGGATTGTTCATTGAAATGTGACTATATAAATTAAAAATTTGAAACAGCCTATAAGTCAGCCTATAAGTCCAACAGCAAGGAACTGGTTAAATAATGCATGATGGGAGTGTCGTCTATTTAACTAGCCCACTCAAAAATGACTACTGAGGATGGTGGTGGTGTGTACCTATAGTCCCAGCTACCTGGAGGCTGAGACAGGAACACTGCTTGAACCCAGGAGTTCAAGACCAGCCTCATCTCAAACTAAAAGAAAACCCCACAAAACATGACTACTTACTAATATTTAATGATGCACAGATAGTAAGTTTTTTAAAAAAGTCAAGGACAATATACACAGATAGATCCTATTTTTGCTATTTTGGGTACGTACAATTTAAGCCAAGATATCACTGGGTGGTCAGACTATGGATATTTTAAATTTTCTTCTTTTATTTATCAATCAACTTTTCCACAAACAATACACATTGATATTACAGTAAGAAAAACAGTTTTGACAAGGACCTCAGGTCTCACCTTTCTCCTGTTTACATTTAACCTTTGCAAATATGATGATTTGCAAAATTTCAACGTATAATAGGTATACTTCTGGACACATCCAAAAGCCACTAATGTGACACCTGCAGCTCACACACAAATGAATTAATTCAATCAAAACACATTCTCTGAGCATCTATTTGCCAAGTGCCATTTTGAGGTTGGGGATGTAAAAATGACTAAAGTTACTTCTCTTTCCTTTAGGAGTTCACAGTCTATACAGAATGAGTGAAAGGCAAGTGATAATTACTCTAAGTGAGATATAAGTACTAATAGAAATATGTACAAAATCTTATGGGTTCAAGGATGGAGCTATTAGCTGGGCCATGGAGGTTCAGGAACTGGGTGTTAAAGAAAAATCCAGAGCTTGTTAAGGGGACAAAGAGGAGCCATGCCTTGCAAACACAGGAAACAGCATGTGTGATGTAATGGAGATACAGAAGAGCCCGGGAAGTGAGGAGAACAGCAAACAGCTGGAGACACGAGGAATGCATGTTGCATGAGAGAGAACAGCATTAACTTTTGTAAAGGAGACTAACAAAGTACAGAAAAAAACCCTAAAGGGCCTTGTAAGGCATGCTAAGGTGTTTGGAAATCCCCCAGAAGCACAGTGGAGAGGCTTATTATTTTATACCATCTACCTCCCATGCCTTCAGCTATCACCTTTAGATCATGACTACCTCAAGTAAGCCTCTAGCCAAGACACTCTCCCATACAGCAGACCCATGCTCCCAATAGTGTACTTAATATTTACCATATTCTCCTTGAAGTCTAAGAGCTCCCCTTTAAGATGTCCTATGTCAAGCGTTGTATCAAATCTTGAAGGCTACTCTACTCTACTCTGGAAAATCAAGCCAGAACCATCATCATCTTACATTTTTTCCTCCCACACTTCTGCACTTAAAACTTGGAGAATTTCCTTAAAATCCTACCTCTTCTTCACCTAGCACACACTCTTTAGTGTAAGTTTCTCCCCATATCTTGATTAGATACTGCAAAGTTTCTTACAGTCTCTCCTTGTTATTATACCATCTATGTCCCAATACCAATACTAAGAGTGATCTCTCCAAATAACAAAGCCCAACGCTCCACTCACTCCCTGCTGTCAAAGCCTCTGTAAGCTCACACTGCACACCTTGTAAAATGCAAAGTCCAAGCCCAAGTCATGCTCTTTATGAACTTTGCTTCAGCTTTTTAATATCCCAACATTTGGTTCAGCTCTATGCTAAAATCACCTCATGTTATAAAGGCAAAGTGGCAGTAAAAACATAAAAAATAGGGAAAGTGTCTCTGCAATTGCTATTTAATACAGCACTGTGCTGTACTACAATATATATCCCTTAGTGTGTATCCCCTGTGAGCTCCGTGAGGGTTAGCATTCTGCCTGGAATACTATAGGTGTTCAATAAATTTTGACTAAGTGAATAACTTTTAAAAGCCAAGTAAAAGAAGGTCCTGCAATTAAAATTATAAACTTTTACATCTAAAGAGGCAGTACTGGCCTGTATAAGAGTTTTGAAGACATATTTCTTAAATACCATCCTCTACTCAAAAAAGATTATATTCCATGGGGTAATTTCATCTAGACATCCCATCACAAACATCAATTCCACCATAACAAACTTATATCACAGATCACCCCCGAACTGCATAAAAGACTTGTTATACCTACAGTGCTGTACAGAGTCTAAACCAGATTACAAATTTTATTCGGCACAATAAAAAACCAACTGGTTCTCAGGTTATCTAGCCCTATTAAGAACACAATGGAATGACTTATTAAACTTGGGTTTAAATGCACACATACACATTGCTCTAAAATTCAAACAATTCTAGGACAATATAGCACCACCACTCTTGGACACAAGATTAAGAGGTCATCATCTCTTTATCAGAGCATAATAAACACAAAAATAACTTCCAAAGACTCAAAATTGCAGACCAATATACCTGGTGACAAAGAAACATGATAAAAAGAAATATAGTACTACTGAATTTATATCAGGTAGAAAATTGGTTTAATCGACAATTACTACAAGTTTTACTTTATGGAATGTTCTCATCATATGTTCCAATAAATGAGCTCCCTTCTTTGCTCATTTACTTTCCCATTTTTAATTACTGCCAGTTGTTTCTGAGTTTCAACAAAATTCAGACTAATTACTGAAAGCCAACAGCTTCCATTTGCTTGAGAATAGAGTCCAGGTTCGAATAATCTATCAAAAAGTTGTACGTATTTTAACAAGATAAGAACAATAACATCTATCACTATAATAGCTAGCACTTACATAGTACTTATGTAGTATGTGCGAATCCTAGCATGTGCTTTATACACTTTGTTTTATTTAATATGAAGAAGATATTAAGGTGTATCCATTTTACATGTAGGGAAGCTGATGCACAGGGAAGCTAAATAACTTACTTCCTATTATACAGACAGTAAACAACCAAGCTGGGATTCCAACCTAGAGTTCATGCTCTTAACCTCTACACCCTATTAGATGAGAACTTTCCTTTAAGATACTGAGAGGTAGACTTGACAAGTAAAGAGGAATATTTTAATAGACAGTATTCCAGTCAATATTTCCTCATAAATCTTGAGGCAATAATTTCATCTATATATTGTTGCTAATTTTGGTTATTAATATTTTATCAGGAAGCATAGAATATTCCTTTAAACGTATAACTTTGAAGGTTTTACTGAGTGTACTCATCTGTTATTCCCTTCATTGGACAACAGAACTTTAAAACAGCACTGGCCAATAATAATGTGAGTTGCAAGGCCAGGCGCAGTGGCTCATGCCTGTAATCCAGCTCTTTGGGAGGCCGAGGCAGGCGGATCATGAGGTCAGGAGTTTGATACCAGCCTGGCAAACATGGTGAAACCCTATCTCTACTTAAAAAAAAAAAAAAAAAAAAAAGGTAGAAAATTAGCTGAGCATGGTGGCATGCGCCTGTAATCCCAGCTACTCGGGAGGCTGGGGCAGGAGAACTGTTTGAACCTGGGAGGCAGAGGTTGCAGTGAGCCGAGATTGCACCACTGCACTCTAGCCTGGGTGACAGAGCAAGACTCCATCTTGAAAATAAATAAAATAAAATAAAATATAATATAATAAAATAATGTGAGTTGCAAATGTGAGTCACATTTGCAATTTTAAGGTTTTTCTAGGAGTCACATTTTAAAAAGTAAAAGCAAGGTAAAAATAGGTATAAAATTAATTTTGATGATACAGTTTATGTAACCCAATGTATCTAAAATATAATTATTACAATGTGTAATTAATTTAAATGATTAAAGAGGACCTATAAATTCTTGCTTTCATACTCAAGCTCCAAAATCAAGTGTGTATTCTAGACTTACAGCACACCTCAATTAGAACTGGTCATATTTCAAATGCGCAACAGTTGCATGTGGCTAGTGTCTACAATCCTAAACAGCACAGCTTTAAAACAAATATCCAGTTTTGTAGTTAAAGTAAATCTAAAAAGATTGCTCTGTTCACACACTTCCTTCATAAACTTTGCCCCAGGATTAACTATCTTCTTTAAACTACAATGAAAAAGATCACATCTATGTAATACCTTCTAATGGCAGTGATGATAAAACATTAACTGTACTAACTGAAATATACCAGTCAGCAGTTCACAAGTCTAGCGTGTCCAAGCAGAATAGGTCCGGTAACACTTTCAGTAGGTCCAGTCTCATCACCTAATTTCTCTGTAGGGCCAAACATAAGGTTCGAAAAAAAGAGCTAAGTTAAAAAAAAAAAAAACATGCTATGGGTTTCTTTAAAAACATGCTCCGGTTAAGTCAAATTGTCTTCATTTCCAACCAGAAAACATTTCTCTCTTGACATAGTTGTCTACATGGAATACAGTTGAATCTGGTCATCTTACCCTGACATTTTCTTCAGTTAAAAGTCTAAATCACCCAAAATTTCCAGTCTGTATTTTCTCTCTCAGCGGTCAATCTGACTCTATCAACATGAGATCTGTGATGGTGGCGGAGGCTATGAAAAGGAACGGGTCTCCCATGGATAGCAAAGGCATTTGTTTTCACTTATATTTCATTTACTCATCAATTAAGTACACATTAACCCTACCACCCTATAATCTTGAAAATGTAAAAATTAATTTGAGATTTTTTCTCCCACTTAAGAGTAGGAATAACATCTAGTACAAACAGAATCTAACACACGCTGGATTATATTATTTACTCAGTAAAAAGCAATTGACTGTTAGTGATACCCATCCCCAGGCCATCCCAAAAAAGGCAGAGGGTGGGGGGAAGGAGAATGTCAAAACAAAAGGCCTATGCTAGAAAATTTCCAGGGAAAAAGAACAAACATCCTCTTTGGGAATTACTCTAGGCAACACAGCAAAGAATTATAGCACATAAACTGAGGTTACATAAACACTGTAATAAAATTCAGGGCTTGATTTATGGAAGCAGCCTGTCTCATGCTTACTTCTACAGAGAGCTGTGGCTCAGCCTGGAGGACCTGCACCTGGAAACCAGCACACCAGTCCCAACACCTCTCCAGCGGCAGGAGGAGGGGCTGTGCTGGGAGCTGTTGTGCCTTCCAGTCAATGGCCTGTGGATGGGCATGAGAGGAAAGGAGGGAGGGCTGGCTAAAAACACCACACGCCAATACTCCTTCTTTTAAAGATGGAAATAATGAGATTTCACTTATGCACTCATAGCTCCAGTCTAGAGAGGGCTCTCCACCCCTACTCCCACCCTTCAACTCATATCACCACCAAGAGAATACATAGAGCAGTGAAATGCAAAGGGGAGGCCGGGCCCAGTGGCTCACGCCTGTAATCCCAGCACTTTGGGAGGCTGAGATGGGCGGATCACCTGAGATCGGGAGTCCGAGAGCAGCCTGACCAACATAGAGAAACCCTGTCTCTACTGAAAATACAAAATTAGACGCACGTGGTGGCGCATGTCTGTAATCCCAGCTACTCGGGAGGCTGAGGCAGGAGAATTGCTTGAACTCAGGAGGTGGAGGTTGTGGTAAGCCAAGATTGCGCCATTGCACTCCAGCCTGGGCAACAAGAGTGAAACACTGACCAAAAATAAAAAAAAAAAAAAAAGGAAGGAAGGAAGGAAGGAAGGAAGGAAGGAAGGAAGGAAGGAAGGAAGGAAGGAAGGGAGGGAAGGAGGCAAGGAGGGAGGGAGAGAAGGAAATGCAAACGGGAGAGAGCATTTAGTACCAAATCCAATGCATTCAGAAAATGAAGGAGCTTCAAAATTTGCAAAGAAAACATTGTCTGTTCTTCATAAAATATAATTGTAAAAGGAGAAGCAGCCTTATGAAATCTGTGTCATAATTATGTCCAACGTTTCTGTATTATTCAAGGGAGAGGAGGGGAGGGGAGGGCAAAGCTCACAGAGATAAGTCTTACAATATGACCCTGGCATTTTTATTAAATAAAGCTAATTCTATCTTCCAAAAGGATGTTTTATTGTTATGTGCAGCAAAGAGGCGAGCTTGGCTATGGACCTGCCCCATTTATGCATAATGACATCAGAGGTCATTGATAATTTCCTTCCAAGTCAGCCTTGGGAATAGTCAGGAAAGGTTCTTTAAATTTTATTTTTGCAAGTTAATTTGATAAATCTATAGTTCAACAGACTGTCATGAAACATTTTAAGCTCTGCAAGGTTTTTTTTTTTTTTTTAGTGAGTGTGCCCTTCTGCTTATAGCTCTACTTTTACATATAAAATAATTCCAAAATGTGTCAGATAATTAGACTGGGCCGTGAGAATGCTGAAATCATATTGTTGCAATATGTCTCCAAGCAAAATACTGGCTGAACTCTATAAGAAGCATGTAGGTTTCTATCAGCTGGTTTATTAGGCTCACCTCACAGCAAATGTGCAACTGGAAAGAACCACAAGACCTCAAATAAACAGCTTCATGTCTGAGTCAGTGACCTTTTACAAGCATTCATAAAGACTTCATGCAGAATAGAGAGGTGTCACTGGTGACCCTGGGCTAAAACAGATTCTCCCGAAGAAAGTTCCAGAATAAGATTGTGAAATAGAACTAAACAGTGCCATCTGGTGCAAGAAAAACAGGGAAAAATATTAGCTATAGGACGACGAGGCAGTGCCTTACTTTAAACCTCTATTCATACTAGAACTTGCTTTACTTTTTTTCAGAGAAAGGTTCCAGTATTTAATGCACAATTTTTTTACACATTTAAAATAATGAGGAAAAAATTGGAAACAGTATTACTAAGTTTTCCATCAACCTAAACCATCAGCAATTAAGCTACACAAACTTAAAAACCATTATCACTCCTGGCTCCAGTTTTGATAGGCTCTGCCTCATCTGTTTCAACAGGAACCTTGAAAATCTCATTATCAATTTTTTTATCCTTTGAATTCCTCTTTAGTTTAGCAAACTATTTCAATATGTATCTCCTCTATTCCTCTTTTCCTCCAAGAAATAATGCTGTTCAAGTAAGATTGTTCTAATAATTATAATTTATGCTCAATTTTTTTTTGGGGGGTGGGTGGGGGTGCAGATTGGCTTCTTGCAATGTGTAATGCTTTACTGAAAACTTATTATCTAGGCATTCCAGTAACTCTTACCCACTTTCCAATAACACACACAATGAAATGAATGAATGAATGAAACAGCAACTCCACCAACAACTTACAAGGAGGCCATTAAGTTAATTTTAATAAGCCATTTCTAACAGAAAATTACAACTCTGATAATTCCATAAATACTTTATAATCCAGTTATTTGGAGAATCCAATAAAATTTTCCAGGTTACCAAAATTGATAATAGTTTATAAGAAAACAAAATAAAACTAGCAAAAAAAGATAATAAAACTGGGGTATCTGGGAATGAAAATATTACCTTCACTGTTATCATATTCAAAGACAAGTTTTCTAGATTCCTTTACAAAATAATTATCCATTCCCCAAGCTATTTCTGATTATAGAATCACAGAATCTTAGGGGCAGAAAAGGCTCAGATAAGATTTTAAACCCAGAAGGTAATAAATCAACTTCATTGTTTTAAAAAAGGCAAACACATATACATACATACCCAAGAGTGTCTGCTTTTATTTTTCCTCCCATAATGGAAGTAAATGATGCAATAAATCCTTTGAGTATACAGATAAGCTAAGATGAAACATCCCTTGCTGGCAGGCTTTGTGCTTCAAGTCTTATACTGTGAATTACTATCAATGAAACTACTGGAATTCATGTGAATTTCACAGTTCATTCTTATCATTAGTACAGAGAGGGAGAGAAATTTGTAAGCATGGGGATGAAACAGGGATCCTAATGAAAACACATAATCAAGTCTATATTCCACTAGTTCAGGATAACTAGAGACATATTGTAAAATGAATTGAATGCATGGTAAAGAAGAACAAAAATACTAAAATTAGTATATTTTATGGATAATATTTTTTTAAGAGAGTATGAAGTTTTTGTATTCCCTTTTCCACAAACTCCTTGCATTTAAAAGCCACATAGGAAGTTTTCCTCTTCAGTAGCCTGTAGATGGTGCTACTAAACTGTTTTTCTTTTGCCTGAAAATTCTTGCAGTTTTATCACTAGAGGAAGCTAATTTATATTATTTCACTCCTTGTAAAGTTTGGAAGGGTGTGTGGGAATTACCCTATTTTCTCATTGGTCACTCTATACTTACACATGGATCACTTTCTTAGAAAATGGATGTGTTAAAGAAATCCCATGTAAACTTAATGTTTACAATCAAGTTAGTATAGATATCTACTGGATGAAATAATTGTTGAGGTATAAAAAGCCATGGGGACCAACCCATCTTGTGTATCTCCACTTCCAGACACAGACATTTAACAGCTGAGCAAAGAATTAATCCAGAGCACAGAAATGGCGCCCCAGGGTAACCTGCAGTGGCTTCAGGACCTTTAACCTCCATTAGAGAGTATCCACCCCACCAATCCCACCAGTTTGCCCAACAAAGCAAATCATGTCCACACAGCATGCCATGTTGTTGTCCTAAGTCTTTCTGCAGAGAATACAGCCAGAGAGGTTCCTGGGTGGTCCCACGGTCACAAAGCTCCTTGGTGGCAGAAGGAATTAGATCTTAGCTGTACCACCAAGCCAACATGCCCTAATAGGCCAGTGAAACCTCCCTGTAAAAACATGCAATTCCTTTGTAAAATGGCTATTACTTAAAGATATATGTTTTGAACATCATATACTGCATTTCAGTAAAGCAAACTGTATCTGTAGTATATTAATTTAAACATCGTCTTCTTAGTATGATTTACTTGTGCTCCAAAGCAGTAAGACCACTTTTTAAAATTAATACTTTTTTCAGAGCAGTTTTAGGTTCATAGAAAAACTGGGCAGAAAGTACAGAGTTCCCATGTACTTCCTGTCCCTACACATGGACAATCTCCCTATCAGCATTCCCCACAGGACTGGTACATAGTTACAATGGATGAGTCTAGACTGACACATCATTATCACAACTTTCATAGTTTACATTAGGGTTTACTCTTGGTGCTGTACATTCTATGGGTTTGGTCGTACGTAAAATTATATGTACCCACTGTAATACAGAGTCACTGCCCTAAAAATCCTCTCCACTCTGCCTATCCATTCCTCCCTCTCCCCAACTCCTAGCAACCACTGATCATTTTTTCTGTCTCCATAATTTTGTCTTTTCATAAAGTTGGATGTTTGTTTCTCTGCAGCCTCATGCTCCCCACTGCCTAAATTTAAATAGGTTCTACTGTGAGCTCCTTGAGAGAAGAGATGATGTTTGAATGAATGTATGTTTCTCTGTACCCAGCAAGACTGGATTTAGTACTTAGCATGCACTGAATGAAAATCAGTAAATTATTATGCTGAATTAGGTCAAATCAATACCTCAAATAATCAATTATCCCTCGTATCACTGTCATGTGAAATATACAACAAATTAATTTGAACGTTTTTAAACCACAGGACATTTTTACCAGTAAGAACTGGGAAAAATCTCGTTAAATAATTTTACTATTAAGAACCATGGCCCAAGCGCAGTAGCTCAGGCCGGGTGCAATGATTCACACCTGTAATCCCAGCAATTTGGAAGGCCAAGGCAGGGATCACCTGAGGTCAGGAGTTGGAGACCAGCCTGGCCAACATGGCAAAACCCCATCTCTACTAAAAATACAAAAATTAGTCAGGCGCCTGTAATCCCAGCTACTAGGGAGGCTGAGGCAGGAGAACTGCTGGAACCCAGGGGGCAGAGGTTGCAGTGAGCCAAGATCGCGCCACTGCACTTGAGCCTGGGCAACAGAGCAAGACTGCATCTTGGGGAGAAAAAACAACAACAACAACAACAAAAACCCAAACTGAACCATGATCAGAAGACCTTAATCTGAAGAACCGGTAGTGAATTGTAAAAATTTGTTTCAGTATTTGCTTTTAGAATATGGATCCCCTTTGTAATTAAGCCCCATTATAACTAAGTTAAATAAAGGTGATCTAAACAATGCTGACAATAGGTAAAATTCGTGGGTTGCTTACCAGGCAGGAGTCACTGTGCTGGGGACTTTTCATATATATTATTACCAATTTTTACAATAATTGTAAGGTTTGTGGGTCTTATAACTCCTCTTGAAAAATAAGAAACCTGGCCAGGTGTGGTGACTCACACCTGTAATCCCAGCATTTTGGGAGGCCAAGGCAGGTGGATCACCTGAGGCCACAAGCTCGAGACCAGCCTGACCAACACAGTGAAACTCCGTCTCTACTAAAAATACAAAAACTAGCCGGGCATGATGGTGGGCACCTGTAGTCCCAGTTACCTGGGAGGCTGAGACAGGAGAATTGTTTGAACCCGGGAGGCAGAGGTTACCGTGAGCTGAGATCGCACTCCAGCGCGACAGGGTGAGACTCCGTTTCAAAAATAATAATAATAATAATTAGAAACCCAGGGCTCAGGAAAGTGATGCCACTTTCCCAAACTCACATGGCTTTTTAAGAGATGGAGCTTGAATTGGGTCTATTTCATAGCAAAGCCAGTGGTTTGAGCTCTCTACTGTGTAAACTCCTAAACCAAGGCCATTTATGATAAATGGTGGCAGGATTTTTATTATAAACATGTACCCATGCAAATTTCCTATAACTCTGAGATATATTCTTCTACATTTAAACAATAAAAATAATCTATTTTTAAAAGCCTAATTTGCGTAGTTAGGTAAGAGTGTTTAATGAGAGGGTATAAGGTATAAATCACCAGTCAACGTTTCTCTGCCTATGACCAGTTATGCCCAGCTCAAGAGATCCAGTTTTGAAACCGTGTGGGCAGCAACTCTTATGGATGTGTTTATCAAAGTTTTACAGTTCTCTCTTTGGAAACCCAGAAAGTTATCAGAAAATAAAATATACTCTATTCCCTCCTTCATTTGTAAACAATGTAAATGCTGGAAGGATGTGATGAAGAAAGTTCCCAGGTACTTTGAAATGCTTGGTTTCCAAGTTGAAGGGAGGCTATGCTGCAAGTAAGCTCCACATTGCTGCCAGAGCCTACGGGTTCTCAACACTACCTCCACTCTCCCTCACCGCAGTCCATTTCCACACTCACCTGTCAAAACCACTCTGTCAATGCCATTGGTCAGGACATATCCTTCTCTACCCACTGCCTCATTCCTGCTTTCCTAGTTTCATCTCTCACTACTCTTTCACTTGGCTCTTGTGTAAATGAAATCAAGGTGGAAAGGGCGGGGGGCGGGGTATCAAAGGATATTTATAGGTTAAGTTCTCGAAAGCAGAAGTCATACTTTATATATTTTTAATACCTAACATTTATTAGGTGCTTAATATCTGCCAGGTTTTATACTCAACATTTTACATGTAATATATTATTTAATCCTATAATAACAACAAGAAGTGGACGCTACTATCATCATTACACAGATGAGAAAACTGAGACATGTCCAGGAAGTGGCAGAGCAGGGTACAGACCCATACAGTCTAACTCAATTACCGTATTTTTAGTCATCACATAAAAATGCCTCCAGATGTTCTCAATTTGGGCTAAAAGAAGAGTAGTGAGTATCCAGCTCACAATTTGTAAAAGAACAGAGCATTATAACTACCAAAAAATTATATAAAAAATTTTTAATTGTCCACATTTTAAAATATTTTTAAATAAAATTATTAATACATTTTATTGTGGATATTTAAGGTGTACAACATGATGTTGTTATCAGGTACATATATATAGTAAAAGGTTACTATAGGAAAACAAGTGAACATATCCATGATCTCACAGTTACTTACTTTTCCTGCCTGTGGCAAGAGCAGCTATAACCTACTCACTCAGCAAAAATCCTGAATACAGTACATTGTGATTCACTATAGTCCTCATGTTGTACAGATATTCAGACTTCTTCATCCTATATATCTGCTACTTTGTATCCATTGACTCAAATCTCCACATTTCCTTCCTCCAAACCCAATCCTAGTAACCACTGTTTTATTCTCTCTCTGTATTTTTATCCTATTTTTTAGATTCTACATATGTGAAATCATGCAATTTTTTTTTCATGTCTGACTTATTTTACTTAGCATAATGTCCTCCAGGCTCACCCACGTTGTGGCAGATGGCAGGAGTTCCTCCTTGTGAAAAGCTGCATAATATTCCATTATAGATTGTATAAATATAATTATTTTTTTAAAACACCTGTCAAATATTTACCAGGACTGAGTTCAAAATGACCTTCCAAAGGTACATGGCTTGTTTACAGAATTAGATTACAGTTTTACAAGGAAAGAACCTGTTGCCTTTTGCATCCTTTGTCCCTCTACATCCCCACCAAATGGCAAGAAAGTGTTACTTACAATGAACACTCTTGGTAGGTGATTTAACTGATTGGCAAAAGAATTAGCTCAGTGCCTGCACAGCCAGTGACATCAGTTTTGGTGTCTTCGGAATTCCTGCTGGCAGAGGCCTTCTCTTTTAACTCTTCTGTAATTCCTAGCCCTCCAGAGCCACAGACCCACAGGCCCAAGGCACATCTGCTATCTGAAGGTCTCTGGATAGCTGTTATTTCTGCTCTTACAGCATTTCAAGGACCAAAGGACTGTGGAGAAGAAGAGGTGAGCAAATGCAGTGAAGAAGCAGCTAGAATCCCAGTGGGGCAGAGAGAGGAGAAACAAGGTGGGAAACTAGGAAACCAAGGCTTCTCCTATGATAGAAACAATATTAAACCACGGGACAGCCCCTACCCAGCCTAAAAGAGTATTCACTTTAGGTGTAATACACTATTCTGTGTTAAGATTAATGTAAAACAAAACTGTACTTTCTAAAAGAGATCAGCTTTTAATTGTTCTAGCCAAGTCAAGTATGATTCCCATATTGTTGTTACTTAAAAGTTCTCATAGATTTCCCATTACACTTATCATGGAATACAAAATCCTGAACTCGGCCTCAAACTTGGCATGCATTTCCAGTCTCACTCTTAGCACGCTTCAAGCCACACTGGCTTTCCAGCACCTGAGAGCAGCTCAGCGTTTTCTTGCCTTGGACCCCTGTCTGTGGTGCTGCTTTGCCTCTCAAACCACCTCTGGCCGGCGCCGCTACCTTTTGGCAGCCTGCTTTGAGAAAAGTCATTTAAACTGCCAGGGATCCCCCCTTCCCCCATTCAAAGCAGTCTGTCCTGCTCTTTCATAGCACTTACCACATTTTGTAAGTATTACTTGTGTTATCTGTACTTCTTCCATTAAACTGTAAATTCTGTTACTGCAGGAACCATGTCTATATTTTTCAACATTACATATCTAGCTCCTAATATACTGCTTGCCTCATAGTTGACATAACAATTTTTAGGACGTATGAAAGGATGAATAGAAGGAGCATTGAAGGAGATGGGTAGAAAGGTGTCAGAGATTAAAGACAAGAGTGTGGTAAGAAGAAATGAGGAGGAACAAGAAATTATGCAATGAAGACTCTATGACCACATCATCTTGGAACCGGGAAGAATAAAGAACCAGCTGGTTCCATTCTCTTATTTCATGAGAGGAACACGCACCAGTGACCTAAGGTCTCATAGCTAACATTAAAATCTAAGTTTCTTAAGCCTAATTTTGTGCTGCTTATACTAAAGTACAAGAGTCCATACAACTTTTGAAAATATAATTCACAATCGTCTTTAAAATCCTGATGAAGCTATAATATGGCAAGTCTAGACAAAAAGAAAACAAATCAAACGTGATAAAAACAGCAATGCCTCAGAACCTCCACTCCTCCTCTTTCAGGCATCACTGACCCAACAGCTCAAGAAAAACTGCATTCTGTGAGACTGGTGTTATGCCAAGTACTTTGCCTAATCCTGATGCCACAGGGCCAATCTCATTATTTCCCCCCTTTCCAGATTAGGAAGTGGAAACTTAGAGAGGCATGTCACTTGCCTAATGTGACACAGCTTATAAGTAATGGACCTAGATAACAAAGGGGATTTAAAAGTCAAGCAATAAGAAATTCACATGCAGCTCACATCATCAAAGGCATTCTGCATGACTTTGGAATTCTTTAGTGGGTGGCATAAAGTACAAAATGGGAAATGCAAATGTTCTGTTTTCTATAGTCTCCTCTGGGAAGAGAATTGTTGAATGCTACAGTATCATATTATATTGGAATGACATGTCAAACCCAATGTCAATATGTCAAAAACTTCATCAAAAGTAGAATTGAGCCAGGCGTAATGGCACGTGACTATAGTCCCAGCTACATGGAAAGCTAAGGTGAGAGGATCGCTTGGGCCCAAAAATTCCAGGCTGTACTGAGCTGTAATTATGCCACTGCACTCCAGCCTGATGATAGAGTGAGACAGCCTCTAAAAAAGTAATTTTTAAAAAATTAGAATTGTTCTGAGTATGACACTCACACTCAAGACGTGCTCAACTACCAATGTTTGTTCTGAGTGGTAACCTTAACACGGTCATAACAAGGAAGCTAATCCATCCATCTTTGGAGCTTGATTTCTATTTGCAATCCTGTCATTTGTAACAACCACCAAACTGTCAATAAATACAAGACTATTGGTAGAACAAGACAGTGATACTAGAAGCACCTCCAAATTTACCGTAGAATTACCAAATGCAGCAATAATACCCATAAGTATAAATAGTATTAATGCAAAAGTTCTTATTGCAATCATAATGTTGACACACTTGGCCAGAGGAATAAGTCAGTAAATCCAATTCCTTGCATGTGATATCACTCTACTCCTTCCTTCCTTCCTTCCTTCCTCCCTCAGTCTGACAAACATTTGTTACATTCTAGTAGGTGCAATGCAATAGGTATATGTCAGCTCATTTGATCCTTGTGCCATCCTCTCAGGGTAAGAAGGACAACTCAAGGGAGGAAGAAAGCATCACAGAGTTACTTATTTAATGTAACATGGGAAGAGACAGAGTAGGAATGATAAACCAGCTTTTCTAACTCCTCATCTAGTGCTCTCTGGAAATGTTATTCATCTCCCACGACTCTGATTTTTCAGAGGACACCAGGTAAGCACCAAACAGTTAAAAGAATATCTACATTTATCTTTTACTTTTGTCTTCCATCTTTTAAAAATTTTCTTTTTAGTTGACATGTAGCAACCATATTTATGGGCTATGGCATGATATTCTGATACATGTACATAATGTATAATGATCAAATCAGGATAATTAGCATACCCATCACCTCTAACATTTATCATTTCCTTATGCTGGGAATATTCAAAATCCTCTCTTCTAGCTTTTAAAAAATATACAATAAAAGATTAACGGTGTTCACCCTAATATGCTACAGACCAACAGAACTTATTCCTCCTATCTAGCTGCAATTTTGTATCCCTTACCAATTCTCCCTATCCTCCCCGCCCCTCCACGTCTCCCAACTTTGAATAACCACAGTTATATTCTACTTCTATGAGCTCAACTTTGTAGCTCCCACATATGAGTGAGCTGTGTTCTCCATCTTAATGGTCCTAAAACACCAATAAGTTCCTCCTGATATAATGCAGAAGATTCTTTTTGTTTTTTTCTATTTTGTATACATCTACACTTCTAACTACAAATAACAGGTTTCAACATTCTCTCCTTATTAGTCTCTGCTTCCTTAAATCTTCTCAATTTTGACTCTACTGCTTTCTCTGCCAAGGAGTATCTGATATTTGCCAATCTCTGCAAGGATTCACAAGCTCAAACTAAATTTGCCACCCTAGAGCCACACAGATCTTGCCCCACACTGCTTCCCAATGCATGGCATTCTCTCACTTAAAGGTTCTTCCTCTTTTTCTAGAATTCATGTATACACATCATGACTAGCACCATATGGCTCATAGTTGGATCACACACATTATACTTTTACAAACATATGCATACTCACTATACACATACATTACAAGGAGTGCTCACTGCTTAAAACCTTTCCCCTTTTGGTCATTTCATTTAACTTGAGGAAACTTAATACCTTTTTAAAAAAATAATAGCTTTATTAAGATGTAATTTGCATACATACAACTCAACCATTTAAAATACACAACTCAATGGTTTTTATTATATTCAGATAGTTGTGCAACTATTACCACAATCTAATTTTATATTTTTACCACCCCAGAAAGAAACTCTGTACCTATCAGCAGTTACTCCCTATCCCTCTCATGTTTCACCCCTAGACAACTACTAATCTACTTTCCAACTTTCCATCTCTACAGATTTGCCTATTCTGGATATTTAATACAAATATAGTCACACCATATGCAGTCATTTGTGAATGACTTTTCTTTCACTTAGCATAATGTCTTTTTTTTTTTTTACTCTGCCTCTATCTGTTCATTCAAGTATGACTCCCTGGGGACTTCTCCTGGAGTGACCAGGCAATAAAGTAAACCAACATAGCATAATTACAGGGAAGGTTAGAGGAGGAGGATACCTTACAGGGAGCTATGAAAGGGTCTGAAGCCCACAGCCCTACAGCTCATCCATTCTAACACTGCACCACTGTCCCTCACAAAGTACTCATATCCCTGTGGCTTTTAGCTTGGGAAAACTGCAAGGACATAAATGATATGTGTATACACAGTGGCTTAAAGGGTCCACAGGAAGCCTTCATGAAGTCATCAAGTGCTTAACTGTCTCAATACCATATTTTTTGTTTTATTTTTTTTAAGGATGATCATAGGTTTGGGTATAAAATTCAAATTCAGGTTCATCAGTCTAATTAAATTAAATGTCTCTATTGGAGGAGTTATTGAGCAAAAGAGATCAGTTTTTATGAGAAGGTTTTGTTCTTTTGTTTTGCAAAAACCTCAGCCATTGAAATAGTCCCCAGGAAGCCCTTTAAAATTCTAAAAATGCAAGTGAAGGGAATGTTAATTAAACGTTTCATTAATGCTTGCCATACAGTGAGCCTATTCATTTCAGTGAGGTCAAATTTATGATACAGCGGAGTTAGAATTTTATATGCTCTATGTATACTTTATAGTACATTGGGGCACCTCATAAAATTCAATTGTACAGTACATTTATGTCCTTTTTTTAAGGACCTGGATCATAATTTAAGTTTTTAAATGATTTAGAAAGGTTTATAATTTTTGCCTTTTTGCTTTTATGACCCACTATGAGAAGAACTTAGTTGGTGCCAAGACTTTAGTCAGAAACGTTAACCCCGACTACTATACTGTTTCTGTGGGAAAATGTGCTTCACTTCATAAGATGATCTCAAGAAATATACCAAAAGTAGCAGCTTTCATTCTACAGTTTCTTCTTTTCAGAAGAAAAGAAGCAGTGGTAGTGGAAGTGGTGAATTTCAAGTTTTAGTGTAGTTTTCATCTCTTCAATCAAATAGACTGTGATCAGTAGATCCTATTGCTTTTATTTCGTAAGGGACATAGAGTGCATAGTAGGTGCTAAATAAATTGATTTTCAGTTTCACTCGATGAATACACAGAAACAGGAGCAGATGTACTGCTCTTATTAGAAGGCAAAAATTAGAGCATCACTCAATTGTGCAGGAAATCTAGGGCCCCTGATCAATCTTGTAGGAAAATCTGTTCAATTACTCAATATCCTCAAAGCGCCTTCCTCAAATGAGCACGTTCAGGGGCTCAATCCATCTTCACTGAGCTATGCCAGATGAACTGTTCTAACATCTAATTCTTTTTATAAAGCAGAAAATGTTTCTCAAGCTCTTTATGGCTGATTGAACTAATTTACTGTGTAACAGGCAGCAGCCTATCTTTAGATAAATGCTAATCAGGACGTTAGTGCTCTCTTCGGTCTGACTGCCACTATTATGCTGAAAGGGAAGGTCAACAGCTAATAAACCCAGTTAACAAGCCATTCTGAACTTCACTTTAGCTTAACACTCTTCAAAGTTGCAGTCATTAAATCCATAGATTATTAGAGGCTGCTCTCCTGTTTTCACTGCACACTAAGACAAACTTTCAGTACAGTCATTAATTGAATTAACATTGTCTAATCCAATTCTATAGACTGTAAACCAAGACACAACCAAGGGGAAGGCCCTCACAAATGCCCTCACAATAAAACAATGGGAATACAGTCATCTGGGGTTAGACTCAGATTGGAGAGCGACAGGAAACATGTCATGTTAATGGTCTCTTTTCCCTTACAGTCCTCCCTCCCTCCCTTTCTTTCTTTCTTAAAATCTTTCAACAAGTAAAAGAATAGCATTTTGTGGCTCCTAAAAGATAGTTTTACACCACAGAAAAGCCAAGTGGAAAAACAGTACAGCCGTTTGTCTCATGGTCCCATACAACCCAAGACAACAATGCAGTCTCAGACAAGCCATAGTGGGATCCCGTTCTACAGGATATGACTAGGATAATTAGCTCAGTTCAAGACCCCTGAGGGACTAGGTCTTTCTGTGAAAGCCAAAGGGCTGTCAAAATATTCTAAAGTGAGACCAAGAAGCTCTAAGTCTAATTTGAAAACTATGAACGTTTTACTATTATACACCAGAGTTTTGGGTACAATGACATGGGCCATAAACTGGTTTAATCCATAGTGTATGACAAATACTAAGAGGCTCAACTCACCTGCCTTTATTAAGTATAAGAGAAGGCTAGTCCTTGTCTAATTGGTTTCTCCCTTTCAAGAAGGAGAAGGGTATATGGTGAATTCTGAAGTGGGAAGCCTGTTGTTTTCTCTGTTTTGCATATCTGAGAATACCAAAATGAGTAGCCCAAGGATGTCATATGGGAAACTTTATGCTTCACAGCGGAAAACTGGCCTGCCCCTCCAAGGTCATTACATCATTACCACGGGTCTATTCATGTGATAAGAATATTAATTTAAAATAAGTCTGAGCTTTAACAAAGAAACCTCACACCTGTCAAATGTGACATTATGATGATGTTCAGAAGAACAACAGAAGAGTAGGTGACAACTGGACTGTGGCAGCCCATGCTGTATCACATTCATTGTACAATTCAATGGTTTTCACTTCACAAGGAAATGCCCTCATCAACATGGTCACGTGATGCAGATAGGGAGGCCTTATCCACAACAACACCTGTGATTCCTGGTGTATTTGGGCCAATCATGGTAGTCTCATTCCATCATCAGTAACTGGTTTGAAGTGTGAGAATGTGATACAACTTTGGGCCACTGAACTTGTGAGTAATCTGCTGAGATTTTCTGGAAAGGTTTCCTTATACCTAATGAGAAGACATGCAGGTGTGTATCTTTGGATGTGGCAGCACCTGGAGCTTTTGCAACAAACAGCTTCTAAAATGATGTGTGGTTTGCACAGTAATGACACAGGCCAGAGGTTGGTAAATTATAGTCCACCTGTTTTTGTAAATAAAGTTTTACTGGAACTCAACCATTTACATATTTTTCATATTACGATTGCTGTGGTAAACAGATCCAACACAGATAATATGACCAGCAAAGTTGAACATATTTAATATTTTTCCCTCTGTAGCAAAAAGTTTGCTGATCTCTGATTCAGATTCACAACTAGTTGTTTTTTTCTAAATATTTCACCAATATACTTACTATACTTGAGTAGCAGTACATCTATATGACAACCGCAAAGTATTCACTTTCTTTCACTTTTAAGGTTTAAAACCTAGTTTTAAGAATTACATTATTGTCTCAGAACACGAACATTCATGGGACAGATGGAAGTTACTACAGTATTTTAGCAGAAGCATCTTTTGGATATAATCCAATTCAACAAATGTTTATTGAGCTCCGTATGTCATAATATAAGTTTCAATAAAATACCATCTCCATACTCAAGGAGCTCAAAGAAAAACAGGTGAACATCTGAAATCCACAAATAATCTGAAAAGGGGGAAGCAGACTGTGATAGGTACCCTTAAAAATAAAAAACAGAAAAAATTACCACATCGCAGAGACAGAAACATCACGTCTAATGGAGAATATTAAAAAAAAAAAAAAAAAAAAGTATCCCTGGAAAGACCTGAGGATTTGCTGTGTGTCTGGCACTGCTCTGAGTGCTCCATATTTAACTCTTAAAACAACCCACAAGGCAGATACTATCACTGTTTCCATTTTACAGTTGAGAAAAATGAGGCACAGAAAGATAAAATAACAAATGCTCAAAGTTTTCAAGCTGGGCTGAGATTCCAGCCCGTCAGTCTAGCCCCAGAGTGTGCACTCCTGTCCTATTCTCTGCTACACAGCTAAAGGGCACTTTACAAGTACCCAAGAGAGGGAGCCTTTGAGGAGTATTACTCAGTAGTCCTATGTAGCTAGAGTACAGTGTTTGGAGTAAAAGAACCAAGTAGGGGGCATACTGCTGAAGACCGTGAATCTTCAGCAGAGGAGTCTATTCTCAATTCGCAGGCAATAGAGAGCCTTGAGGGATATTCCTCAGGGTAGATAAGTATTTCATGTGAAAGGGGAAGTAGGTTATTCTGACTGAGACAAAGTAACAGATTGAAATCAGAAGATTATTAAAATCTAGTCAAGAAGCAATATGGCAGTAGCATTAAGTAATAGTAAAGAGAGAGAAAAATATTGAAGAGATGTGAGGGCTAAGGAGGAGGAGGAACAAACAAGCACAGAGGTTTTGGGCTCAGGTGGATGGGAACATCCACAGGATATGTCCATAGAAGTGACGACACCAGAAGAAGGAGCTGCATTGCTGGAGAGTAGAGACAAGATGCTGGATACAATCATTAAATGTGAAGTGAGTCAGCCTGTCAGAAACGCTATGCTGGAGCTGAGGCTTCATTTAATACTTAAAACATAGAATGATCTATAAGAAAAAGTAACAGTCCTCTGCACAGCACTTTCTAAGGGAATCGACCAGGACACTGGACCTGCCATCAAGTGGCCAGGTTCTGTCCCACTGGGACTCCTACTCAGAAATCTGCATTATGAAACTGCCAGGGTGACATAGTAATAGGGATAAAAGATAGAATGCACGAAGTTTAAGAGGTTCATAGAATGAGTAATGCGTGAACTAAACTTGGGAGGGACCTGAAAAGACACAGAGCAGAGAGGGAGGAAGCCAGGTGAAAAAGAAATGAAGATGAATACAGCTGTGTTGGCAGGAAGGAGAGGGAAGAAGAGAGAGAGTCAGAGAGCATGCAAAAGTATGCACGTGTGTGCAAGCAAGATGAGGGTGGGGGGGGCGGACAGAGCGGGAAAGAATATGAACAGTTGATGAATGTGTGCAGAAGCCTATCACCTCATCAAGATCAAGCCACAAAAGGACATTATGACTGTCTTAATTCCACTTCACATGAGGCCTTACTGAAATAAAGTTCTCCACCCTAAATAGTTTCTTACTGTT
This sequence comes from Homo sapiens, assembly GCF_000001405.40. NCBI lineage: Eukaryota > Metazoa > Chordata > Mammalia > Primates > Hominidae > Homo > Homo sapiens. The sequence goes on along the minus strand of NC_000007.14, from coordinate 70,027,903 downwards.
CAAAACAAACAAAAAAAAACACTTAAAGCAAATTAGAGTGGGTCTGAGTTCCTTGTACTTAAACAAGCCAGAAGAGAACACAATTTCCCATATTTCCCTGAGGTCGATCTAGGTTTAAACTGCATAGATTAGGTAAAGAACAAACATGAAGAGTCTTTCTCATTCATTAAACTAATGATAATCCTATTTCTATTATATGATAGTTCACTCTCTGAGGTCAATAGAAATGTATGCATTAGGAACATAGGCTTGATCTACTTTATGCCTTATAATGCATACCATGAAACCAGTACAATGTTTTTGACAATGTGTATCAAAATGTAAAATGCCTTTTCCTGTTTTATATAGTGTCTTAAGTTTAGTTCAGGCATTTCCAGCAAGTTCCCAGGTGATGCTGCTGCTGCTGGTCTGGGGACCACACTTTGAGAACCAATGACATAGGGGCTGGATGAAGACTTAGTAATGGAGGCAAACCCAAGGAAACACGAGAAGTGAGACAAGTCAAGGAAGAAACACTAACAAATATAAACATGTAAAGGATATCCAAGAAAGAGGGGCCAATAAAAGATACTAGCAGTTAGACCAGTATGAGGAAAACCCGACAAGGCTAAAATAACAAAAACCAACAACAGAGAGTTTCCAAAACGAAGACATCAAAAGAGTCCCTAAGTAATTCACAGACAAATACAGATGCTCCTAGACTTATCATGGGGTTATATCCCAATAAGCCCATTGTTAGTTGAAAATATCAAAAGTCAAAAAAGCATCTGATACACCTGACCTTAGCCGAGCATACCTTAAATGGGCTCAGAACACTTACATTAGCCTACAGATGGGCAAAATAATCTAACATAAAGCCTATTTTATAATAAAGTACTGAATATGTCACACTTTATTGGATACTGTACTAAACGTAAAAAAAAAAATGATTTTGCACCAAAACTATCATAAAACTAAAAAATCATAAGTCAAACCATTATAACTTAGGAACCATCTGCACATAGTATCACAGTAAAACTAACCACGAATAAGCTTCAACAAGCCAACATCTTGGCATCTGTGGGGGTTTATCTCCTGACCAAGTCCTCTCCTTCAGTTTCTCCCTCCTGTACTGCCCATTTACAAGAAACAAAGGAGCACATATGTATACCCATTCAGATATATTAAAGAAGAATATATTAATGTCTATTTCCTTCAAAATAGCAGCCCTCACCTGCTAACTATCAAGCTCCTCAAAGATTCACACAGTCATCTAAAGTTAGGAAACTTTCCCAACTTGTCGAGACAAAACTCACAGAAGCTGATCTGCCCAAAATTTGAGTTGGCAAGGTATGAGGCAAGCACCATCCACAAACATTCAAATCGTTCCATGCCAAGCTATAGGAAATGCCAACCTAGATCTCCAATTAGGCCTTGGAACAACAAGTAAGCTCTTCCTCTGTGTGTGCTTTTTAACATCCTTCAGCACTGCCTCCCATGTGTGCTGTAAGGAGCCAACCTCCAGAGAGGGAACTCACAGCCTGCTCTCACCTCTGTCTGCCCAATTCCACTTCAAAGTGCCAACAGCCTAGAAATAGCTGCTGGCAGTGACTAAAGCTAGGCAAGGGAAGGTAGAAGACAATGGCTGGGAGCTACAAAGAAGGTAAAGAGTATTATTAGAACTAGTGTCTGCTCATGAGGCCAGATCCTCAGTGAAACTAAGGAGCGTTTTCCCTTCTAGGGAATATCTGGCTAAGGGCTAAGTAAGTAGTAGTAGGTACCACCCAAAGCCTCTGGAGCCAGACCTGCAGCTGCAGCGCCCATCTTCTGTGACTAATCCCTGTGAAGGCTGAGCCAGCACATTAAGGGGTCTGGCAGCAGATAACAAAGCAATCCATCAGTGAGAAAAATAGGCCAGAGGGCACTGGGAGGTGACACTCCTTACAGCTTTTCGTGCCTAGTTCAGAAACTATCTCATCTTCTTAGGATAGTCTTTTAGTTGTACACTTTGAAAGCTGTAGGAAATGCCAACCTAGATCTCCAATTAGGCCTTGGAACAACAATAAGCTCTCCACTGTGTGTGCTTTTAACATCCTTCAGCACTGCCTCAGCTCCTTCAGCATCCTATTAAAAAAAAAAAAAAAAAAGCTTAGTAAAAAAAAGTATGCAGGCCAGGCATGGCAGCTCACGCCTGTAATCCCAGCACTTTGGGAGGCCAAGGCGGGCTGATCACCAGAGATCAGGAGTTCAAGACCAGCCTGTCCAACAAAGTGAAACTCTGTCCCTACTAAAAATACAAAACAAACTTAGCCAGGCATGGTAGTGCATGCCTGTAATCCCAGCTACTTGAGAGGCTGAGGCAGGAGAATCACTTGAACCTGGGAGGCAGAGGTTGCAGTGAGCCAAGATCCAGCCACTGCGTTCCAGCCTTGGTGACAGAGCGAGACCTTGTCTTTAAAAAAAAAAAAAAAAAAGGAAACAAAAAAAGTATGTAGATATGTTTTTCATCCAAGTGAAACACTGAAAAATAGCCAGTGATGACAGTGATGGGGGAATATTAGAGAAACAAGCAGATACAGAAGAGAGTATATCTGCAGGAAAGGCAGATTAGAGTTTGAACCTTGAGCTCTACATGGCTAAATAAAAGCTAGCAGCTCTTTAAGCCTCAGTTTCCTCACCCATAAAATAAAATTAATTCTGTCCAATCCATGGAATTGTCAAGAGGATTACATGAGATCAGAAATACAAAGCATCAAATACAAGACTCAGCACATAATAGGTATCCAATTACTGGTAGATGCTATAATGATCATTATCCTGTTACCTGAAATTCATTAACACTAATGCTGTCCCATAACCTCATTTGTGTGCATGTGAGATGAGAGACAGAAACACACAGTGAGGGAAAAAGGAATGAGACAATGTTATGATTAATTTTATGCATCAACTTGGCAAGGCAATAGCAGGCAGCCAGTTAATTAATCAAACATGAATTTAGATGTTTCCATAAAGGTATTTTCTAGATGTGGTTAACTTCTACAATCAGTTAACTTCAAGTAAAGGAGGTTATCCTCTATAATGTGGGTGGGTCTTATCCATTCAACTGAAGGCCTTCAGAGCAAAAATAAGGTATCACAAAGAAGAGATTTTGCCTCAAGACTGCAATAACTCTTGCCAAATTTCCAACCTACTGCTTGCCCTACAGATTTCAGACTCGCCAGCCCCCCACAATCAAGTAAGCCAATTCCTTAAAATAAATCTCTTTAGATTTATACACACACACTCCTCCTATTGGTTTTATTTCTCTGGAGAACTTGAACTGATACAGAAAGAGAAAAAAACACACATACAGGTCAACAAAAATAGTGACAAAAAGAAATAAAGAGACAGAAAAGAAAAATAGAGAAGAGAAAAACATAAATCAGATGGAACTATTAAAAGAGCTTGGTCAAGTCCCAGTATAACTACTCCGTAATTAATGGAAATAGTCACAGCACTGCCCTATGAAGTTAACCAACATTCAGAGGATTTTAAAAGCAACAATCCATTCCATTGTTTGTAATTTGATTATAATTTCATGTAACACATGTTGTTCTCAATTCACTAAATACTTGTGTCAATCTGCCACCCAGTACCTGCTTGTTTGAAAGCATATTGCTGCATCAAAATTGCATTAGGACATAATTAGGACTGCATTTTAAGTAACTTCTTTTCTGTTCTTTTACTTAAAGACAGGCAAAAATGTTTGTCATTAAAATAAACTTAAGAATCCAGAATTATAATGGGGAATGGGGGAACAAGAAGCCAGGCAGTAGTATAAAAGTATTCTGATCTGTTTCTATGACACCCTTGTAACCATTACATTTGTCCCTGAATAATTTGTGTGTGCTTTCTTACCCTGGGAAGTGGCTTTCCTTGTGGACCTGCTGTGTGCCAGTCAAGAGTTCGGTGCTTTGCCTCCAAGCAGTTTATAAACCTCCCTCTAATCAAGTCACTGAAGTTGCTCTTAAGGTAATGCATAAAGACACCACAGATTACAGGGTAGAAGGAAAAACTATGGTTTACATTTTTTTTCTTTGCCAGTCAACAACCATTTAATTGCACAGAAACTGTATTTGCTTGGCCTGGATTTGCAGCAGAATGGACACCCAGATGCACTCAACTCAGCTACTCCATAGCAGAGGAGAGACTCCTTTGCTATATTTATTATTTCACTTGGAAACCATTTTAGTGAATTTAGTGAGTGTTTAGTTTAATGAATGTTGCTTTGAATCCTCCAACCAAACTCCAAAAACAATAAATAAAACAGTTGTAAGTCCTTACTACAGGCACCCTTCTAAGTGCTTTACATTCATTAACTCATTATCCTCACTTTACAGATGAGGAAATCAAGGCATAGGAAAGTTGAAAAACTTACAGAGTCACCTGGGAGACAGACTCCAATGCCTGTGCCCTTCCATCACTACTCTCCTACTTCCTCCCATCAATATACCATCCGCTCAGCACAAAATTATATAGAGTAGCACAGACCCATTCCAGTCTCTGAAAATGAATTTGAGAAAATGACATTCACCAGGAACGGCAGTTTGTAATGTTTAAAGAACTGGAAAAGCTATCACTTAGCTCTTAAAGCGCTAAAGAAAGTTGTTAATGATCTCACTCAACTCAAATTTCCCTGTTTGGCCAATTGATTAGAAATTAAGCTGCATTTATTATCGGTGATAATGATCTTATAAAACACACACTTATGTCAAAGTTAATTGAGAAGTCACCAATTAGAGGCTGGGCACAGTGGCTCACACATGTAATTCCAACACTTTGGGAGGCTGAGGCAGAAAGATCACTTGAGGCCAGGAGTTTGAGACAAGCCTAGGCAACACAGCAAGACCCCGTCTCTACAAAAAATTTAGCCAGGTATGGTGGCGTGTGCCTGTAGTTCCAGCTATTCTAGAGACTAAAGCAAGAAGACTGCCTGACCCCAGAAGTTTGAGGTTACAGTGAGCTGTGATCATGCCACTGCACTCCGGCCTGGGCGAGAAAGCAAGACCTTATTTAAAAAAAAAAATTAATTTAATTCAAAAAGATGGTATCACGAGTTAGAGGGTTGCCTGTACAAATGTTTTTGTAGTTAGGAGTTAAATGAGAATGCAAAAAGCAAAGCACCTAGCACCTGACTAGCACACAACAAATCCACCAAGAATGCCACTTCCCAGACCTCTCACTCCCTAAAAATAGCTCACTTATTTAATAAGCCCCTATGATGTCCTTTAGTGAATCAAAAAGGTGTGAAAATCTATTAGTTTAGGCCAGGTGCAGTGGCTCATGTCTGTAATCCCTGCACTCTGGAAGGCCAATGGGGGCAGACTGCTTGAAACCAGGAGTTTGAGACCAGCCTGGCCAACATGGTAAAACCCTTTCTCTACTAAAAATACAAAAATTAGCCTGGCATGGTGGTGTGCACCTGTTAATCCCAGCTACTTGGGGGCTAAGGCAGGAGAATGGCTTGAACCCAAGAGGGACAGGTTGCAGTGAGGCAAGATCGCACCACAGCACTCCAGCTTGGGCAACAGAGCAAGACTCTGTCTCAAAAAAAAAAAAAAATCTATTAGTCTAACACCCACCAAAGTTCAGTGAATGGCCTCTGTGACAATAAACAACAAGAAGAGCCTCCTTTCTTCAGATACTATCAATGTGCTCACCAGTATTGGATTTGGGGCAGCTATGAGGCTTTCATTCAGTTTTAGTTACTAACAACTCTCTCCTTTCTCTGATGTTTTTGCCAATTATGACAGACTGGAAAATATGTCATCTAGTAGCCTCTTCTTACATCAATATTTGATTGCTTTTCATGTAAAACATGCTATTAAGTTAATCACAGGTTGACTCTCACCACAAACACCTTTTAAATAGGTCAAATTAAGACAAAAGTCCATGCTCTTTGCCTCTATGGAACTGGGACACTAAACCAGACATTAATGTCAGGATGCAGATTAAATGTCATTAAAGGCAATTTGTCACTTACACACATTTATCTCAATCTAATAATTAGCTAAAGGTCAGAGAGATAAACCTGTGTATTTGAATCTACATTTCCTTTCCTAAAGGAGATTCAAAGCAATGCTGAAGGCTGTATGCAGATTTGGGTAACCTTCTTAAACAAGTCAATTTGAACAAATTCAACAGAATTAAATACTAGCAGGGGGCAGTGACCAAAGAAAGGCAGATTGAGGAGCAGCAGGAAGGAGGTGATGTACAGACCTATGTGCTGGGCATCACAGCCTTACGAAATAACCTCTCTTATCTGCCAGATACCTCTACCCTTTCCACGTTATTTTACTACAGTGAACATGTGAAGGGTGTGCTGCTGTCTGGATGCTGCAGCCTAGAAAACACATAGAGCAAAGTTTTAGGAGTGATGAATTCAGGATGCCCCATCTGGAATAGCAGATGGGGCCTCTTCAACCCAGCTAGTCCCTTTCCCTTTGCTGGCCTCCTTCCCTCCCATCCAGCTTCACACTTCTCAAAGCCTAACCTTCTAGCTAAAAACAGGATTACCGGCAGACTAATTCTGATAAAGTTAAAATCCAGATAATTAAAAGAAAGTTCAAATGGAAGAGCTTAAGTGGAGTCAAGAAAAGGTTCTGACCAGGCATGGTGGCTCACGCCTGTAATCCCAGCACTTTGGGAGGCCAAGGCGGGCGGATCACCTGAGGTCAGGAGTTCGAGACCAGCCTGACCAACATACAGAAACCCCGTCTCTACTAAAAATACAAAATTAGCCAGGTGTGGTGGCGCATGCCTGTAATCCCAGCTACTCGGGAGGCTGAGGCAGGAGAATCGCTTGAATCCAGGAGGCGGAGGTTGCGGTGAGCTGAGATCACGCCATTGCACTCCAGCCTGGGCTCAAAACTCTATCTCAAAAAAAAAGAAAAGAAAAGAAAAGAAAAGTTTCTAGGCTGGGCATGGTGGCTCATGCCTATAATCCCAACACTTTGGGAGATCAAGGTGGGAGAATCACTTGAGCTCAGGAGTTCAAGACTAGCCTAGGCAGAATGGCAAGACCTTGTCTCTGCCAAAAATAAAACTGAAAAAATTAGCCAGTAATCCTAGCTACTTGGGAGGCTAAGGTGGGAGAATCACTTGAGCCTGGGAGATCAAGGCTGCAGTGAGCTATGATTGTGCCACTACATGGGCAACAGAGTGAGGCCCTACCTCAAAAAGAAAAAGGAAAAAAAGAAAAGGAAGAAAGAAAGAAAGAAGAAAAAAGGTCCTAAAGCATCCTCTACTGAGCGGAAATTTGAGGGTGGTGAGTGTGTACAGGAAAGAAGAAACGGTAGGGAACCACCCCTATGAATTCTGGCTCAGGTAAGATGCCTTTGGACTCTATCCTTCCAAAGGAGTACTCAAGATATATTCAAAACAACAAAAACCTATCCCTTTGTATAGCATACTGTAAATAAAATGAAGAACCAAACATCAGTGCCCTTGTGAACTGACAGTCTCTCTCTTGCAGAGTCCATCAAAAATAGGTAACTGCAATAGAATGTTTTAAGTGCCAACTATGAGCAAACCCAGGAAGGTGGGTCTTAAGAGATGTCCTGGCTCTATGTGGGGATGCAGGTGAGAGTGGGGGGTGGGGTCAAGTTTCTTCAAGATACAACTCTACAATTTTCATTTGCTGATATTGCATTCTACTAAATGCCTTTCTAAAATAATGCTTGGTGTCAATTTGGGGAGAGGTATAAGTGCCAGGAAGCAGGCAAATGTCCTGTCTACAGGAATGGAATCTCAGGTGTGCACCGTGTCCCTATGCATCAACATGTGACAAACAGCAGTCATTCAATAAATATTTGTGGAAAGAACAGCTGCACAATCAAGTTGCATTAATATTCTCTTTTACCTTTCTCCCCTATCTATCTTGGACATACCCAGAACTGAGTGCTGTATTCTAAATGTGATCAAAAAGCAGAGGCAAAGCCAGCATTAGAACTGAGGTAACCAAATCAGTTTCATTGAGAAAAAAGCTGTAACAGACCCAATGGAATAAAAAGTCTAAATTACATTTATCATTCCCTAAAACCACATGAAATCACATACGAAAATTTTTTAAATTAAGAAGAAATCAACTGATAATGACCACAATATTAGATAATATCCAATGAACATTCATATATGCCCAGCACTATTCTAAGAGCCTGACTTTTCATTAACTTATTTAACTGTCTCAACAACTCTATGGGGTAGGTGTTATGGTTTAGGGCAGAGAGCTGTTAAGTAAAATGACAAAGGTAACAGGGCTAGTGTCAGGGCCAAAGATGGACCTGAGGCTTCAGCTTCAGAGCCTATGTTCAATCTACTAGATGTCACTGACAATTGTATTCCTACTACGAAAAGTAAACAAATTAAATGGACCTACACAAACCAATATACAATAAAAAAGAGAAGGACAACCACAGAAATTGTTTTTAAAGTAAGTATTTTGGTTTTTTGTTTTTGTTTTTTAATTTAGCTTTTAAGTTCAGGGGTCTATGTGGAGGTCTCTTACATAGGTAAACTTGTGTCATGGGGGTTTGTTGTATAGATTATTTCATCACCCAGGTATTAAGCCTAGTACCCATTAGTTATTTTTCCAGAACCTCTTCATCCTCCCACCTTCCACCCTCCAAAAGGCCCCAGTGTGTATTGTTCCCCTCTATGTAACCATGTGTTCTCATCATTTAGTTTCCACTTAAAAGTGGGAACATGCAGTATTTGGTTTTCTGTTCCTGCATTAATTGGCTAAGGATAATAGCCTACAGCTCCTATCCATGTTCCTGCAAAGGACATGACCTCATTCTTTTTTGTGGCTGCAGAGTATTCCATGGTATATATGTATGACATTTTATTTATCCAGTCTACCATTGATGGGCATTTAGGTTGATTCCATGCCTTTGATACTGTGAGTAGTACTGCAATGAACATACACAGACATGTATCTTTATGATAGAACAATTTATATTCCTTTGGGTATATACCCAGTAATGGAACTGCTGAGTTGACTGTTATTTCTGTTTTTAGGTCTTTGAAAAATTGACATACTGTCTTTCACAATGGTTGAATTAATTTACATTCCTACCAACATTGTATAAGCATTCCTTTTTCTCAGCAACCTCACCAGCATCTGTTATTTTTTGTAAAGTAAGTTTTAAGATATTCTTTCTCCTACTATAAGCAACTCACCACGGCAGATTATGGTAAATCTCCTTTTACATTAGCTTATAAAGTACAACTTAAGTCAAATTTATTGAGCACTACTTGCTTTTTTATAAGGAATCGGATTGTGAAATAGTTGTATAACCGGGATCTCTTTTACAGAGAAAACAGTCAATGTCATAGAGAAGAGTGTTAAACAGGAATCAAATTAGCTAGGGTGCAGCCTCAGAATGGCTATAGTAAATTACCTTGAGAAAGCTATTTCACCTAACTACTCTTGGTTTCTTCATTTACAAAACTGAGTGGTTGAAGTTGATCGTTAGATCCTGGTATACCCTTCAGTCCTGATAAAGTGTGATTTTGTGAAATACAGATGTTCACTGATTTTTTTAAATGATTGATCCAGCTGCACTTTATTATACTGAATGTGTATGAATTCCTTCAACTGAACATAAAAGTCAGCGAATATAGAAAAGTTAAAGGAAAAATGGAGGATTGGTAGTTAAAGGCGTTAAAAAAAAAAGAGTCCTACATGTATAAACTTCATGAATAGACTACAAAAGGGGCTAAAAAAAATCACACAAAACTATTTTCAAATATGCCAACTAAAGTGGGAAAGTAATTTGCATTTCTATGGCAGGCTTAATGATGGTTTGATTCTGGGATGCTTCATGAAACGGAAACCAAAGAACTGAAATGACCATCAAAACCAAACCAAACCCAGTTTCTATTCTTGACCCTCCTTCTAGGCTCTCAGGATTAGTTCTGAAGAGTCAATTAACCTCTCCATGCCTCACTATCTTTCAAAATTGTCAACATCACCCTTCCAAATAGTTCAAAATGTGATCAGTAAAACATATATATATAAATATAATATAAATATATAAAAGAAATCTATAAATATAAATATATTTATAAATATACATAAACATATACAATTAAAGAAAAAACTATCACAATATAACTGGTTGTTTCTGATTTTAATTCTAACAACTACTTTCCTGTGAGCATTTCGCAGTGATGGCTAGTTTGATGATGTCTGGAGGAAGACTGAAAATATTTGTGTCTGAGCAGAACATCTTCTTGGGTTGAAGAGGCCACAGCAGCCTCTTGGCCCTGTGGGAGATGCTCCAGCTGATCCCCTGCAGGGCAGGGAACCAGCTCTGAAGCCTGTACATGGGAATTCTTGTTTGCACAAGTCACGGGCATTCAGCCTTTCATGAAATGACAGCATAAAGCTCGGAGGAGCACTGCTCTGCCCTGCAGCTGTGGCCAAGACTGCAATGTTTAAAGGTTACAGTGATTAAGGACTGTGATTAATTTAGTCTCAGCAAAATCAATTTCACTTAACTACAAATCTCTAATTTACATACCAGAACAAGCTAAACTTGGTTCTGATCAATATAATCTGAGATTCACAATAATCTCCCTCCCTCCCATTCCCAACCTCTGTCTTCCCCGAAAAAGAAAGATGTATTATGGGGAAATCAAAGAAAAATGTGCATTCACTTTGGCGAAGTTAACACATCTTTTATTTGGATAAATATTATTTCATTCCTCTGATTTGGTAATGTTACAAGTGATGAAAAGCATTAAACTGTAACTTAGATTGGTGCCTAATGCCAAATATTTAGAAATTTAATACTTGAAGTTTCATAGCATTACTGGCTTAGTCTTCATCACTGTGCCAGTTCAAAAACAGTAGTAGTATATTTACTTGTATACCATTCTCTATCCCTACAATCATTAAAAAGTCTGTCAAGGAGGCCAGGCACAGTGGCTCACGCCTGTAATCCCAGCACCTTGGAAGGCCAAGGCAGGTGGATCACTTGAGGTCAGGAGTTCGAGACCAGCCTGGCCAACATGGTGAAACCCTGTCTCTACTAAAAATACAAAAATTAGCCAGGCGTGGTGGCACATGCCTGTAATCCCAGCTACTAGGGAGGCTGAGACAGGAGAACTGCTTGAGCTGGGGAGGTGGAGGTTGCAGTAAGCTGAGATCGAGCTACTGCACTCCAGCCCAGGAAACAGAGTAAGACTCCGTTTCAAAAAAAAAAAAAAAAATCTGTCAAGGCATTGTGCAACCTTCTCCCTTTCTCTCCATGGTGGACTACACAATGTATGAGCAGAAAGGAGTGAACTGTGTGATAAGAGCAAGTGAAACAAGACAAACTGCTCCAGTCCCTCTCTCTGACTCATCCCCTGTGAATTCCCTGTTTCTGTAGTGCGCTCTCCAAACTGGCTTTAGACCACAGAGGCAGCCAAAGTGGGTTTATCTTCAGAATCACCTCTCTATCCCCCAAATCTCCTCCTAAACCATCACACGATCCTGGTGGTGAAGTCAGGAAAAAAAAAATTACTTAAAAGGGACTGAGGTACTACAGAAGGAAATAGTGAAAATCCATCCCTTAGCTAACAATGTCAATTATATATAATAATAGAAACCTGGAATATTGCGGTCTGTCAAACTGACCTTCTTAAAATGACACACTCCCTTCTGCTTTCTGTCCAATTCAGGTCACTGTTATCATGAAGAAAATATTCCCTTGACCACTGAAACTCCTGTCTCTTCTTTCTCCCTTCTTTCATCATTGACCCTTTTTAGGGTGAGTTCTGCATTAATTTACAGCCTTTGTTGTTTTCTTGATATCCCGAGATTTGCTTTCCAAGCTAATGAAACCTTTCTTCCAATATGAAGCAACAGCCTCACTCTGAAACCAAGTAGTCCTGTTTCAGTTTCCCAGCAGCAATTACTAGAAACATAGACTGAATTTTAAATTTAAAGTTTGAACAACTGCAGCTGTGAACTGAGAATTCACAGCAAGCAGAAATGCAGCCCTGCAAGGCACAAGCATAAGCACAGGGGGAAAAAACAACAACAACAACAACAACAACTAGGTGGCCACTGGATGCTAAAAAAAAAAAAAAAGTGAATATTTAAAGAATAAAATTCAGACAGAAACAGAATAGAGACATTTCCCTGAGCCATGACCAGTTAAATGCTTTACCAATTTTTCTTAAAAGGAGATACAGATAATTCATTCAAGAATGAAATTTCATTTCGTTTGTGTATTATTCACAGTCTGCTGTATATTATTTCTTTGCATGAACTGTGAATCAAAAAGACAATCTTCTCACAACATGGGTTGTGTTATCTCAACTAATTCTTTTATTGTCCTTGTAAAGCCTCTGAGTAAAGTACTCTGTCAATTATTGGGGAAGTTATTATACTACATTATATACAGTGGTTACAAATGTAAGCTCAGAATTTAGACACATCTGCTTTTAAATTCCAGCTCAGTCATTTAATGGCTGCCAGATTTTGTGCAATTATTTAACCTCAATTTTTTGTTTTGGCATCTGTAAAAATGGTGCTAATGATAGTATGTATTCACTGAGTTTTTGTGAGGACTAAGTGAGATTATGTCTTTAAAGTATAACACCTGGCTCACGTTAAGCAAGGAACAAAATGTGTGTGGTTTACTGTGGATACTAATCCAAGCACAGAATATAAGGACCAATAAGACTTTGCCTTCTCCAACTGAGATACTTGGCTGTTGTTTTTAAAAAAGCAAATTAATAGGACTTTCAGGAGAGTGAGCAGGAAAGACTAGTCACCAAATTTCCTCTCTTCATCCTTGAGACAGTGTTGTCGGGTTACAAAAAGCAACTGACAACTGCAACCACCACAACAGCTGGATATTAGCGTTTTTCAGAGATGTAAAAGAAACATTATGCTCATAATTTTCTCATTCCAAGAAAATGGCAACAGCTTTGTGCTGCATATATTGTGGTTGACTAAAAAGAAAAACACATTCACATAACAAGCAGCTTGTCTGAAAATGCTTTTTTGGAAGCCACTTGTATGTATAAGCCCTGGAAAACTAGTCCATGGCAGTTCCAGTGTACCAGATGAGTATTCTGGGGGACAGTATTCTCAAACATCCTGTACCAGCCCCAGAAAAAGAATGCCTAATTAACAAGACAACTCAACCTGTTATCCTGCCTACAGGCATGTGTCATTTGAAGAGGTGTGCATGTCTACGTGAATGCACACAAAGAAGCAAAACACAGGACCAGTGTGTTAGAGAAAGCACTCATGTGTGAGTAAGCACATAAAAGAGAACTACCAAAAAATCACAGAGAGCAAGAGCAAAAAAAGAATACAGCCTTTAGAGGAAGGGCAAATGAAACTAGACATTAACATTGAAATCTTCATTAATTTAATAAATACTCATTGAGCAGTGAACAAAATATTGCAATGAGAACCAGGACAGACAAAAAAGAATGACAATACCTTAATTATGTCTGAGTAGGCAAGCTTTATTTTTAAGTGTTATCTCTTTTTCCATCTTCAAAATCAAAGAAAACAAGAGCTAAGACAATGGCATGGTTTGGCCTTTCCTTTTTAATCTGTCTAATTAGTTAAGAACAATGCCTCACTTAGTGCTTCCTTAGATGTAAAGTGTATGCCTCTTTAAGCTCCCTTTCTACTTGAGACAGAAGTGAGTGCAGGCCTCAAGTTCGGAATCTTCCATAGGGAACAGTATCTAACTAGAGCCTCATAATATTTTAATTGTATTACACTCATTTTTATAGTTACTTTCTTATGGCATGTGATACTTGCCTTCTGCTCATTATAGTGATATTATATTTCCTTCTGAACAAGTGTGTTTACAGGGAAAGAAAACACAGCCAATTAAAAAATAACTGATGAGGCCGGGCGCGGTGGCTCACGCCTGTAATCCCAGCACTTTGGGAGGCCGAGGTGGGTGGATCACGAGGTCAGGAGATCGAGACCATCCTGGCCAACATGGTGAAAATCCATCATTACTAAAATACAAAACATTAGCCGGGCGTGGTGATACGTGCCTGTAGTCCCAGCTACTTGGGAGGCTGAGGCAGGGGAATCGCTTGAACCCGGGAGGCGGAGGTTGCAGTGAGCCGAGTTCGCGCCACTGCACTCCAGCCTGGTGACAGAGAGAGACTCCGTCTCAAAAAACAAAAACAAAAACCTGCTGAATAAGTAACGGTAGAGAGGAAACTCCAAAGTGGCAAAAGTTAAAGAGGGTACTAGATGGTCTTCAGCTATGGCAGACAGTAAATTTGCAAGCTAAGATATTAAAAACTCCTCCATTTCATCCCCCACAGCTATGTCCACCTTCCATTTCCCCTTCCAAGGACCATAACTGGGTCTCATTAGTAGACTGACAGTCAAATGTGGAGAGGGGAAATGGGATAGAGATAAACTGAATGAAGTCACACCAGTTTTGCCACCATCATTCAATCCAATGGTTCTTCACAGGAGAATGTAGGAAAGCTAAAAGCGATCTTGACTTGAGCAGAATTCCCACCTCCAGCTCCCAGGCTGGAGATCCTTCTCATCTCTGCTGGCTGCTTTGAGTTTTAATAAGATGTAAATTTCAGGAGACAGGATTTATTTTTCCCAGCCCAAGTTAGTCCTCAAGGTTTAGACAGTCAGTAAATTGTTACCATCAGCTTTAGGAAAGGAAGCAAGCTTTCAGTAACAGAAAGACATTAACAATCAAATAGTATTCATCGCATCACAGGTAGGTACAGCTGCAAGCCTGCAGCACAAATAAGTTTCCAGCTGTGTCCCCACATTTTCACCCCTTGCTGCACCAAACTTTACAGAGAATTGAATTCTTCCAGCAAAGTGTGTTTTCATTGAAATGTGCTAGATCCTATAAAAGGTAACCATATGGAAATTTTCTCTATAAAATATTCTTTTCCTCCTCTTTCTCCATACCCCCAAAACACACATACATGCACACATATGCGGTCCTATTCATGAGCACTTATTTCTCTACAACCCAAACTCTAGAAAATCCTGTTACTACATTATCATTTATCTTTTTCACTGATAAGAGAAATAAATTATAAATACAACCCAGCTATCTGATCTGAAAAGCCATCATCACATACTGATCACATCATATAGTTTTCTTCAACTGAAGTGCCCGGGCAAGATGTTTTCTTAGTGTCAGCATAGTGTGCTTTGAAATATGAAGCTTCACCTGAGCCTTCTGACTGCAAAGACAAAGCCTCTTCTAACACCATTCAATGAATGAAATGAATTGAATATAATGAAAAGATCAAGGGAGAAATGGAAGAGGAAAAAATGGTAAGGAAAAAGAGATGAGGAAATAAGAAGCAGGAGATGAGGTGGAAAAGGAAAAGGCTGGAAGAAGTAAAGCAAGTGAGAGAATAACAAGAAGTGAAGACAAAAGAAACTAAAAAATTCCTGACTTTGGAACACTGAACACCATAAAGACCCATATTTTTACATGGTTTGTTTCACAAAATAGATGTCAAACTCATGTCTAGGTTTAACAATGAACTGACATATTTACCAAGGGGGCCTCTTACAGAGAGCTAAAAATATGAACCACAAAGGCAGACAAAAATTACCCTGGACGCCAGGGCCCAGGGGCAAGAGAGAACAATGTGGAGACCTGCCTCCTCCAGCCAATCCTGCTTGTCCACCCCTTTGAACTTATTCCTGTCCAAGGAGGTTAGCAAATGTGCCTACTCATTAACTATCTCTGCCTTCTCCACAGATCACAAATGCCCCAACTGGTAACTGTCAGAACCCAACACCATCAACGCTTTGCAGAAAGTAAGGGGTGAGTGAAGATGAAAATGGAGCAAGAAAGAGAACTTAGCATGATGACTGCACACCCTCAGTGAATGGCAGGCCTAAGGGGAGAAATTTAGGCCTGTCCCACCTCACAGTGAAAAAACTCAATGGTTCCTGAGACTCATACTCCCTCCTCTCCACTGTGTAGGAGGCTCCCAGGACACATGACAGTGAAAAGATTGAGGCAGTCAGAGGGAAACTTCGTCTAGCCCCAACACAGGCAGAGATGGTAGGAGCTCCACCTTCCACAGCAAGGGCTGAAAGGTCGCATGGCCACCCTGAAGCTCAGAATCCACAGATGATCAAGTGAAGGATGACAGAAGCAATCTGGATTATGCAAAGAATTGCTCTGAAATATGAAAGATGATTTTAAAAAAAGCTAAGAACTGCTTGTTCCGGCCACCAGTCCAAAAGACTCATGCTGCCCACCTTCCATTTATACATCCTCCAAGCAGTGAAGGTTTCCATGGGGCTCAGGACCCTCTTGGTAATTATTAAAGTAACTTAATTATACAATTGGTTAAGCCACCTATTCTGGGATAATTTGGCATGTAGTAATTCTGTCATCTATTCATGGGAAAACAGTTTCCAAGTTACAGCTAAGTAACTTACACACCATTTTTTTGTAACAAAAAGCCCTGATGAGCTAAATTGAGAAATAAGTAAATGAGGGTAGAAGTGGGAGAGTAGAAAAGGGAAAAATGAGGGAGAGGAGAGGAGAGGAGAGGAGAGGAGAGGAGAGGAGAGGAGAGGAGAGAGGAAAGGAGAGGAGAGGTGAGGCTAGTGAGAGTTTTGCCATCAAAAGATTTGTTTCCTAAAGCATGTCAGTGCTGGATGTCAATCCAGAGCTAGACAACTCGATTTTTTCATCAGCAAAAAAGACTGAGTGACCTTTTCCATCCTCAGTGGCTCCCCTCAGGCTTTATTTAGTCATGGTTGAAAATCAGGCCACAGGGAGAAATCTTGCCCTTTTCTTAATTTCAGATCAACACATAAGTAGCCTTAACTCCTATTTTAAAAGTGTATCTCCAATAAGTTACTAGTAATCTGGCCATCCTTTATGCCTGATGACCAAATCAAGTATGTGTCAAAAATTACTCAAGTAAGTCAAGCAAATCTCTTCCTTGGCTGCCCAACAATGAAGCTTTGACCCTGGGCACTGAGATCCCCTTACAAGCTTTTCCTTCCAATTTCTAATATCCAGAATCCACAGATGTCCAGGTGAAGTATGACAGAAGCAATCTGGTGAGCACTGTAGAATGGATAGATCCTGTTTGGTGATACTGGAGAATATCTAGTTTGGGTATAATTTCAGATCTTTAGATTGAAACAACCCAAAAACTTGTGTGATGCATAACAAACATATTATTATGATCCTACCTCATTCAGGATAGGCTACATAATGCTGTAGTATCAACTGCAAAATCTCCATGGCTAAAAATAACAAAGGCTTATTTCTTGTTCACACTCTTATGTCTCTATGGCTGTTGTGAGTCAGCAGGTGCTCGGCTCATCACAGTCACTCAGTCATCAAGGGGGATGGAGTGGCCACCATCTTGAACATTGCTAAACTTCATGTAGAGGAAAAGAGAATATGGTGAAGTATACACCTTTAAAAATGTCCTCAGCCAGGCGTAGTGCCTTATGCTGACAATCCCAGCACTTTGGGAGGCCGAAGCAGGAGGATTGCTTAAGACCAGGAGTTTGAGATCAACTTGGACAAAAGAGTGAGACCCCAGTCTCTACCAAAAATAGAAAGTTATCTGGATGTGGTGGCACACGACTGTAGTACTAGCCACTTGGGAGGCTGAGGTGGGAGGATCACTTGAGCCCAGGAGGTCAGGGCTGCAGTGAGCTGTGACCACACTACTGCACTCCAGTTTGGGCAACAGAATGAGACCCTGTCTCAAAAAAAATTAATTAAAAAAAAATATCCTCATGACATAGCTGAGGCATACTTTAATAAGCAAGGCTCACAGGTAACTTTTTAAATAAGCATCATATAACTTGGGACAGGGAAGACAGGTATCTTACCCCAGGCAGTAAGAAAGATAAAGCCTTGTATTTGAATAGTACTTATCTGTTTAAAAAACATTTTGACATGTGTCACTCTGGACAGGCACCTGAAATAAATTCTTTAAACATTTTAAAAGTGGATAAGGTAGATATGCAAATTCTTTAAAAAAAGAAAGGATGGAACTCACCAAACCAAAAGAGTATTATTTTAGGTCTCACTAGAGCTAAGCCAGAGGCTAGTCCCACCATTTCAAGTCATATGACCTTGGGCAAGTATTTTAGCATGAGTCTCATTTTCCTGATATACAAAGTGGAGATAATAATACCATAGATTATATGGCTGCATAGGGTTATTATGAGAATCCGATTAAAGAAACATTTTTCAGATTGAAAAAAGACCCAAAAATAAGGAAACATCATTTTTATTATAGAAGATCTTTGTCATTGGTAGCTGCACTTAGTAGGTGCATAAAACCACGAGGAAAAATGCAATACTTCAGTGCTTTAAATAAAATCAAAGTAACATTTTGAATCTAGGTCACTACTAAGGCTTGCTGCAATGGCAAAAGAATACAGCCCACTTCTATTTTAACCAATATTATTTGTAGTCTTTTCGGGGCTGCAACGTAAATAGTTCCTTTCGATACCAACGTTAAACAAATGTTAAACTTCCCTCTTACTATGGTTTAACCATGTCCCCAAAGTTTGTGTGTTGGAAACTGAATCCCCAATGCAACACTATTGGGAAGTAGGGCCAAACAGGAGGTGATTAGATCGTGGGGTCACTGCCTTCATGAGTGAATTAACGTCATTCACACTGGAGTTGGGTTGGTTATTGCGAGAGTGGGTTGTTATTAAAGTGAGTTCTGCTTCCTCTTGCTCTCATGCTCTCTTGCTTTTCCACCTTCTCCCATGGAATGAAGCAGCAAAAAAGCCCCCACCAGATGCCAGCACCATACTCTTATAATTTCCAGCCTCCAAAACCATGAGCCACTCTCAGGTATTCTTTTATAGCAACACAAAATGAAATAAGACACCTCTCAAACTTCATCTATACTTGCCAAAGTTATCTTGTTTTATTTCTTCTCTCTAGTAAAGCCCCCAGCTATCTCAAAAGAAGTGCAGGATAAAAACCATATCTATATGGGCCATATATACCTGGTTATTTATTTGCCACAAATTCCATACTTTGGGTAATATGAAAAAAAGGACAATATCATAAGTACTTTAAATCATGTTTATATAGATTTCACAAATTCAAAGGATTGTGGAAATTTTAGTGATACGGCTGTGATATTAACAGCAAAATCTCAATTTTCAAAATTTTCAGAAATCTCCAAATTTCTCAATTCACGTTTTACTTCCTTTAATTTTCCTGACAGCATTTAAGCCTACATGCGGTCATGTCACAAGTCAATCATGAGGTTATACTGAGGTTTGGATATGGGCCTTCTGATGCTGAGTCTGGGTGCTTTTAAGACAAAAAACTTCTTGCACATTTTACAAATTTACTATCCATAAAATGTCTGTAGGCATACCCATACACAGGCCACTGACACAGAAAGATTGCTTGAAGAGACGCTGGTAGACAAAATAAACAAATATATAATAAAGAATGCCACCACAGAAGAGTGGAATATATAATGCATAATATTTTTTAAAGGAAGTAGCAAAACAAAAACAAAAAGTATTACCCATCAATAAAATAAATTCAAAGTCTCATAGCATGCTATATATTAAAATAAATTTCAGATTTGATTTTAAAAATTGTTATAAATAGTAAAAACCATAAAATAAAGGAAAACATAGGCTAAATAACTGATTTGTGGGAGAGAATTATAAAGAAAAAATATGAATATGTACATATTTAAAACATTCATACAATTTTCTTCAAATATAAGGAAGCAAGTTAACAGAAGGAGACATGTTTTAAACAAACACAACATAGAGTTAATATACTTAACACATGATGATTTTGTATACAAAAAAATTAACTGTTGAACAAAAGCAGCCACACAGAACATAAACAATTTATAGATTAAATAAAAATGATCAATAACACATGGAAAATGCCCAATCAATCTAGTAATCAAGAAAGGCCAATGTAAAAACTGAGCAATCATTCACCCCAAACACCTATAAAGGTAAAACATATTTGATGATATGTGAAGATGGTGAGAGCGCAGTAAGTACTCTCATGACTGAAAAGTCTGAATAAATAGAAAATCTTAGGCTATATGTATCAATAATTTAAAAAATATTCAGACCTTTTAAACATAGATGAGCAAATGACAAACAGCATGAGCTTTGAAGACAGACTATCTGGGTTCAAATCCCAGCTTCACCTATTGCGCACTGTGTGACCTTGGGAAAATTACTTGATGTTTCTCAGCCTCACTTTTCTCATGTCTAAAATAAAAATAAATAATCCTTACTTTATAGAACTGATGTGAGAAATGAAATGTGTAATATATGTAAAGCACGTACCATAGTGACTATCACATAATAAATGTTCAATAAATTTTAGGTTATGCCATTATCATCACCACTACTACTACCACCAGATCCATTCTGGAAAATGGCCACAATATTAATGTAAGTTTATAAGTATACAAGAGAAATACAGGCACACATAACTCTAAAAAAAAGCTACAAGGAAATATACCAAATGTAAGAGTGGTTATTAAGGAATTATGGATGACTTTGTATTTTCTGTAATAGATTTTCTACTTTCAAAGTTTTCTACAATGAGTATGTTACTTTTATACTTAGGAAAGCAACCATGATTTAGGGGGGGACAGAAAGGCTAAGCTCCCTCATTGAGGTTATCATTTTTAGTTTGTAATAATAAAGGTAATAAAACTTAAAACAAAACCAAGGTTGTCTGCATCAAATATCTTTCCTATGCATACGGCATTTTCTGCATTAACTTCTAAGTTCCTGTTTGCACTAGGTAATGCAAGAAAAATATTGGAAGAAATAGGTGTAAAAAAAGTAATTAAGGATAAACAGCCCTGTGAAAAGATGGTATATCCAATATGCCTAATTCTGCTTTGCGAAAACCTAGGGATACGAACAAGAATATCAAGAGCAACTCCCATCCTGGATTCAATGTACAGAGAAATCTTGATCAGAAATCTCAAATTCTTATGGAAGCAAAGGTACTCCCCACAACTTCCTCTTTTCTAAATATAACCTCAGAAGCTAAATCGAAGCATCCACAGAGATGGGGCTTGTGCACAGCATTTCCCATGAGACATGACAAAGAATGCCATAGACATTAAAAGTCTGCAGCACATCCTTCTGCTCTGTTCCCAACTCTATTAACAGGCTACAGTAGGTATCAGGGCATGTGATCATTGTATAAAGGTACCACACCGCAAACTTCTTTAGAACTGGGGAAGTTGGGCGAGGATTATCAAAGCTCTTTTACCATCTGTCTGTGGAGGGGGTAAAAAAAACAACAGCAGCAGCAGCTGGTGCAAGAAGTAGCAAGATGTTGGTTCTGGAAGTGACAAGATGGGAAATGACAGGAAACAGCTTTTCACTCCTCCAACAGCAAAAGAAACGTGCAGCCCATGTTCCAGTGTTTGAAAATCTCCAGATGCTGCTCTCGTCTCACATTTCCGTAGCTTTGTTCAGACAACATCTGAAAGCCTGCCTTTCTTTTTTCAAGCACTCTCTTTCTTTAGAGGAACATACAAAACTATCAAATACAGGCTTCTCCCCCCTCCTCGTTTCTCTCAAAGGCAATGTGAAACGAATTCTAAGTGTCACCACGGAAGGAAAATAGCATCACATGAGCCTCTGCAAAATTTTTTCCAGTTGTATCCTTCAAGAAAAATGTACAACGTACTCTGGTTTCTGCCATTTGGTAGTTAAACTAATATTAGACTTTGAGTAGAACTAAGGAGCTGAGGAATAAAAAATGAACAATGAGCAATGTTCTGAGGACGGGGCACCCTATGCAACGACTCACTTCTTGGAAGTGGTGGGCCGTGCTTTCTTGCTGCACTAAACACTAACACATGCGTGCATTTGTTTCCACTTTAAATGTTAGGTTCATGAAGTCGGAAAAGAGGTAACATTATACACAATATATACACAATCCAACTGCAGAATTTCAAAGGACTAGCATACAACGTTAATCAAATATACTAATTTAGAATTGCCCCATATGCTAAACATATAAAACCAATTTTCAAAAAACTTTGGAACATGCACATAAAATATACTAAAATTACACTAACTAAAATTTTCAATTTTGAGGTCACAGATCACATTTGGGAATCTCCCTGTTTCAGGCTTCATCAGCCACTTCCTTGCCCTTGTTGATTTTGCACAGCTGGTGACCAGGCCCAAGTGCCCCTCTCTTCTTCAGCAGCCAGCTCAGCCTTTAAGATCCAGGTGGGTTCCTCCTTCCCGTACACCTCCCAAACTTCCCTCTTTGAGCAAGTGCATCTTTCCCCTGAACTCGAACAGCACATGCCTGTTATAACAGCCCCCTAGATGGTAATTCCTCTGTTCAGAGGTTGGTCTATCACAATAGTGAGCCTCTCACAAGGGAAGAGGTCATTTCTTCTTGATCTTTCTGTACCAGTGCCTGTCATAATACTTGACATTCATTTTAAAAAATATATTAATCACTACTACATGCCAGACACTAGCAATTCAAAGTATGAATAGAACACAGTTCCTGTCCCCCAAGGGGCTTAGATCTAACTATGAACCTTTACTTTTGTGACACAAAAGTAAAAACTAACAGTGTATTCAGCATTATAAGCAAGGCCCTACGGAAATCCAAACCAGGTCACCCATGGAAGCTGTTCAATCAACGTTCCATAAGAAAAAAATATCACAGGTTCAGCAGCTGGATGTGCTTCCTAGAGAATTCCATTTAGCTGTGTAATCTTAAAAAAAAAATATTTCAAAGTCAGACGCGGTGGCTCGCACCTCTAATCCTGGCACTTTGGGAAGCTGAGGCGAGTGAATCACCCGAGGTCAGGAGTTCGAGACCAGCCTGGCCAACATGGTGAAATCCCATCTCTACTAAAAATACAAAAATTAGCCAGGCATGGTGGTAGGTGCCTGTAATCCCAGCTACTTGGGAGGCTGAGGCAGGAGAATTACTCAAACCCGGGAGGCAGAAGTTGCAGTGAACCGAGACCATGTCATTGCACTCCAGCCTGGGCAACGAGAGCGAAACTCGGTCTCTAAATAAATAAATAAATAAATAAATAAATAAAGTCATTAATTCATGTGTAGACTCCACGCTGTTGTTATCTCATTTTATAGATGAGGAAACTGAAACTGAGGTGGGAAAATGAAGTAATTTTTTTTCCCCCAGCTCATGAACTACTGCACCCGGCCCCAAAAAGCAGTTTTAAAACACTCTGCCTCTAAGTCGGCCAAAACTCAATGATTCTCATTCCCAGTTCTTCCTTGCTGTTCTCACCAATGAAGCATGAGTCAGAAACTCTTTCTGATCTGCCTTTGCTAATCAATTTTGCATCCCTTAACCTTAAAACTTTTTGTAGTTCCTTCTAGTTTATTAGCTTTTAATGAGCAAGCAACTTGCCTTTTATTAGTTCTGAATCTCTATGGCTTATGGCATTTTATATATATATATATATAATATATTATATATTCACATATATATTCATATATATAATATATATATGAATATATATTCATACATAATATATATATGAATATATATTCATATATATATTATATATATAATATATAGTCACATATAATATATTCATATATAACACATTCATATATATAATATATTCACATATAACACATTCATATATATAATATATATTCACATATAACACATTCATATATATAATATATATTCACATATAACACATTCATATTATATATATTCACATATAACACATTCATATATATTATATATATTCACATATAACACATTCATATATATTATATATATTCACATATAACACATTCATATATAATATATATATTCACATATAACACATTCATATATAATATATATATTCATATATAACACATTCATATATAATATATATATTCATATATAACACATTCATATATAATATATATATTCATATATAACACATTCATATATAATATATATATTCATATATAACACATTCATATATAATATATATATTCATATATAACACATTCATATATTATATATATATTCATATATAACACATTCATATATTATATATTCATATATAACACATTCATATATTATATATATTCATATATAACACATTCATATATATTATATATATTCATATATAACACATTCATATATATTATATATATTCATATATAACACATTCATATATATTATATATATTCATATATAACACATTCATATATATTATATATATTCATATATAACACATTCATATATATTATAGATACTCATATATAACACATTCATATATAACATATTCATATATATTATATATACATATATAACATATTCATATATATTATATATACATATATAACATATTCATATATATTATATATACATATATAACATATTCATATATATTATATATATTCATATATAACATATTCATATATATTATATATATTCATATATAACATATTCATATATAACATATTCATATATATTATATATATTCATATGTTATATATATTCACATATATAATATATTCATATATAACATATTCATACATATTATATATTCATATGTTATATATATTCATATATAATATATTCATATATAATATATATATTCACATATATAATATATTATATATTCATATATAATATATTCATATATAATATATTCATATATAATATATTCATATATAATATATTCATATATAATATATTCATATAATATATATGAATATATATAATATAGTCATATATAATATATTCATATATATGAATGAACAAAAATATGTCTGGAACTGATTTTTAAATGTATAATATGCAATATGTAAACTTCCCTACTCTTTGAAAGATGCTCAAACTTCAACTTAACTATCTAGTTTTTCATATATCCTATTTTTTTCTTAAAATTGTTGATTTTTCAAAAAATTAACATTATATGAAAATCCCTATTTGAATAAAGTTTTACTGTCTTTCCCAAAGTAGCTTTTAATCCACTGAATTTTCACAGCTATTTAGGTATTTTGATTTTAAAGACTAAGAGTGATGTACAAATAAAATGTGAAGAATGTGAACATTAACAGTATCTGTGACTCTGGGCAAATCTTACCTTCAATGTTTCTATCCCCTCTTCCCCAAATACAAAGTACAGTCCGGTACATAAAACATATTTTATAAGGTACTTGAAAATACCATTAGCTTTATTGCCAGCTAACTACATGCTGCTGACTCACTGTAAGTGTCGTCTAAAAATCGTAAGTCTCATCTCTATCAATTCTCTATTTTCACAGTTGGATTTTCAAACATAATCACACTTTTAGTCCTAGCAAATCTTATTTTCGCCACTGCCAAAAGAGTTAAAATCTATATGTGTCCTGTTCCTCCCATCTACCATATTTATGACCCAAGAAGTTTTGGTACCATTTAAAATTGTATCTTCATCCTAGTCTAAGACAAAAATCTGGATAAGATAGAGCCAAGGATAGATTATTTATGATAATCTTAGAAAGTCATCTCTAGAGTGAAATAAAATTTAATCACCACTGGAAAAAGTTATAAAATTAATTATGAATACTGATAATCATAATGCCACCCCGCCTATATTTTTCTACTTGTTCACAAAGAGATTATGGGAGAGCAGACCAAAAATTTTGCTGAAAGCCAAATGCATTCTGTCTATGACATCCCCAAGTTATTGGCCCAGACCTCTTGCTAAACAGGAATTGCTGAATTCATGCTGTCATTCTGTAAGCACTATACTCTTTTCTCAGTGTTTACTTATATCACTTGTTAGGAAATACTATTGGGACTCAAATTATAGGTTCAGAATTTACTCATATTGTTTTTATTAAAGCCAAAATGCATTTAACTCAAAGATGACAATGAAGGCCGGGTGTGGTGGCTCACGCCTGTAATCTCAGCACTTTGGGAGGCCAAGGTAGGCAGATCACCTGAGGTCAGGAGTTTGAGACCAGCCTGACCAATACGGTGAAACCTCATCTGTACTTGAAATACAAAAATTAGCCAGGCGTGGTGGTGCGTGCTTGTAATCCCAGCTACTCAGGAGGCTGAGGCAGGAGAATCACTTCAGCCTGGAAGGCAGAGGTTGCAGTGAACAGAGATCAGGCCACTGCATTCCAGCCTGGTGGCAGAGTGAAACTCAGTCTCAAAAAAAAAAAAAAAAAAATATGACAATGAGGCTATAATTCAATTGCATCAGGAGCCTTGAATCCATTCTCTGCAGACAGGCAGGTATTACCTTATAGACTGTTCTTTCACCTTGAACTTCTATCTCATCTGTGAAACCTTACTTTCCCATTTAGTTAGAGGGTCATTTTCCTTTACAGAGAGGTCACATGCAAAATTAGAATTCATGAATCCTGCATTCTGTATCACTCAGCACTATACCAACCACCATTGGCAATAATCACCTTTCCCTACCTTCCCTTTATAGTCTTTATCAGAAAAAAACTTGGCCGTGTGGTGTCTCGCACCTGTAATCCCAGCATTTTGGGAGGCCAAGGAGGGAGAATCGCTTGAGCTCACGTGTTCGAGACCAGCCTGGACAACATGATGATTCCCCATCTCTACTAAAACTACAAAAATTAGATAGGCGTGGTGGCACACACCTGTAGTCCCAGGTACTCGAGAGACTAAAGTGGAAAGATCACTTAAGCCCTAGAGGTCAAGGCTGCAGTGAGCTGAGATCACACCTCTGCACTCCAGCCTGGGTAACAGAATGAGACTCTGTCTGAGAAAGAAACAAAAAGGAAAAGCAACTTCTAAGAGCCTCTGCTTTTTTTTCTCTGATATTTTTAGGCTCTGCTAGTACTAGCTATTTTTCCAGCCACCAATAGACAAGACTTCTAGGATCTAAAAGCCCAAGCTTAATTCAACCAGGCTTTTTGCTGCCAGGCAGAACCATCCTGGCAGAAGGCTGGGTTGAATGCCAAGCTTCTGTCTAGTCCTCAGGAATTGGTGCCCCGGCCAATGGGCATACAGTCAGTCATTACCAATTTTTCTGTTGTTGTTTTAAAGGAGGCGGGCAAAAGAACAACCCCTTGTAATCAGAAAATGAGAGACCATGGCCCAAAACTGGTGCCATCTGCTAATCTGAGTAGAAATGAGGTTGAAGAGAGAAAGGTTGGATATGGGGCAGATGGGACTCTCTTTAATCATCTGTTCTTATTATTTTGATCTCTGTTTTTGTTTAATAATTTGAATGAATGATAGAAACACACATTTCTCAGTTCAAATATAAAGATGATGGGAGAATACAGAATTGAATTATTTCTCTCTCCTACCTCTTCATTCCAAACAATCCCCATACCAGTCTTCTAACCAAAGGAGAAGGTAAACAATCAACTCTGTTATTAAAGACC
The DNA here is from genome assembly GCF_000001405.40 of Homo sapiens. Classification (NCBI taxonomy): domain Eukaryota; kingdom Metazoa; phylum Chordata; class Mammalia; order Primates; family Hominidae; genus Homo; species Homo sapiens. Next base: position 70,000,515 of record NC_000007.14, on the reverse strand, counting down.
ACAAAAGTGTATTCTAACTTTCACTAGGATAGATGTCCCACTGCTGTTCTTTCAGTTTTGTGACTGAATTTAATTTGTACAACTGTACACAACAGACATTTTATCAGTAATGGCTTAGCTCTTTACAAGAATATTTAAATGCCAGAGAACAGGTAAAAGACATATGATTACAGTACAATTTGAGGCCCTGTGACGCTGGATACAAAGCTCTTTTTGATCCAACCATTGCATACCTCTTCTGACTACTTCTGCCATTCCATCCTTTGCAGATTATACTCTAGTCATTCTATTCTATGTACGGTTCCCTGACTGTATCGGACTGAATCATCCCCTGTACAGACAGCTCTGTTATAAAGCTTACTTTGAAAACATAAATTTGTTTCAATGTGCTTGACATAGCAGGAACACTTTGAGCACAATGTGAATCTTGCATGTTTGTGTGCACTTTCACCTGCAAGAAACAGGTGAATTCAGAAAACTGCATCCAGTCGAATTAAGCTGTGTAGGGATACACAAAATGCACATGTGCACACACCTCAAACATCCACCACAGCTACTTCGGTTTGCCAAGTGCATTATGAGCCACTCCTGGTAGAACAACTTTCCATCCAGTTCCAGATAATCCATCTTCCACCACCTCTCCATAACTCAAAAGCTGCAAACTTTCTAAAGCCCACTTCCACAAGCAAGATTTAGGCCTTTTAAAATATAAAGTACCATATTTCACCAAGTTCTTTTCTTTTTTTCGTTCTTTGTGTGTGTGTGTGGCAGGGGGGTAACTATGTAATGTGTAAAACTTCACTACTATTTTCATTAGGTTCCTTTTGGGCTTTTTTGTTGTTGTCACTGATGAAGTTTTTCAGTGATAATGTACAAATCAAACCCACAAGAAACATGTCTTGCTCCAGGAAAGGAATTAAGTGGTCATCACTGTGCTCTCAAACAACACTTACAAAAAACAGAGAAAGGTCATTTTAAACACTCTTTGATAACCAACATTCTGTGCTCTTAAATTTTGCAAAAATAAGTCATATTTATGTGGTACTTCAGAATTTAATGTGTTAGTCATATCCTTTTTTATCTAGTCTTCACTGCAAATAAGTTTAAAAAGTAGGGGGAAAATTATCTTCATTGTAAGATAGCAGAAACAGAAGCAGGACCAGATGAAGCATGTTTCCTAAAGTCCCACAAGTAACTGTGGTATAACCAGGCCTACAATCCATGCCTTCAGATTCAGGCAACATACATTTTTCTACACCTAGCAATCAGTGTGAGACACTCCTGATAAGAAAATTATAGGACCCTGAAAATTTATGTCGAGTTCAAAAATGGGTTATTTTTAAGGGAGTTTCACAGCCCACCCTCTCTTTCCTTCAAGTGCCATGACATAATCAAATCCATGATAATTTGCTATAAACTTTATCCTCATTTGTGAGACTATATATTCATATTGCAGAGAAAACTTCTCCAAATCCATAAAACTCTTATAGGTAGGTAGTAAACATATCACATAGCACTCAGACCTCCTCGCTAAAGCCTCAAACACTCCAGGAACTTGACACTGGCAGTGCTTTCTGTCTGCAGTGTTCTTCCTAGACATCCACATAGCTTACACCCTTACCTCCAGCAACCATTTGCTTAACGTCATCTTCTCAGTGAGGTCTACCCTAACCACCTTATTAAAAATTTTACCATTCCCCAAATATGGTAAGGGGGATTTCTTCTTTACATGTTTTCTTTTTCTAAATAGTATCCCTCACCTTCCAAAATACTTTTAAGATTTATGTGTTTATACTTTTTTCTATATTCCCCATTAAATAAAGCTTCACGAATGCAGAGATTTTGTCTATTTGGTTTGGATGCTGTAACTTCAATACTACTTACAACAATGCATGACATATGTTAGGAGCTCAATAAATATTTACTAAACAAACAGGTGCATGTATGCACAATCATGGTTCTCTAAACTATTAGTAAAAATGGAATAAATAATCTCAAACACACAGAACCAGGCACCTTTAAGCAACTTGCTCAGATACATGAAAACCAAGGAAAATTTTTGGGCCCATATTGCAGGGCAGCTTTCCCACACAGGTGGGCCACTTGGAAGGCTCCACACAGGGAGCTCTTAGAATTACAGATGATTTTTTTTTTTTAATGTGAATATAGCTGGGTGTGTGGTGGCATGTGCCTGTAGTCCCAGCTACTTGGGAGGCTGAGGCAGGAGGGTCACCCGGGTCCAGGAATTCAAGTCTAGCCTAGGCAACATAACAAGACCCCATCTGTGGAAAAAGTGAGTATAGTTTACAGTTTGAGGTAGATTTGCCCCACATCATCACCATTTCTACAGAGAAAGAATAATCAAATCACTCCTCTGCAACAACGGTACCTGGTAACAAAGTCACTTGAAAAAAGAGTTGGGAAGCAGGAGAAATTGGGTGTATTCAAAAAGAATCCATGACTGTGAAGGCAGGATTTATTAAATAAATACCAAAGGGTTTCACTGCCAAACCTCTAAAAATCACAGAATGTTAAATTGCTCCTGCTTTCCAATGCATTCAAAGCACACCTGGGTTTATAAGTCAGTAATAAACCCCGAGTTTCAACCTGATTCTCATTTCCACTGAGTTTAACAAAATGAATTTATAATGTCAACCTGCAGGTAATACGATTTGGATGTTTTGTCCTCTCCAAATCTCATGTTGAAATATGACAACCAATGTTGAAGCTGGGCATAGGGAGGTGTTTGGGCCATGGGGGTGGGCCCTTCATGAATGGCTTGGTGTTCTCCAGGGGGAATGAGTGAGTTATCCCTCTGTGAGTTCACACGTGAGAGCTGGTTGTTTAAAAGAGCCTGGCATCTCTCTTGCTCCTTCTGACACATTGGATCCCCCTTCCCTTCTGCCATTAGTAAACACTTCCTGAGGCCTTCACGAGAAGGCAAGCAGATGCTGGTGCTATGCTTGTATAGCATGCAGAACTGTGAGCCAAATAAACTTCCTTTCTTTATAAATTACCCAGTCTCAGGTATTCGTTTATAGGAACACAAATGGACTAACACACCAGGTGTCTATATTTCAAAAGGATTCAGCACACAAACACTTGGTTCCAAGGCATATTGAGATGGTCAGTTTAATTTCATGCCAAAACCAATGTGTAATACATAGATTGTGACCATCACGTGAAAAGGTATTGCATCCCCAAGTAGATGTTAATACTATATATACTATTTGATTATAAGACATAGGAGAACAAGTAACTCTCATTCTTGGTATTATTACCTCACACTTCTCCAAGCCTCTATAATTTCTCATCTGAAAATAGGGATAATGCCAGCTGTGCCTCATAAGGTTGCTGCAAAGATTAAATAAATTAAGCCAGCTCACTTAATAGTTATAGTTTCAGACCTTAAGAAGCACTTAGGATAGACCGTTAAATCTCAACCCTGGCTGCACATTTATAATCACCAGAGAAGCTTAAACAAATGATGCCCAGGGCCAACCCTGAAAATATGCTGATGTAAATCATCTGGGATTGAGCCTGGAGTTTGCTTTTTTTTTTTTTTTTTTAAGTGTTCCAGGTTATTTCGAAAAAGGAGCCAGGTTGGAAAACCCAAGATTGAGATTCTAACGCCCAGATTTAGTAGGTCTGGAGTGGGTTATAAAATGTGTATTTTTTCATGTAAACATACAGTTTATGAGTAAATGGGCTTTATTTTTATGAAATGTATGCTCATAATTATAGTTTAACAAATATAGCAGGGGAGTATTTATTAAAGATATATACTACAACAGGCACTTTGAAGTTTTTACAACTTTTTATAAAGGAAATTTCTATCCTGAATAAGTGTAGTATAACTTTGGAACGGAAGGAAAGGGAAGCGGGTGGGCGAGAGTAAGAAGATAAGGAGAAAATTAATTCATGTAAATACTGGCAGTGGGCAGTGGGGAGGACAGTGTTTGTAGGAGATTCCTTGATATAAAAATATTTTAACACTTCCCTTTGTCTCAAGATAAAGAACTAATAATTATTGACTCTGGCTATAGTCCAGGCTTTCTACACCCATGATCTCAATCAATGCTCCCAACAGGCCTGCAAGGAAGCCCTTGCTATCCACAATCTGCACAGGATGCAATCCACGCAGAACACAACCAGGCTTTACTCCAAGAGACTCAAAGAGGGTTAGCCATTTGTCTCTGACTGCTAGCTGTGCTGACAGAAGAGAGGGAGCAGACAGCTGAGGCTCCATGTAGCATACCTTGCCATAGCAGGCCCCATGCACTGTGTTTTGCAAATTTATGAAGGGGGTTCCAGGGTTCCGAACTGCACTGCCTCTTATGACACAGTACCTCTAACAACCCACATTTGACAGATAAAATAGCAGTACCCTGGCAGGATCAGAAACCATCATGGAGGGAGCTTAGAAGCTCCTTACGGAGTGAACTGTAGGAATGAATTATTTATTAAAATGGTCATTCATTCCTCACGGTGAAAGAAGATTAAAACTGACTTCTATTGGAAAGTACTTCGCTTCCAAGAACAGCAAAGTGGGCTGCCGACTCGCATTACTGGACCCACCTTAGAGAAAGAGAAAATTTGAGAGAGACAGGTTGAATGCTCAGACAGTAAGTAGGCAGAAAATCTCAGAAGAGCAGTACAGCTTCCTAAAATGCTCCTGGCTTCCATGCATCTGTCAAACTTTCAGGTAGATTTTGGGGTGTCAAGCATGATCATACAGAAAAACTGACTCACCACCTGGAATTCTATGGGTTGAGAAGGAATGAAAAGTGGATAACAACCAGAAAGAACTCTAATGGTCCAGAAGGCCAGCAGCGGCAATTCTGATGAAGGAAGCAGACTACCCTCAGTGGCAGACCTAGGCCTTGTCCCTGGAGAATCCTGCTGCTGGGATACTGCTGGGTACACAAAGTAAAGAATGATTTGTGGAACAACTCCTAAGTATTAAGTATCACAGAAAGCAGGGGGCAAACACAAGAAGATGAGAAATAGAAGGAGGGAGAACCCTTCTGAAAAATGTCCTCCTTCATAGTCAGTCGGTATTTAATTTCTATTTTTTACCTCTTCTTTGCATTCACGAAGGCCAAATCTTCCAGTCAAATTAGAGTGTAGTAAAGCATTAAGTCAGCATTCAACAGGTTGAATTACTGTGTAAATGAAAGAAATTATTATTCATTCATGACATTTATTTCAGATCCAACCCTAGTTGCTTTTATATAAAGTTAGGGGTAGGGAGAGTAAAATTTAGATGGGGAGAGAGTAACAAGAACGAGGATATATAATTACAGCTATATTTCTTTGCCAAACATTAGTAAGCCTAAACAAAAAGTGCTTGTTTGCTCTCTTGAGAAAAAAACATGTGATCCATCAGTGGTGGCTCTAAAGCCAACATTCTCCTGACACACGGCCAGACTCTGATAGGTATGCCAATATTTAAAATTCCAGTAACAGAGGGCTTATTAAGGCCACAAAGCCCGGTACAGCCCATTGTCATTTGGAAGCCCCTGAACTCTGGGAACAATTCTAGCAGTCAGGCGCTACAAAGTAATGGAAGTCTCAATGCATCATGAAAGATAAAGGGCGAGTTGATGCTATCAGAACTACCAAACAATGGATCTTTTCTAATAAATTTCCACAAAGTTTAAACACCTCTCACAAGCAGAAAAAAGAGAAAACACACATGTGTGGCATTTATTGTTAATTCTTGCATGTCTACCTGGTAGAAGGGACTGCAAGAAAGTGTACCTGGGGAGCCTACCTGAAGACAGAGAAGCATCTGTCCACGAATCAACATACCAGTAAATAGCAGATAATCTGTTACCCGAAATGTTAAGACTCCACGATTTTATCAGAATATAGTCATTATATACTATAATCCCACTGAAATTCTCTAGGTTTTCCAAAGTGTATGTTGAACAAAGAAAAATGCCTAATCAAAACATATGCTATTCCTATTCTAACATATTCACACAGACAACATGGAAACACACACAAACACACACACAGATATTTTTGGAATCAGTTAATCTTAAACCTTCTCTAAACCTCCAACCACTGGCACTCAATTACTACAAATGCAACAGTGGTTAGAAATTGGCAGTAACAACCTTAGTTTGTTTTAAAACCTGAGACCACACAAGTTGAGGACAAGAAACTATTATTCAGAAATTCAGACAGATTTCAGGACCAAGTGCAATTCTGCATAGTAACGATAATGAAGTTGTGAACCTTTAACTTAGAAAACCAATTTAATACACTGAGCTGATGGAAAAAATGTCTCACTCTATTGCCCAGGCTGGGGTGCAATGGTACAATCATAGCTCATCGTAACCTCAAACTTCTGGGCTCAAGCGATCCTCCTGACTCAGCCTCCCAAGTAGCTGGGACAACAGGCACATGCACCATGCCCAGCCTTATTAATACATATCTCTTAATTCTTTTCTTATATCTGAAGCTCCACACGGCCATGTATACAACCATCACAAGCGAGACTTTCTTGGGGCCCAAAGCAGCCAGCTTTATGATTTCTCTCTACACACCACACTGTTCTCTTCCATACAGCTCTTGCTGTAAGTTGACGTCCCAAGTTTTGCTTATCTTTTTACTCTGCCAGGGGATAACTACTACTACTTTATTCTGCATTAGACTTTCAAATAGATCACCTTCCCCTATCTGTAGAAAGAAATAAAAACATACTGGGATTATATATATACAGAGAGAGAGAGGGAGAGAGACAGACAGACAGAGACAGAGACAGAGAGACAGGAAGACAGGGTCTCACTATTGCCCAGGCTAAAGTGCAGTAATATGATCACGGCTCACTGTAGACTGTACATCACAGGCTCAAGCGATCCTCCTACCTCAGCCTCCTAAGTAGCTGGTACCACAGGTACACACCACTATACCTGGCTAATTTTTGTTTAAAAGGTCTTACTGTGTTGCCCAGGCTGGCCTCAAAGTCCTGGGCTCAAGTAATCCTTCCTCCTTGGCCTCCCAAAGTGCTGGAATTATGAGCCACTGTGCCTAGCCTAGTAACATATATTCAAAAACCCATTATTGTTTTTGCCACCTCAGCCCTTTTATTCACTCTTTGGTAACAGTAGCTGAAGTCTCTTTTGAAGAATTAACCCCACCTGCCTCAGGGTCCCAGCAGTTTCGGGAATGCTGAGAGGGCCATGAGAGTCGCCCCACTAAAGGGTATAGTGGGATGACTATACATATATCCAGTCAATCAGTCAAGAATAGCCACATAACCAAAGGAGGACTGTAAAGTGGAAGCTGCAAGATTGTTGTTGGACACAGAAACGATGAGCCTTGCTCTCTCCCAGGACTGCTGAGCAGGCAGAACAGTCATCGTCTTTGTCTCTGAACCACAAGAAGCCCATAGAGGAAGTAGTGCTGAGAGATGGAGACAGACCGCTGAAAGTACCAACCTCCTGAAATTCAGAGGCTTTTAGAGCCTTTTACCCCTAAGCTCTCTGACTCTTAAACCAATAATATTCTGAGTTGAGGCTAAGATGCAGAGATGTGCCACCAATTTACATTAAAGGTAATACTGTCTTTTAACCTGATTCCATAACTCTAGTGAAACCACATTTCTTTTCTTCTCCTTCTGAGATGGGTCTCACTTTGTAACCCAGGCTGGAGTGCAGTGGTGCGATCACAGCTTACTGCAGCCTTCAACTCCTGGGCTCAAGCGATCCTCTCGCCACAGCCTCCTAAGTAGCTGGGACTACAGGCGCACACCACCATGTCTGGCTTATGTTTTCATTTTTCTGTAGAGACGAAGTCTTGCTACGTTGCCCAGGCTGGTCTCAAACTCCTGGCCTCAAGGGATCCTCCCACTGGAGGACTGGTAAACTCCTATAATCCTCGGCTTCCCAAAGTGCTGGGATTATGGACATGAGCCACTACACCTGGCCCATGCTTCTTTTCAAACATTCAAAACCTTCTCCAAGTATTGTCTTCTTTAAAAGGCCTTCCTGGATGATGTTCCAAATACACTCAGGAGGCACACAGGGAGGATCACCATCCAATCAAGCTCTCCATTACTATGCAACAGATCAGTAACTATCAATAATGGCACAATCAATCATATATCACCTGCTCTTTTTATTCTTACTCTTGCCAGTCTGTAAAGTTTCCAGTAGAAGGATATGCTTATCTTTATTTTGGAAGGAACAAGGCTTTTAGATTCAGAAGATTTGAGTTTAATCTCACCTTTTCTCTGGCTCTAACACTTCAGACTTCTCACATCTTTTATGCTAGGTTAATAACATCTGCTTTAAATTATAGTTGTTATATGGTTCCTAGGCTAAGAGTCCAATGCTCCTTTTCCGTCTCACATGGACACAATCAGCAATGATACAACAGATGGGAACACTAGCAAAAAGGTCATGAAGACGATATGCCCAACTGACTAATATGAGACTTCATAGCTCTTGGATAAAATGACTTCAACACCTGATATTCTTGCCTAATTGAATCTTTTCCATTTTGAGGGCAACACTTACATAAGTATGCACAAACCATATATATAAACAAAAACTTCAAAGGTATAGTACAGAGGAGGTATGTTCTACCCTCAGATACATATCTGGTTATCTTAAAGACAAAAAAAATGTCTTAGAATAGAAAGTATTCCGATATCAAGACAAGCCCTGTATTTTGCAACAAAACTTTGGGAGAAATCACTGCCCATCTTTCAGCTTCAGTTTCCCAATTTTTAAGGTACAGGATTGAGATCGGATGGTTTCAAGGCCTTTCTTAGCTCTAACAAAACTTTCAACTTTCAAATGATTTATATTATCATACCATATAGCATTTAATTCCTCCATATTTCAACTTATCTAAGCTCCCAGAAATATGTCTAACGTTTATTTCTTCTCTTGTCATGTGGTAAACAACATATAATTGTTCCCTGAGTATGTTAACAGCAGTCTCTTTCCTTAAATATTTTAAGGAAGTTCACACCCAAGGGCTACCTAACTAGTGTGTCAATTTGGGATACAGTGACCATCAGCTCATTCTTGTTTTCCTCAGATGGGTTTTCGCACAGTGAGCTGCTCCTGATTCTGAGAGAACACCAGGATGGACAGGACAGTCCTATGGATCACAGCTAATTCTAGGAAGCCCAAAGGATGAACGAAATGTCCAATTCACATTGCTGTGCCCAGATCTGTCTTCCATCTTACCTTTCTGAAATGCTTTCCTACACTGCATCACCTCAGGATGTCTCCTGGACCTTGAATCATTTTACCAAAAGCACAAAATAAACTACTACGCAGTGAAGGGAAATGAAGAAATGAAGAGGTTCCTGTTCTGATTTCCCCGGAATTTCAAGGCAGATCTGCCTGGAAGGAGCTGAATTTCCAGCTCTCTGTTCCAGTTCCCAGACTCTCTTTCATTTTTACTAGCTAATGACTGTCAGGTGAATTAAATACAAGCTATCTCGTCTCTTCACAAGACCCCATAGCCTTCTTAAAAGAAAACTCTCCTCTCTCCTCTACTAATGAGCTCTACTGACTGCTGATTAGATCTATTCTCTCAGCCTTAAACCACAGAGATTGAGGAACACAAATCTGAAAATCGAAAATCCAAAATGCTCCAAAATCCAAACAGTTTTTGAACACCAACATGACACTCCAAAGAAATGCTCACTGCAGCATTTCATATTTGGGATGCTCAACTTATAAGTATAATGCAGATATTCCAAAATCCAAAATTATCCCAAACCCAAAACACTTCTGTCAAAAGCACTTCAGATAAGGGATACCCAACCTATATAAATATGACCACCAGCTTTAAGAGCTAACATTCCAGTGGATATTTACTACATCTCTGAAGCCAGAAACTATGTAAAGGCAGCTTTAGTAAAGGCTGTAGATATATTATCTGTATGATCAAAGTTACACTCATATTTTCATTTGTATCCACATTTTCCCTCCACCTCCCCTGACATACACACACACAAACACACACGCACACCTCTTAGTAGTCATTTTGGTTTGAAGAACAGTGACTACTTTTACCTTTCAAGTGTGAAATGGCCTCACCTGATACAATATAAAAGCGAATTCATCTGGAACAACATGAAAATGAACTAGATATTTTAAAACCAATCAAATAGTCAAAATTCTATACAGACGGTAACAATGAACAAAATTGGTAAGCATATTTCCCTTCCCTCTGGGCACATACAAAACAAATTGACCGCAAAATACTTCTACTGGCTGATATTTCAGTAGATGCTGTATCTAAACTCCTTTTTACCAATTACCTCATTTACTCCTACCCAAAAAACCCAATGAAATATACATTAGTAACCCTATTTTACAGATAAGGAAATTGAGGCACCAAGAGGTAAAATAGCATGCACAAATTCAGACTGCAACTTTGTATTGCTATTTCTGTTTTTTGAATTACTCTTCTTGTATGTCAGCGGTCCCCAACCATTTTGGCATCAGGCACCGGTTTCATGGAACACAATTTTTCCCACAGACCTGGGGATGGGAGGGCGATGGTGTTGGGATGCACCTGTTCCACCTCAGATCATCAGGCATTAGATTCTCATGGAAGCAGGCAACCTAGATCCCTCAAACGCACAGTTCACAATAGAGTTAGCACTCCTATGAGAGTCTAATGCCGCCGCTGATCTGACAGGAGCTCAGGCCTTAATGTTTGTTAGCCTGCTGCTCACCTCCTGCTCTGTGGCCCAGTTCCCAATGGGCTATGGACAGGTACCAGTTCCATGGCCCGGGGCGGGGGGTCCCTGTTCTCTAGGGAAAACAGATGTACTCTTCTTCCCCTAGTCTACTTGATGTCCAGTTGCATTCATCTGAAAGGTAGCAGTAAATTAAGGATACCATTTAAAGCCTCAACATAGAGAAAAACAATCTATGGAACCATCAGCTTGGCTGCATTCACAACTTCAATGAGTAGCTGCTCACAACATTCCTCCTCTCTCCTTCCCTCTCATCCCACACACCAAATATTTATTACGTAACTCTTATGTGTCAGGCTCTACACTAGAAATTGTCTGATCTCTAATAGGTGCTCTAAAAAGCTCAATTTTTCACTTTAGATCCATGATTTCAACAACTTTCTACCTAATCTAGAATTTTGCACATATTAAATAAATCTGATCCTCAACATTTCCTCAAACCCCTTGAAGTGCCAGCATTTTCTTAACAGCGTTACCCAGGAATAACTGACAAACAGTAATAACTCATGATATAATAAGCCACACATAAGATGGGAACAACAGCTTACTCTCCTGAAACTGTACATGAGCATCCATACACAATACCAAGAATTACAAGAGTTACCAAATTCAAGTCTTGACTATCTGGAGTTACAAATTACATGGTACAGATTCTTGGGACCACAGGACCATGAACAAGTTTGACAGATCAGACCATGCCATTTATTCCAAAGTATTTCTTAACCCACATACCAGCAAAGTTGTCCTGCTCAAAATCATGATACGCTCAAAGTTTGTCTTTGCATCTCCTTGTCTTTCTTTTTTCCTGCCCCTTTCCATCTGTACTTTTCTTCAACTTAGTAGCACTCCACCCGTCCTCCCTGCCCCCAACAAAAAGTGCTCCTAGGAAAGGGGTTGTTGAAATCATTCACTCTAAGTTGTCAAATCACTGACCTAAGTGAGCTTAATGTATTATCACTCCCACGAGTACGGGAAATTAAACAGGAAGCCAGTGTCTAATTTTTCAGTTTAGATCAGCTAGTTAGAGGGGGATGTGTTGTTAAAGCTGACCAATTATTTCCCTGAAATCCTGCAAAGTGAGCAGCCATTAATCTATTCCTAGTTCATTCTATTTTGATTCACTCATTCATTCAATAAATATTTGTTGAGTGCCTATCACCTTCCAGACAGAGTTCTACATACCACAAAAAAAAGCAATGCATAAAACAGACAAAAATCCTGCCCTTGAGGAGTTTACAATTTATAGTAGGGTATGTACAATAAATAATTCAACAAGTGATGCATAATTATGAGAGCTGGCATTAAATGTTATCCATGCTTGCAGATATATGTAAGAGCACCTGAAATGCTTGCCATCTCACTTAAGTGACAATGTGATGTACTGAGAGGCCAGAAAAAAACAACATTAAATTCCAGCTCCTGCACCAGCCAGCTATACAATCTTAGCTGACACACACACTCTTGATAGACTCAAAGTCCCCCTTAAAAACAAAGGGAAGGCTAGAACAATACCAAACTCATCTTTTTAGACATTCTAAGTGTCTCATGGAAGAACATGGGCACAAAGAGAAGACTGTTAGATGATACATTTAAATCTGAGTGAACAAAAAAGAGACTCTAAAAAAGGCAAATATCATTTTTATGTTGTTAAAAGTAATATATCAACCTTTCAAGAGGCACTTACCACATCTCTGAAGCCAGAAACTGTAAAGGCAGCTTTAGTAAAGGCTGTAGATGTATTATCTGTGTGATCAAAGTTACACTCATTATTTTCATTCATATCCACAATTTCCCTCCACCTCCCCTGACATACACACGCACACCTCTTAGTAGTCATTTTGGTTTGAAGAACAGTGACTACTTTTACCTTTCAAGTTTGAAATGGCATCAACTGATACAATATAAAAGTGAATTCATCTGGAACAACATGAAAATGAACTAGATATTTTAAAACCAATCAAATAGTCAAAATAGTCATGACGTATTGGAAAACAATGTTTTTAAAGTCCGGACATGGTGGCTCATCCCTGTAATCCTAGCACTTTGGGAAGCCAAGGCAGGGGTATCACTTGAGGACAGAAATTTGAGACCAGCATGGGCAACATCACAAGACCTGGTCTCTATTAAAATATTTTAAAAAAATTTACAGGGCATAGTGGCGCACACCTGTAGTCCCGGCTACAGAGACACTGAGGCAGGAGGACCCTTGAGCCCAGGAGTTCAAGAATGCAGTGAGCTATGATGACACCACTGCTCTATAAAAGCCTGGGAAATATAGCAAGACCCTATCAGAAAGCAAAAAGAACAAGAAAGGGAACATATTGTCCTCCATAATTACAATATCATTAACACACTCAAGAGGTTATTTAATATTTATTCAATACTATCTAATGCAGTCCAACTTTCAGATTTCCCCAGTTGTCCCCAAATGACCTTCACAGCATTTCCCTCGAACTAGGATTCAATAGAAGCTCAAATTCTGCATTTCACTGTCATATGTCTTTAATCTACAAAAGTCTTCCTACCAATTTTGCATCTAATCTAGCTTGACATAACTATGGATCCAATGTCCTACGATTGTCAAGTGAATTAAATTATAGTAGCAAATCACTCCTTTATAAATAGCTGTGAAATGTCTTAATCCAGCGAAGAGAAATTATGGTGTGATGTAAAATGGCTTTAAATTCTTACAGATTTTAAATTCTCAATCTTTTCATCTCAACATTGTCCTTGTGCTTCCAGGGTCTGGCCAAGACACACAGTCCAAATTCCAGCTCTGCAAAGCTTAACTCCAGGTATTATGCACCTAATCCTAAATATCGAACCTACTATTTGTGGAACCCCAAGATATAACTCATTAAATATAAAATAATTTTTATGAAAGATTGGGCAAGGGTCACCACTGCATTTAAAATTCACCAAACAACTGCTTGCTAATTTGTTTCTCACTTTGAAATCAGAATCACAGACAGGGTAGCATACAGCATATACTAGACTAAAAAGTGAGGGGAACATTATTTGATCTGGTAATAATTAAGTCCTTAAGCAAATTTGGATAACTGTCCAGAAAACAATAAACTGGTAATGCTGATGTGTACACTTTCTATTGTTCCCTTCTACTCTCAGAAAACTTAGTTCTTCAAGCAAGGAGCACTGTCTTATTCAAGGAGTAAGGCCTGAAGACCCTCAGGAATACTGGAAAGTTTACAGTGGCCTTTGGCCAAGAGCAGTAACATTCTCACCTGGAAACTGACTTTACTGCCAAGAACAACCATAACGAGAAAAATTACAATCAGCAAGATTATTTTTCCAAGTGAGCCTGGATGTGAATTTCTGTAAAGAATTCCAAACAACAATTCCAGATTATGGAAAACATTGTTTGCAGAGACTGAATTCAACTTATCTAAATTTTTTACTGCTAGCACAGCTCCTGCCACATAACAGGGGCTTGTTTTGGCCATTCAAGCATTCATTCAACAAATATTAATGTTCTTACTCACTGCTAGGCATAGCACTAGGTGCTGGGGATGTAACAGTTAATAACATCCCTAAGGTCCTGCTCTCATGGAACTTACTTTCATTCAATGAAAGAAGTCAGAAGAAAATAATAATAAATAAGCAAATACATTTACAAAGGGGTAATTTCAGATGTTTATAAGTGGTATTAAGAAGATACAGAGGAAACAATAACAGAGTAAGACATAAGTAAAGCGGCTGGGCACGGTGGCTCATGCCTAAAATCCCAGCACTTTGAGAGGTCGAGGCGGGAGGATCGCTTAAGCCCAGAAGTTCAGGACCAGCCTGGGCAACATAGTAAGACCCTGACTCTACAAAAAAAACTTTTTTTAAGAATTAGCTAAGCATGGTGGCACGTGCCTGTAGTCTTAGCTACTCGGGAAGCCGAGGCTGGAGGATCACTTGAACCGAGGAGCTCGAGGCTGCAGTGAATCATATTCTTCATTGTACTTCAGCCTGGGCCACAGAGCAAGACCCTGTCTCAAAAAAAAAAAAAAGTAAAGGGGGCAAACTTAGATGGTTGGTAAGATAAGACCACACTAAAGAGCTAATGTTTGAGTTAAGAGCTACAGTACAGAATGGAACCCACCACATGGGGATGTGTGGTAGAGCAACTGAAGAAAGTTTGATAAGGGAATCCTGAGGACCTAGATGGACAGTGGGAATGGAAGTGGGCAGGGAGCCACATACGGCTTCATAGGCCATGACCAAGTATTTGGATTTTATTCTTAGCGTAATAAGAAGCCCTAGAGGATCTTAAGCAGGAGAATGCTATAATGTAACCTGTGTTTTGAAAAGATCATATTGGCTGAAATATAGAGAATGAAAAGACTATATCACCACAATGTATCCTGCAACTCCACCCCGTTGTTTGTACCACCACTTCTATTTCCAAAACTAGTCAGAGGCACCGTGAAGGCAGCCAAGTGATGGAACCACAGAGCTGCTGAGAGCAAGGAAAATAAATAAGGCTCAACAACAGAAAAACAGGGCACGTTTTCTTTTCCTTTCTTTTTTTTTTTTTTTTTTTTAGAGAGTCTTCCTCTGTTGCTCAGGCTAGAGTGCAGTGGCATGACCATAGCTCACTGTGGCCTAGACCTCCTGGGTTCAAGTGATCCTCCTGCCTCAGGCTCCCACAGCGCTGGGATTACAGGAATGCCCAGTCCACATCTTCTTTACTGCCCAAAATGTACCTGGAAACCTTCTCAATGGTTTCAGAGACATGGCTGAAAGAACAGCTTTATTTTAGTTCATCATCAGTTTTTCTTCTTCTTAAAAATGTCAACAAAAAACTTTCCAAAACTTCATGTCACTAACTAACCATTATTCTAAATCACCCCCAGATTCTGGTGAAGAAAAGATCTCACAGCAATGGCACATGACAGAAGTTGCCCAGCCCCTCATCCACAGCTCCCAGACTGCTCATCTGCAGAGGCCCACAAATGATTACAGAGAGTGCTAAAGCACATGGGGACCTGGGTTTCCAGAAAGTGTTAACAGGCAGGAAGAGGAGTGGAAGGGAATTTGCTACCAACTATGGCACTTTCAGGCAAACTGCTCCAGGACAGGGAAAGGATTTCTAGAGACTATCCACCTCAGAGGCAGTGGATACTGTTCTCAGCGTGGGGGAAAGTGTCTGACCTCATTGACAAACAAAGATAAGTAACGTGAAACAAACATTTCTTGAAGCTAATATGATAATACAATCAAGACGGTAAAAAAAAATGCATGCTCACTGGTCCTAATAACTCCTCCACCAGGAAAATTTTTGTTGGAAATAAACATTTATTAAAGAACCTATCAAATTTTTCACAAACATTTTAGAACTCAATTTTTTTTTTTTTTTTTTTTTGAGACAGAGTCTCACTCTGTCGCCCAGGCTGGAGTGCAGTGGCGTGATCTTGGCTCACTGCAAGCTCCACCTCCTGAGTTCACGCCATTCTCCTGCCTCAGCCTCCCAAGTAGCTGGGACTACAGGCGCCTGCCACCATGCCCGGCTAATTTTTTTTGTATTTTTAGTAGAGACGGGGTTTCACCGTGGTCTCGATCTCCTGACCTCGTGATCCGCCCGCCTTGGCCTCCCAAAGTGCTGGGATTACAAGCGTGAGCCACTGCGCCCAGCAGAACTCAAATTTCTAAACATGAAGTTTCCCTTTTCAACTGACAGCTCTACAATCTGAATCAACGTTAGGTCAAAATCTTTACATTTAAATTTCTTACCATATAACTTGTTACCACATATTCCTGCATAAAAAAGAGTGATAATTTAAATCAGAGTCAATAGATAAAATGAAACTAGAGCTGTCTGATGAATCACAGTATTTTATAAGTTGTATATGTGAATCATAGTATTTTATAAGGGTTTATAAGGGTTTATAACTAGAACCCTAGAGGAAGAATATCTTTGAATATACATTTAGTATAGATAGTAAATTTTCATGCATGTTATCATTTCAAAAATTACTTCACATAAGTGTATGAATGGGTCACCTACCTATTAAATTTTATTTTACCCCAAAACTATAGATTTCATTTTCATAACATTGATTTTGTCCAACATTAATAAAGCTAATCAACTACACTAATAAAAATGCCTTTATCTTTCTCAGCAGAAATAGCAATTTAACAGGCAACACGTAATCCTACATTAAGACTCATCAATTGTTTGATCTACAAAGAGTAGCACTTTTTTTCTTTCCTACACAGTCATACCCACATAACCTTCACACACACACACACACACAGTACAAAGCGACACCTTCTGATGCTGGCAGGTTACCATGTGTTTTCCACTGCTGTAATGAAGTCACCCCCAATAACTCAGATGATGAGAACAAAAACAATAACTTGAGAGAATAAAGAGCTACATATATACATTGTTTGCTGTGGCTTTCTCTTTCATGGCAAAAAAAAAAAAAGTTTATATAAATGCCCCCAAACAAGGGAATAATTTAGCAAATTATAATAAAACCCCACAGAGATTGTGAGAAATGCCACATAGAAACATTAGAATCATGAGTACAAAAAGGAAAATATAAAAGTATATACAATTAGTTATAAAATGCAGTAAGGGCAAATGTTGTAAGAAAATATGCAAAAATTAAAATTCATGTCAATGTTCCGTTTATAATAGGCTTTTCCTAACAAAGAAAAGACAACCTAGTACAGAATGGAAGAAAAGGTTCAAATCTGGTTACGCCATTAGTTTCCGGTAGGGTAAATGTTCATAGCCAAGGTCTCCCTTCTGGCCACTAACACTAAATGTGATTCTGGGCTTACTGTTCACATTTGCAGATTGATGGGATTGAACTAAATGGCTCTTCAGCTCTAAAACTCTGTCCTTGCCACTATAAAATCTGGCCAAATATTTAAAAGTCATCTCTTATTTCTTGCTGAATGGCAGTCACTGCAATGAAGCTCTTAAACAATATACCAAGAAAGATTCTGAGTACAGTGCCCAAATTATACCCCTTCTAATTCTCTATGAAGGCTTTCACCTCTGCCAAGAGTAACACACCTGAGTTCTCCACCAATTAAGCAAATGGCCAGGCCGCTGTTTTATCACATGTAGGACCAATGCTTTGTCACTGGCATCTTGTTTGGGTCATTCAATGGAAAAAGTGGCCGTATAAACGCAAACGCACTCATGTAGTTTTCTTCATTTCACCCATGGGTGATGACTCCCACTAGCAGGCATGCCTTGCATTTGCCTTTATTTTTCTCTAAGACTCACACATACATAACATGCATACTCCAGAGGTCCAAGGAAAATACTCCACGTTTTTTTTCCCCCCTCAGGATAGCCTGGAGCAGGAGGGGTGAAGAAAAGAAAGAGAAACAGCACACAAAGCTTTCCTTGTTCTTTTAATCTTTCTTAGACAAATTCTACACCAGAGAAAGCCACAGCTGAGGATTTTACAGTGGTGTTAAACACTGCTTCAGTCCCCTGAGAGAGAAGGAATGCATTCCCTTTAGTATTCACTGTGCTGAGCTACTCAGCTTTCTGAAAGAGAATATAGCAGAGCAGTCAAGAAGAAAAGGCACAGACCATGATACTTGCACTCAGCAGCTTATAAACCCGTTTATTTCCTCTCTAGGAAAAAAAGCAAACAAAAATGTTTTCAGGACCATTTCTCAAAAGGTTCCTATTTGTTGACTGATTTAATACATTTAATTCAGACAGTATATTCCTAAAATTGCTTTCTGTGTTGGTGCCTACGAGTCCTTGTCCTTAAGAAACTCACACTGATATAAACAAGATTAATAAGACAGTAGGTAAAGTTCAGCAAAAACAGACAAAAACTCATGATTAGCTACCCTTGTGAAACTAAGAGAAGATAAGCACAAATGCAACCGTCACAAACAACTGGGAATAAATTACCAACTCGAAGTGTGTACATATCAAGTGGTAGAACGAGTATATGTATTTTGATGGGTCTGACTCATCTTCACTCTTTAGTGACCTACTAATGCTCTGATGTCTGTTAGCATATCTCAAGAGGAAATAATGTTTGTTAATATCTAAATTTCAGTCTTAAGATTTTTCTACAATTTATTTACAAATCTAATGTGGTGTGTATTTCAAGACATGTGATAATCAAAGACCAGAATGAACTCAAGACTCTTAAGCGCTGATAGTGTGTACTGAAAGCCCATAATGAACTCATCTGGATGGTTATAATGGGATATAAAAATTGTTGGCAAGAAACTGTCTTCACTCTAGAGATAACAGTGATCATATTGATTATATCTATGTATATTAGGTATTAACATTAGAAATTAATTAATTTGAAATATTGAATAAAAATTTAAATACAAAATAAAAAAATACAGTTACATATTCACTTATAAAATAAAAATGACATACATCCTACCTTCTCATGGGTGAATGTTAACTGATCTAAAATCAGGCAAACCACAAATCTTTTACAATAATGCTCTTTTAACTGACCCCAACTGACCAGCTAGATCAACTGATGATCTTCGTTTCCTTTGTAAAACTTACTGAACATTTCATAGCCAATGAATACTCATCTCTATAAGACACCCGTGTACCACAGTGGACCATACCCAAACCTGTTTCTGCTAATTTTATTTACCACATGTAAACCAGTGATAAGTACAAAATGAAGGTGAGATTTTGTTTCTAGAGAAATTAAGCTGGACAAGATAAACATTTAATAAATGTGGGCCTCTCAAAAAACAATTGTTGAATTAAATACAAACTGACTATAGAAAGACTGGGAAAGGGAAGTTAAAATGATTCTGCATTCCAATTATTCATGTATGTGTAAGTTGTTATACCATTTTTAATAAGCCTCATAGACAACTGTGGTCAATGAATTACAGATGTGATTTATGCAAGAAAGAACAATTGGAACACAAATCAATATACCATTCTAAAACGAGCCCTCACTGCACATTGTAAACTCCTGGGGATCTTTTTAAAAAAATTGACGCCAAGGCTTCATCCCAGATCAACTGAATCAGAATCTCCAGAGTTGATACTTGGACATCAATTTTTTTTTTAATTCCCAAGGTAGTTCCAATGTATAGCCAAAGATGCAAACCGCTGCTCTACATGAAAGGACTGGTGAGAGGATGAGGATGTGTAATCATATGACTTCTAATACATACAATGTAAGCGTACACTTTTTTTTTTTAACAGTTTCAAGCTTTAACTGTTTCCAGTTCATAAATGTAGTATGGAAAAGATAATGCCAACATAAGCAGTATTCTACCAAATAACAAGTATGTACATAACCAGATCTACCTTGGCCTAAGAAGTACAGTGAATGCAATTTGAATGCCTTTCTCCACACAACTATCCTACAAATGAGGTTCCAAAAATCAATTATATAACTCCAAGGAAGTTTCTCTGCACTCCCTCTGCAAAACTGAACTAGATGTCCAACTCTTTCTGTACTGTCTTGAGATCCTCCCACTTACTCTTTAAGTGCACACAAACAAATTCTAGAGAGAAAAATAAGTTTTAAAAGGTTGATGTAATTAGCTGGGCATGGTGGCAGGTGCCTGTAATCCCAGCTGCTCAGGAGGCTGAGGCTGGAGGATCACTGGAACCCAGTGGCATCACTGCATTCCAGCCTGGGCGACAGAGTGAGAGACTCCATCTCAAAAAACAAACAAACAAAAACACAAAACAAAAAATGGTAGATGAGGGGGTGAAGTGGGGAAAAGTCTGGTGGTACCATGTGGAGAAGAGAAGGGATAGAAGCTTAGCTTAATGTGTGCACAACAAAAACTTCCAGTTTATAAAGCCTAATTCATTAATTCCTTCTCTTACTTACTCACACAAAAACATACAGTAAATAACTACTATATACTTACAGCTATTCTAAGCACTGGAAACCAACTCCAAAAATGGCAAAAATGGCATTTAAAAAACAAGGCGAATATGTGAATCTGTATCCCTCTTTTCTCTCTCTGCTGCTGCATCTGTATAGCAGGCAGCCTTTCAACAAGAAGCTATTACAGGCTGTTGAAAAGGATGCCTCCTGCCCTCAGTAGCAAACAAGGGTAACACGGCTTAATGAAAGTCACATTTGATGCACTGCATACTCTTCCATATCAAGTGGCTCAATTGCTGCCTGTAGTCTTCCTCATACTCTTATGAGGTAATCTGGAATCATGTCTTTGATTTAGATTGGCTGCATCTTTTATTTCCAAAATACACTGGTAATGGTGTAGTCTTCAAATTTAACATTTGAAACTGTGATTCCATTTACCTCCTTGTACTAACTTGAAAAAATGACTGTAATTGAAATCCTTCCATTGGAAATAAAGCCCTTGGAACTTTTCAGTTGTTGCTCATCCTTAAGGGTTATTTGAGCTGTCAAAACTATGAATGGTCTATCCACTGAAATAAGCCCTCTTTGAGGATGATGAAAAAAGTACAGGATAGAAAGATCAAGTCCTACTTGTCTCAAACAGCAAGTTTTCCTCCACCAACTAGCAAAGGCAGAGAAAATAAGGTTCTTCCCTGTCTGGATTCTACTGTTTATCAAATGAGAATAAAAGGATTCTTAGGGCCATGCTCCACAGCTTATGTTCCTTAGCTTAAATTTCTTCTAAATTTCCCAAATAGTTTTCTGACACAAATTTATTACTTCATTCTAACAGAAAACCCAAGGAAACTCTATAAAATATTACTAACAGTTTACATGCAGTCATCATGATTATGTAAATTTCCAAAAATAGTTTTTAAATAAATTTCAAATTAACTCTGAAGTTAAAGGCTAAGCTAGAGTACATAACTTTAAACTTATAGACAGATATAGAATAAAATTCCCAGGAAGACTGGTAATGGGTGTGTGTGCGTGTGTGTGTGCGTGTGTGCGTGTGTGTGTGTGTGTGTGTGTGTGTGTGTGTGTGTGTGTGTTGTTTCTTTGAGACAGACAGGGTCTTGCCCTGTCCGTCCAGGCTGGAATACAGAGGTGCAATCATGGCTCATTGCAGCCTCAATCTCCTGAGCTCATGAGATCCTCCCACTTTAGCCTCCCAATTAGCTGGGACCATAGACACATACCACTACACCCAGCTAAATTTTTATTTTTTTATTTTTTATAAAGACAGGGTTTCACCATGTTGCCTAGGCTGGTGTCAAACTCCTGAGCTCAAGCAATCATCCTGCCTTGGCCTCCCAAAGTGCTGGGATTACAGGCATGAGCCACTGCATCCAACCAATAATATTTATAATGATCTAAGAATGGTTTTTCAGAGGAACACTTCTTATCAAACAAAAAGTGTACTGATTTCCTGCACTTAATTCAGTATCTCGTTGGATTGAATAGCTCATGAAGAAAATTTATTGTTTCCTCCATGATCTTCTTCTGGCTGAAATGGCTAACAGTTTTTCAATAAAACCAGAATTAGTAATTCCAGTCTTATTACAAAAATGCATTGTCAAAATTGCCTGGAAAAAGAAAAATACTGAAAAGACAATGTTGTTTCTGGAATCTACATCTTGATGGAATTGCAATAAAGGGTATGAAGATGCAAATGTATGTGTTAGTGATAATACAATTTATCTAAAGCAAGGTAAACTTAAACTGGAGCTGCCTCTATAGCAAAGTGTGACTGATACTTCAAATAGGAGAAAGATGAAGATAATAAAAGGCAATTATCACCCTCTATTGAGCACTCAGGCCTTGCACCATGCAAATACTCTCAACATTATGTTATTTAACCACTGTTTTAAAAGCATCTTAGGGAACTTCTGCTTCCAAGAAAATGGAGTAGACATACTTTTCCCTATTATCCACACTAAGTACAACTAAAATCCCTCAACATTATACATAAAATAAATATAAACAGACTCTGAAAAGTGAAAAGAAGATGACGTACTGGCTTAAAACCTGGGGGCCCCCAAAAATGACATGGTGGTGAGTTCTCCAGGAGTTTTCATTTTATAGGTCTCATATATCCGATATGATATATGATGTCATCAGATTTGGAGTTGAAAAAACAGAAACCCAGTAATGTCAATGACACATACCAAAACAAGCCCCTAGAAAAGTTTGTTGTCTTTAGCCAAAGAATCAGAAAAGAGGGAAACTGTAAAGACAAGTACTGGAGTCCAGACTTCCAACACTGCTCCCAAAATACAAAACACTGCTGAAATAAAAGAGCTACAAATAAATGGAAAGGCATTCCATGTTTGTGGTTGACCATGGGCTTTAATATTGTTATACCTACTGTTGTTAAAATGTCCATAGTACCACAAATGATCCATAAATACAATCTCTATCAAAATCCCAATGGCAATTTTAGCAGAAATAGAAAAATGCATCCTAAAATTCATATGTAATCTCAAAGGACTCCAAATCACCAAACAATTTAGAAAAAGAACAAAGTTAAAGGACTTAAACTTTCTGATTTCAAAATATATTACAAAACTGTGGTAACCAAAACAGTGTGGTACTGGCACGAAGACAGATAAACAGACCAATGGAATATAATATCAAGCCCAGAAATAAACC
The DNA here is from genome assembly GCF_000001405.40 of Homo sapiens. Taxonomy (NCBI): domain Eukaryota; kingdom Metazoa; phylum Chordata; class Mammalia; order Primates; family Hominidae; genus Homo; species Homo sapiens. The sequence goes on along the minus strand of NC_000007.14, from coordinate 69,977,259 downwards.
TTCACATACATGGTTAAACAATCTTTGACAAAGGTGTCAAAGCCGTTCAATGGAGAAAGATAGTTTATTCAACAAATGGTGTGGGAAAACTGGACGCTCACATGCAAAAGAATAAAACTGGACCCTTTACACCATATACAAAAATTAACTCAACATGGATAAAGACCTAAATGTAAGACATAAAAGTATAAAATCACAAAACTGCTAGAAGAAAACATTGAGGAAAAGCTTCATGACATTGGATTTGACAATCTTTCTTGGATGTGACAACAAAAGCACAGGTAACAAAAGCAAAAACAGACAGATGGAACTACATCAAACTTAAAAACTTTTGTTCATCAAAGGACACAATCAACAGAGTGAAAAAGAAACCTATGGAATGGGAAAAAATGTTTCCAAACCATATGCCCGAAAAAAGGTTAAAATCCAGAATATGTAAAGAACTTCTGCAACCAAACAATGAAAAACAAATAACTGATTAAAAAATGAAAAAAAGTTTGAATAGAAATTTCTCCAAAGATAATACACAGGTAGCCAACAAAGATTCTCAACATCACTAATCATTAGAGAAATGCATTATCCCCTCAGATCTATTGAGATTGCTACTATCAAGAAAAACAGAGAACAAGTATTGAAGAGGATGTGGAGAAATTAGAACACTTGTGCACTAATGGTGGGATTGTAAAATGGTGCAACTGCTATAGAAAACACTATGGAGGTTCCTCAAAAAATTTAACACAGAACTACCATATGATCCAACAATCCCACTTCTACATACATACCAAAAAGAACTAAAAGCAGGGTCTTATAGCATCACTATTCACAATAGCCAAGAGGTGGAAGCAACTCAAATGTCCAATGGATGAATGGACAAACAGTATGCCGTATATTCATACAATGGAATATTATATAGCCTTAGAAAGGAAGGAATCTTGTCACATGCTACAACATGGATGAAACTTGAGGATATTATGAAGTGAAATAAGCCAGTGCCAAAAAGATAAATACTGTATATTCCATATTCATAAGGTATCCACAGTAGTCAAATTCAGAGAAACAGAAAGTAGACTGGTGGCTACCAGGGGCTGAGAGGAGCAAGGAAAATGGAGTTGTTCAATGGGTAAAGAGTTTCAGATTTGCAAGATGGAAAACTTCTGGATATGTGTTTCACAGCAATGTGAATATATTTAACAGTATTGAACTGTATACTTAATAACCGTTAACATGGTAAATTTCATTAAATACATCTTTACCAGAGTAAAATGCATTTTTTTTAAAAATCAGCTGGGCGAGATGGTTCAAGCCTGTAATCAGAGCACTTTGGTGGGCGGATCACCTGAGGTCAGGAGTTCAAGACCAGCCTGGCCAACATGGTGAAACCCTGTCTCTACTAAAAATACAAAAATTAGCTGGGCATGGTAGCGCACGCATGTAATCCCAGCTACTTGGGAGGCTGAGACCCGAGAATTGCTTGAACCCAGGAGGCAGAGGTTGCAGTGAGCCGAGATCATGCCACTGTACTCCAGCCTGGGGGACCGAGCAGACTCCACCTCAAAAAAATAAAAATAAAAAAAAAACAATTAAAAAAATTCAACGGATGGGCTCAAGACCAGGTGGAGGAGAGTAAAGAATCAGTGAACTGAAAGAACAACTAAAATTACTCATCTAAACAAAAGAGAAAAAAAGAGACTGAAAAACAAAACAAACAAACAAAACAACAACAAAAAACAGAGTATCAGGTATCTGTGGGATTATAACCAAAGATCTAACAATTGTGTCTTCAGAGTCCCAGAGAGAGAGGAAAAGGAAAATAGGGCTTTAAAAGTACATGAAGAAATGATGGGTGAAAATTCTCAAATTTGGCAAAAACAACACCTACAGATTCAAAAAGCTATGATAATACAAAACAGAATAAGCTCAAAGATACCCACACCAAGACACATCATAGTTAAACTTTGCTAAAGATAGCAAAAAAATCTGGAAGCAGCCAGGGAGAAAGAAGTCATGACATCTAGACAAAAGAAGGATAGTGGATGTCTCATGAGAAACCCTGAAGGCCAGAAGAAAGAGAACAACATTTTTCAATGGCTTGAAAGAAAAAGAAAAGAAAGAAAGAAAAAGACAAAAGAAACTGTCAACCAAAATTCTACATCAAGTGCAAACATTCCTCAGTAAGCAACAGGTAATCAAGACAACCTCATATAAAAATAAATAAATAAATAAATAGTTACTGGGAGAACTACCCTAAAAGAATGGCTAAAGGAAGTTCTATTTTTAAAAAAAAATAGCTAAAAGAAAGGATCTTAAGTCACTAGGACAGAAGAAAGAGCAATGATACAGTAACTTGTAAAAATGAATCAACTCTATGCTATCCATAAGAAACTCTCTTTAAATAAAACAATATAGGCAGCAAAAATTAAAAAAAGATACATGTGATTGTTAAATTTATGTGTCAACTTAAAGAGCTGGTAAAACATTATTTTTTGGTATGTCTGTGAGTATGTTTCTGGAAGAGAATAGCATTTGAATTGGTAGACTTATTAAAGAAGATGCCCTATTTGGGCACGTGGACCTCATTCAATCCATTGAGACCCAAACAGAACAAAAAGGCAGAGGAAGGAGAAATTTACTCTCTGTTTGAGCTGGGACATCCAAATCTCCTGCCCTTGGAGATGGAACATCAGCCCTTGTGGTTCTCAGGCCTTCAGTCTTGAAAAGAGATTTACGCCACTGGACCCCTCATTCTCAGGCCTTCAGAGTCAGACTGAACTACACTCTCCAGCTTTCCTGGTTTTCTAGCTTGCAGATGGAAGAAATAATTAAGATAACAGAATAGAAAAAAATAAGTTGAAAACAGGAAAACAAGAGAGAAAAATCAATGGAACACAAAACTTGTTCTTTGAAAAAAATCAATAAAATTGACAAACATCTAGTATGACTGACACAGAAAAAAGACACAGACATTATTATCAATATCAGGGATGAAACAAGGAATATAACTATACAGACATCAAGAAGTCAATAAAGAATACTATCAACAGTTCTGCACACTTAAATTTGACAACTTAGATGAAGTGGACCACTTCCTTACAAAGAAAAACTACCAGAACCCACCAAATATGAAAAACAGTAATTTAAGTAGCCCAATAACTTAAATTAAGAAAATTTAATTTCTTAAATTAACAATATCTAAAAAAGACGTTTCCAGACCCAGATGGGTTTCCACTACAGAATTCCACACAATGTTTAAAGAAGAATGAAAACCAATTATACATAATCTCTTCCAGCAAACAAATAAGGAGTGAACACTTTTAAATCATTTTATGGAGCCAGTAATATCCTCATAATAAAACCATTACAAAAAGAAAATTACAGACCAGTATTTCTCGTAAGTACAGATGCAAAAGTCCTTAACAAAATATAAGTAAATAAAATTGAGCGATACATACAAAGAATTATACACATTGACTAAATAGAACTTTTTCCAGGCTTGCAAGAATGGTTCAATATCTGAAAATCAAGCAATGTACTCTACCGTATTAATAGGCTATAAAAGAAAAACCTAATAATTATATCAATTAACACAGAAAAAGCATTTGGCAAAATTCTACATCCATTCATGATAAAAAAAATCTCAGAAAACTAGGAATAGAAAGGAACTACTTCAATTTGATAAAGAACATAGAGAAAAATCCTACAGCTAACATTGTACTAAACAGCAAAAGACTGAATGCATTTTTCCCCAAATATCAGGAACAAGACAAGGATATTCACTCTCACCACTCTTAGTTCACACCGCATGAGAAGTTCTACTCAGTGCAATTAGCCAAGAAAAGGAAATTTAAAAAGCATAGATATCAGATAGGAAGAAATAAATCTGTCCTCATTTGCAAATGACATAATTGTCTATACAGAAAATTTCAAAGAACTACAAATAAGTTCCTCAAACTAATAACTCCATTTATCAAGGTTACAGGATACAAAAAACAACATTTGAAAATAAGTTGTATTCTGTATACTAACAATATGCATGTAAAATCTAAATTAGAAATACAATACCATTTCAAGTGCCCCCCAAAAGTGATAGTTATAAATCTAATTCATATAGGACTTGTATGCTGAAAACTACAAAATGATAAAAGAGATCAAACAAGATCTAAATAAACGGAGAGACAAACCTCTTCATGAAGAGAAAGACTCAACAAAGTACTTAAAAAAAAAATTCCCAAAACCAATATCCTGGTTTAACACAATTCTTATCAAAACACCGGAAAGATTTTCTGTAAACACAGATGAGGTTATTATAAAATTTATATGAAAAAACACAGGTACTATTTTATCTTAAGCAATTTTGAAAAAGAATAGCTACAGTAATCAAGACTTTTTGATCTTGGTAGAGGAACAGACATTAAATCAATTGAGGAATAGAGAAACCCAAAACAGACCCATTTAAGTACAGTAAACTGATTTTGGACAAAGGTACAAGAACAATTTAATGGAGAAAGAATAGTCTTTTCCATAAGTGGTGCTAAAACAACTGGACATATACAGGAACGTGCACACACACACACACACACACACACACACATGCACGCACACACACACAAAGAAAAACTTTGACCTAAGTTTCATATCTTATAAAAAATTTATCTCAAAATGGATCATGGACTTAAATATGAAATATAAAGCTTTTAGGAAAAAAGGAAAAGAAAAATCTTCAGGATCAAAGGATAAGCAAAGAGTTTTAAGACTTGACAATAAAAGCAAGAATATAAAGGAAAGGATCCATACACTGGACTGCATCAAAGTTTAAAACTTCTACTCTGAGGAAGACTCTGAAAGAGGATGAATAGACAAGCTATAAATTAGAAGAAAATATGTGCAAACCACATACCCAATAAAGACTTACTGTCTAGAAAATATTAGGAACTGTGAAAAACTCAACAGTAAAAATTTTTAAATCCAATTAGAAAATGGGCAAAAGACATTTAAAGAGCAAGAGACATTTAACAAAAGAAGATACTCAAATGACAAATAAGCAAATGAAAAGATGTTCAACATTATTAGCCATTAGGGAAACGCAAATTAAAACCCATCACTGGACACCATCAGTACACACCAATAGAATGGCTAAAATAAAAAACCAGAAACACCACCAACATCATTGCATGCTGGTGAATGCGCAAGTAAACGGAATCGCTAATACAGTGCACTAAAGAGAATATGCAATAGTAGAGTCAGCCAGGAAGACAGTTTGGTGGCTTCTTAAAAATTAACCACGCAAATACTATACATACTACCCAGCAACTGCACTCTTGGACAATTATCCTAGAGAAAAGAAAACTTATGTTCACAACAAAACCTATAAACAAATGTTCATAGTACTTCTAGGAAAACAACTCAGATGTCCATCAACAGAAGAATGATTAAATAAACTATGGTACACCCATACCATAGAATACTACTCAGAAACTAATAGCATACAACTTGAACGAATCTCTAAAACATTATGCTGAGTAAAAACAGAAAATTCCAAAAAGCTGCATCCTGTATGATTCCATTTATATAACATTCTTGAGACGACAAAATTATAAAAATGGAGAAAAGTGATTGCATATCAGGAGTTAATGATGGGGGTTGTGAAGGTAGAAGGAAAGAGGCATGGCTATCAAAGGCCATCAGGAGAGAGACTTTTGGTGATGTGGTTGTTCTGTATTTTCACTGTACTGATGTCAATATCCTTGTTGTGATATTTTACTATGGTTTTACAATATGTTACCATTGAGGAAACTAGGTAAAGGGCATATGGGATCTTTACATTTTATTTCTTAAAACTGCATATTGTACTATTATTACGTACTACCATTATCTCAAAATAAGAAGTTTAACTGAAAAATACATTAGGTGATAATACTCCTCATTTAATAGATGAGAAAACAATTCAATTGAGTTTCAATATATTGCCCAAGGTCATATACTACCAGTAAATGGCAGAAGCAGAATTCAAACTCAGGTCGGCCAGACTCCTGGGAAAAAGTCACAGATTTACTCAGTAGCATTTAGGGGGGAAAAATGGTTTTTTGAGACAGGGTCTTGCTCTGTCGCCCAAGCTAAAGTGCAGTGGTGGGATCATAGCCCACTGCAGCCTCGACCTCCCAGGCTCAGGTGAACCTCCCACCTCAGCCTCCCAAGTAGCTGAGACCACAGACACACGCTACCACACCAGCTAATTTTTTAATTTTTAATTTTGCAGATAATGAGGTCTTGCTATGTTGCTCAGGTTTGTCTTGAACTCCTGGGATCAAGGGATTCTCCCGCCTTGGCCTCCCAAAGTGCTGGGATTATAAGGATGAGCCACAACACCCAACAGGGAATAAATATCTATTACGTGCAGGGATTCTGGATAGAAAAATCAAAATCAAAAACACAATGTAATTCTGTATCTCTAGGATCATATGTTACTATAGAAGACGCAGGTGAATAAGAAATTACAATAAGGTGTATTATGTATATACAAGGTCAAGGGCTAGCACTGTTGAGGGAGATGTAGTGAGAATGCTTAGATGGGAGAGGGGAACCATTAACAAGCAGCAAAACAGACTCAGACTGACCTTTTAAGATACCTCTAGCAGGGTTTTGGAGCACTGGAAGCACCATGAATGTGGCAGGGAGATCGATTAGGAGGCTCCTCTAATAAGCCAGAAGGGAGATGATAAGAACAGAACTAAAACAGCTCCTTTGGGAACAAAGATGACTGGCTGGATAGGGATGCCTTAGCTGTGCTAGGAGATGTAAGAGGAAGAAAATCCTTGGTTAAGGAAGAAGAAATTAACTATACTTTAGAAATGCTGCATTTGAGGAATCTGTTGAACTTCAGGACAGATATCTACCTAACCAATTAAATATATACCTCAGAAACTCAAGAAAGATATTATGCTAGATATAGAGCTTTTGGAATCATCACTTATAGGACATAGAAAAACACACCAAAAAGGAAATTGCTCAGGGAGAATATGTAGAATAAAAAGAGAAAGGGGGTATAGGATGAAATTAATTGAAGTAAGCACTCTTTTAGAAAGAAAGATAGCTAGGCACCAATCTAATTCAAGAAAGAGACAACTCATAAATAATTTAGATGGAAATTCTTACAGAGGAACATGTGTGTTAGTGTGGTGGTGGTTAAAAAAACAGTGTTTGTTTTATTATATATTTTAATTTTTGAAAGGGATCATGATTCCAGTGATCACAAGTGAACAGTATTCTCTTATGCCAATGTTTTTGGTCATGCGTTACTTGCCATTCTTAATTTTTCTTTCTCACTACTGAAGACTGATTAAATCATCTTCCTAAATGATAAACTAGGAGATGGATATTGAAGAGATTGTGTGATGTATTTTCTTATAGTTTTGGACAAACATCACAGCAGAAATATCTTTCCAACAATTACAAGCTTATATCAAATCAAAATGGTCAGTAGTTGACAATCAAGAGAGGAATTTCTTTTTTTGTCCTTTTAAAGATAGTGAGGGAAATTCCAAATCAAAAAGCCTTTGTAAGAATGGCTTTTTAGAGGAATACAAAAAAGATGGTTTTAGTTTGTTTTGTTATCAATGCTGTCCCTGTGTTTACACTAAGACTTATTATCTCTCTAGGTTAAAACTCAATCCATCTTGATGAGTTTTGGAAAACAAAAATCTCCAATGAAAATTTTTAAATTGAATCATTGTGAAAGAACAAAAGTTCTGCAGAGAATCACTGAGATCTTGAGCACCATAACCATGCCAAGAACAAGAATGAGATTTCTCTTTTTCTTCTATCCTCATAAAATCAAGACGAATATCCTTCAATTAGGTATAGAGCCTTACATTACTTAGCTTTACATTACACTTGTGCCTTGCCATATGGAAGCATTCTCTGCTTGTTTGGTTGCTAAAGGAATAGCAGCATGGTAATTCAAATGAAGCAATTAACTTAACGTTCTCCTTCTTTTTCTTTTTATGACAATCATTTCTGGAAATGCTTTTCCCCTTTTCACATTAGTTTATTTACGTGCCTTAACTCTTGAGTTTCAGGTTCCCATGACAGAACATTCAAGATAAAAGGGAAAGCATAAGAAGGCAGAGTACAGTTTTCAGTTATCAAAATTCATAACAGCAAACAATGGATGGTCGGCTTCTCAAAGGAAAGTAATCTACTGAGAAAAAAAAATCCCAAACCACAATCTTTCCCAATCCTGTGCATGAATAGATAATATTTTACTTATAATAGCTTTAATAGTTAACAATGCAAGTGAGTTTAAAATAAAAAATGGATATTTTAAATAAAAATCCTGTAATTTCAACATGGGTAAAGAAAGAGTAATTTTGCTGTCTTAAAAACACAGCAGAAACAAGTCCACACAGAAAAAAAAAATGCAGTAAAAAGGAGTTGAAAATGTTCTAACTTTTTTTTTAAACTAGGTGAATGGAAGAGGCATATTTAATGTGCTTATGCATATAATCATAAGGAGTATAAAGACAGTCGCACAATTTTCCATCTTGCCACATCACAGTTCCATTCTATAGAGCCTCAGCTTAACTCTACAATCAATATGCCAACGTTTTCAACAATCAAATCAAGGAGGGAAGATTTCAAAAGGGAGGCACACGTTAGGATCCTCCTGGAAATCTCATTTCTTGATCTGCAGTCCAATGCTCTACCTCTGAGCTATATCCTCTCCTGGAAACCTCATTTCTAATCCTGTAAATTCCCAACAGAGTAAGTGACACATATGGATGTGGAACCAAAAAGATGTCAAACAGCCCCGGTAAGTGAAGATGTATTAGAAAGTACACTTTTCCCCTAAAAGTCCAGAAATGGTATGTTAAAATACAGTGGAACTGTTTAACATCAAAATTTTAGGTACAACCAAAATTCATTCATAAAATATAATCCCCTGACAGACAGTAAAGAGATCATCTCATATATGGTCAGACAACCTTATGGGGATTCTTTCTACAACCAAGTAAGACTACAAATGAGTAAGCAGTTAGTTAACTGAAAGAGGAAAAAAATTCTAAGCCAACAGGTAATAGGAAGTGACTGTCAATTTGTTTCAGAACCAAAAATATATCTACCTTTGTAACAAATAATACCTTGAAAATTCTCTATTCAATCTAAAGCAGAATATCCTGCCTTTCCTGTTATTGTAGTTTCATTATTTCCCCTCTTTAAACTCTAAATCATGCCTCCGGAACAGAGTCTGAAGATTGCTTCCACTTGGTCAGCGGCAACGTCAGATTGCAAGCAAAGAGCTTGTGCTTCATCCAAGGATCATTAAGCCAAAGGAAATACATTCACAAATACAACTTCTCAGCTTCATTCACTTCCCCAAGTGGCCAGAGGAGCCCATCAACATGACAAGACTGGAGGGAGGTGGCAGGTTTCCCCTGGGAAAAGAAACCATATTGACTTACCTTCTCTGCATACTTGAACTTAACATAGAACCAGCTTGACTTGATCATTGTCTCACCTCCTGCCCTCAGAGGAAAAGAAAAATGAAAAGAGCAAAAACAAAAAACCCACAATATAGCGCTGGAGAAAAAGCAGTGTGTCAGCAAAGGCTTCTTTCCGATGCTGAGTTTTCCAAAGGATGACAAGTATTCAAAGACAGGAGGAATAAAAGGTGGAAAAAATAGGAAAAATCCACTCTTTCAAACCTGGCCCCCTTCCCCTTTATGTTCCTGCACACCTTCCCTGAGCTCCTAAAACACTGTGTGTGATCTTGCTCCGGAAACTGCACTCCAGGACTGCCTTGCCAAGCTGCCTGCCTCTCCCTCCCTCCCACTCCCTCTGTGTTTCTGTGTTGGCCGGCTGACAAGAGAATTCCTCAAATGGACTTCAACTGCCCTCCTCACAAATGGCACATGTCAGTAAAGGCAGGAGGCAGGCTATGTCCCCTGGTACCTCCCAGAAGGACAACCTTCTCCTCTGACCCCTACTCCCACGGGATGAATAATGAATTCCAGCACTCCCCTCAGGACACAGATTAACACCTGGCCAAACATTATTTTGACAAGAGGCTGTGTCTAGGAAAAGGACACTGCCACAGATTTAACCCCATGATCTCCAAAACAAGATCAGGAGGTGACCTTTCTCCACGCCTACAGAAAATTATCACACTAAAAACAGTCCAGTCTCTTTAGCAAATAGTGAATAAGAATCCATCTTAAGTTCTCCAGCTGAAACAACATCTTCTAACCTTTTGTACCAGAGAAAGAAAATTGGGACAGCTTTCTCTTACTATTCCCCCTTACGTGGTCTTGCTGACAGAACAGCTCCTAGTACTCAGCAGCAGGAACTAACAGCTTGGAAAAATGATTGACGCTTTATAGACATATTTCTTTTCAGAAACGTAAAGAAAATATTTTTATTTTTGTTATACTACTACTAACTCATTAAACTTCCAAGAAAAAGTGTGAAATGGCATCAGCACTCAGTTTACGAGATGAAAGAAACAGAGAGAAAGGGGTGAAATCAAGGAGCATGGTTTGAGCATACATGGATGTGAGACACCCAGGCACTGCCACGCTCAGGGTAAATGTGCTCGAGATGTTCAGGCACATGGGAAACAGTGATTTCCAAAATATTAAATAATATTATGGCACATCTCTATTGCCAAGTAAAAAATATTTCCCAAATACAAAATAATTAAGACCCATTTGGAATCAAAAGTAGATTCTACTGATTGCTGTAAACTATTCCCCACCTGTAAAGAGAGAGACAGCAATGCAGAGGAATTTGGATGTATGATGTTATCAGCTTCCATCTTCCAAAGTGGTCCAAAAAGGTCTGAAATATTTTACCATTCAGTTGCTTTGTGCTCCCTCTTATTTCTACTGCTGACTATAGCATTATAGCTAGTGGGTGGCTTTATCATGACCAGAAGGGTCAAAAGGTATGTGGGGGCTCAAGTCCCTTTGCTGTTGGCAATGGATCAGGAGCATGTATGACCCACTGTTTCATTTCCCTAACTCTGTGTTGCAGAAGCATCGAAGATGTGGACCTACAAATCCTTCACTGGAGGCACATCAGGCTTTCCTGAGCCAAGGTGTCTGAAGGCGTAACATTTGCTGAGACCTAAAACATCATTTAATAAATGTCCTCATGGAAAAAGAAGCTGCTATTACTTATCATTGAGCTAAGCAGCAGCTTCATTTAAGCATTCAAAATTTTAGGCGTGATTACCACTGAAAGACCCTCCTGAAAAACCCTACCCCTACCTCAAGTCAGTCACCATTATTATAAACTTCCCTGTAATAATTTTGAAGAAGCATTGTCCTCTACACTCACCTTAACAGTCTAATAGTATTTCAGTGGAGCAGCTATACAAGTGCATAGTAAAACTTCACACTGAGATTGACAGAAAGTGTGTCTTACGAGATCTGCATACAGTGAAGGATTGCAGGGGATTCTAATTCCAGTTAGTAACCAAGTGAGGATACAGATCACAGAGGAGGTAGAAAAGAGAGTCTATGGAATTCACACCAAAAATAAGACCTCTAATTTCTCTGAGAAGAATGGCTCTGTTCCTACTGGCCCCTCTCAATTCCCTGAAATCTTTCCAGCAGCCAGGTATTCTTTTTGTCCAGAATGCCCTTATGTTCCTCCCTCATAGTCTCTCGTCCTTTAGATTGGCACTGAGCTGTAACTTCCTGCAAGTTTTCCTTATCCTCAACCCTAAGTCTGGGTTGGGGGCATCTATAGCGTATTGAACTTCTCCCCTCATTAGCACTTATCGGACAATGTTATTGCTGCCTGTTTACTTCTGTGCATCTCCCTCTGAATTAGAGGTCTCTTGAGAGCAAGCACCCAATCTGCATCAATCATAGCTACAGTCTGTGGCTTGGCACCATGCATAGACACAGTTGATGCCTCGCTAGTAGTTGCTGGATGGTTGGAAGGAAAAGTTAGATCCTTTAGCAAGAACGGAGATGAGACAATGCATGTAAAGTTCTTAGCACACTTTCTCCAACACAACCAAGTTTTGTATTAATGTTTCCTATCATTATAGCCGTGGGGACAGTGGGGAGCATTTGGAACTATCACCAAAAGGATAGAAAAAGCAACTCGGTAAATGCACTGATGGGCAACACTGAAAAAGCTATCAGATGTTGAAGTTCACTGATCTATAATAACAGTACAGATAGAGATGTGATTCTTGTAAGGGGAACACAGGCTCATGAGGGCAGATGAGTGACATGCTGCTGGGAGGAAATGGGCAGGACAAGAGCTTCAGGGAACTGGGGGTACTAATAAGGAAGGTGGTGAGGGGTGAGGGGATTACTCAAGTACTGCAAGCTGGACAAGGAAAGGAGTGAGGCCAGAGGAGCTCATGGTCTGCAAAAAGAGTGAGGTGTCCAGGGTTTCACAGGAATTATGGGGTTGGAAGGTAAGGTGACAGAGTGACAACTGACCAACTGTACTTAGAGACATGATAGCAAAAAAAAATCATGTCTTCAGGAAAGATTGTGAAAGAGTAGAGATGTCAATCCATTTCCTTGTGATCGTTCCCCGTTTGTCCTAAGTCCAAAAGCTCACCGAGAAGGGAAAAAAGTAAGGTAATGAAAGATTCCAAAAAGCTAGAATCTGGGTAATCAAGTAGTTAAGACTCATTCATAGGCTTTATGGATATTCTACCTGGGGAGGGACTTTAAACTTCACGAAAACCGAGGACCCCTTTTATGCAAAAAGAGATAACAAATTCCCCATTGATAACGTACTAAATTTTAGCAGTCATTCACTGATCAAAGAAACACAAAATGTAAGAATTTAGTAATGCTTTTTAATGAGTTTATATTTTATTAACCATCTCTTCAACAAATGCCTAAGGATAGTGTGCACGCAAATGGGTAGCACATGTGCCCTATTTAGTGTCCTGGAAAAGGCTGTGCCTTCCAGGCTGCGAACTGACCTGGATCAAACACTACAGTGATAAAAGAAGTAAAGCCCGGAGGGTAAAGTGACTTCACCAAGGTCTCACAGCTGGTCCATGTCTGAGCTGGGTTTACAAGCTTTCCTGGCTCCAGCATGCCACTGCATAGAAGAGTCTCCCTGAGAAGACTGTAACTGTATTATATGTATCAGGTAATATGGTAGGATAGTGGAACAGTAGGAATTAATAAGAACACACAAATTTTCTTAGAGCTAAAGAGAGGAGGGACATGTTCTATTCATTTTTTCTCCCAAATATCTAATATTTGCATGAGTCTAGAACATTACTTATTGGATAGGAAGGAGGGAGATCAACCTCAATTTAGGAGGTACGTTATTGGTTTTTGTTCTTTTTAAAGCATCTTAAAAAAGGAAAAGGAAATGAACCAGTGGCAGCAGGGAGAAAAGGCTACTTTACAGGAGAGAGTACAATGCATCACTCAGTGGTTACATGTAAGAGCTTTGAAGACTGAAGGCCCCTGGTTCCAATCCCAGCCATGCCAAATGCTGGGTGTAATTGCAAACTAACCACTTATCTCTCTACCTCAAGTTCCCCATCTGTAAACGGAGGGTAATCAAACCTATCTTAAAATGAGGATTCCTGTAAGAATTAAATAGGCTCATAGCTGTGAAGCAGTTAACATAGCTCCAGGCTCACAATTGAGCTTGATAAAAGGTAACCACAATGTCACTTTAAATTACATCACAACCTCCTAACCTCTGCTTAGTAGCTCAGTCAGCTAAAGACACTTATAGAAACATCACTTCTTAGACTTCCACTCAGAAACTTCACCTGCTATGATAGAGCCTTAATTATCCTCTGATTAAGTCCAAAGCCTGACATCCTATAAGGAAGGGAAGAGGACCAGAGAGGACACCAGAAGTCTACCCGGTTCCTTGGAAGGTGTTAAGTGGTGAAAGATTCTATGGTTTGGTAGCTGCAAGATGGTCACCTCCTCCAACAGGAGTGTGTTCTCTAATTTATCTTTAATGTTTTCTGGAAAATTAAAAGTTCATAAAAACACACACAGAGATATAACAAACTATCAAGTGGGCTCTTATTATTATTATTAATAACTTATCCTTAACTCTGAAACCACAACCAAAACAGGCTTCTGCAGCAACTTATTTTCATTTCCTGGCATAAACTCCTTCTCCTTCCATTTCCCACCCACCTTTTTTGTTTTGTTTTAAACAGACAGTTTACTGTTAAAATGGGACAATCTATGTGGAGGAATTGCTTCAGCTGCACAAAAAGAACCCTCCACTGCAGCTGTAGTTGGAACACATCATTTCCTCTGGCAGAACATCTGAATGCTTTTTAAGAGAGTCTGAAGAGGTATGATGGGTGCTCAAGGACTTTCCCTTTTCTCAGCAAACAGAGCTGGTCACAGCTCTTACAAAACCTTTAGAAGGATTCATTCATCTGTCAAAAACCGTACGTCTTCCACCCTTTGTACGTGCTTTTCTTCTGCTAAGAATGACTTTCTCTCTCTTTTTCAGCCCTCCTAGTCCCTACCCAAGCAAGCACACAGGCATTTATGCACGAGCTGTGCACACACACACACACACATACACATACATGCATGCATGCACACACTCACCTTTACCTAACTCAAAATTCTCTCAGACCTGAACATTTTACAAAAGCCTCCCCTGACCCTCAAAGAAAGAATTTGCAAATGAAACAACTCAGACGTTTAGCTTAACAGTAAAGCTAAAAATAACTTCAACTGCAATGCAAAGTACAAAGATAGAGCTGAATTGTAAACAAAACTGTTTCTATCTTACAATCTGCTATTCAGCAGAAAAAGAAAGCCCCATGCTCTTTCCTACTCATTACATCCCATGATAAATGTGTACTTCCTTAAATCTTTAGGGGGACGGAGAAGTGCATATCATCTGAGCATTTCAGGAGGCAGAAATCATGCCTGTATTATCTGCATCTGACCTCTTCTCTGCTCCTAAGAGGTACAGGGCCTAGCAGGAAAGAAGCCAGGGCCCACTGCCAAGAACAGAATTAAATGGCACCAGCTCCAAGCTAAGTGGTTTAGAGTCCTTAAGGGAACCAGGCAAGAGGCCCATCCAGGATTTTGAAGGTGGGAGAATGATCTCAAGGGATACCAAGCCATCTTGTAAGGAAGAAGAGTTGAGGATGAGAACCGCCTCTATAAAGGTCAGTTCCAAGGTTCCTTCCCCTCTCTACAGTGTCCACTCCTGGATAATATTCCTCCCTTGCCATACGTATCATCAGGGCAAGCAAAAACAAGCTATCACAGAGCTGGATACATGAATAATGCCCTGCCATGTGTGGAAGGATAGAAAATAGTGTTCAATGCTTGAACCAATCACCTTCACAGAGGTGCTCCTTGATACTTAGAATTCCTTGAGGTTGTATGAGTTTTCTTATTTTTTTTCCTCAGAGCTTTCCAAAAAGCCCTCAAAAAGGTTCACCTGCTTAAGATTAAATTAAAGGGAGGAAAACATGCTAAAACCAATAATCTTCTTTTGAGAGGAAGAGTTACATAGCCTTACAACATGGGCTCTATCTCTGTAAACAATATGTTAAGAAACATTTAGTCATTTTTCTATTATAGAAATATGTCCAGTTGTATAAACTAGCTAAATAAATTGGCCTGACATTAGAGCCAGAGAATTTTGAGCTAAGAACCCACATTGGAATCTGTTCATACTTTCATTGCTATAAAAAGAGAAGACAACAGATGCCCACAGTATGAAAGGAACAGTTACATATTCAAAGGAAATTATCAGAATATACTGAGATTACAACTAACAACAGGATCAATGTTAAAGAGATTTTCCTAAAAGGTTCCTAAGAATAGGTACACTATGATCCATTTTAAAATATAAAAGTAAGCTCTGATACAATCACCTTGTCTATCTATAAAATGGACTCACCCAAAACACTCAAATTCAAGAGACAGGGAAGCACTTTCCCCTTAGACTTCAGAACTTATCAGAGATAGAGGGAGTTATACATTTTACATAAGCCATACTACAGATTGCTGATTGAGTGTTCCATCAAAAACTCTACACCAACAGATCTGATCCTTACCAGTTACATTCAAGACTCTGTGGAGACACTGGTAGCCAAACACAAAATGTAAAGATTTTACAAAAATAATGCAGTATCTGGTGCATGAAAACAGGTAACCAACAATACATACTGAGGAGTTAGCGAACACATGGACAGCAAACCATTCTCCACAAGGTACACCGGAAGGAATGATACACATACATACACGCCCAACACACACATAGAATAATCTGAGACTGAAATCCTAGGCAGTCTCGTTGAGAAGACTAATGATACACACAAGAAATGACTTATGACCTCCTCTTATAAAACAACAAATCCCAAAAGTGCAAATCAATATACCACACACAGAAGTTGATGAGCACCTAGAAAGCAGTAAGAGGGATTAAAAGTGGACAAGAACAACTTCTGATGAAAAGGAAGCTTTGGAGAAAATACAGAAGCTGATTAGGTCCACGGAAAGGGACACGACATTCCAGGTAGACATAAAACACCTAGAAAAGCAAAAGATAAGATAACGGAAATGGTGATCTTTCCTGTCAATATATATTTCACTGATTAACTCTGCATGTTCATCTCTCCAACAAATGTTTTTGGAAAACGACTGATTCTGAAGTTCGATATTGTGTCTTTTCATAAAAATGTGCATGTAAATACTTACTTCTATATAACAAATCATATACCTACTCCCTTTATACACAGAATTACACAGATAAATGGCAGCCAAGTTATTTTAACTGGTTGTGCAGCATGAATTCAGAATGATTTTAATTACAGTTTCTCTTTTAAAATGAGGTTTTGTTCTTTAATATTCATTGACTACTAGCTTGCTTCCCACACACAACACATTATTTACTCTACAGTGGTTTGGTGCATCAATTATGGTAATAGTTTGTGAATAACATTCACATTATGGAAAAATGAGCCTGGTTACTTAGCTCTCCCTCTGGAAAATTGTCACAAACATATGTATCATCTGTCTCTACTTAGAGCGCAGCAATTAGTAATTATAGCTGTATATACTTTTTTAAGGCAAAGAGGGAAAATAGACCTGAAATGTCATGTTTCCAAATGTTCTTAGGATGTTATCTAAAATTATTTTGTTTGAACTCTAGTTGAAAAGAGAAAATGCAGTCTGACAAAATGAAAAATCACTAAAAGCATGCTGGATACGCAGAAATAGACAAAGCATCCCACAAATGACATCACCTACTAAACAATTCCTTCTTCATCCAGACAGATTAAAAAAAAATAGGCCTAGAGCTGTGGCAGACCTGACTATAGCAGCCATACTGTGAAGCAAGACAGACTCGGACTCAGACCCTGGCCATATATTCTCTAGCTCAGTTAAACCATTATTTATGGAGTGCCTTCTATACACCAGGTGCAGTACAGAGTTCTATAGAAACAATTAGTAAGACAAAACAATTTTTCCAAAGGTTATTATGTACTAGGGAACTAGAAGCATAATCAATACAATTTAGTATGAAGTGTGCAGATTTTAAAAGAGGTTTAAGAGAGAGAAATAGTTCAGAAAGGTATTTCTGTTGGAAAAGAAAAAGGATAAGAGACGTAAAGCTTTTCCAAGAAACAGACTCCTGAGATGCAGTGACAGTATGATGTGGAAGGTCATGATCCGAGAAAGTGAAATCCTGGGCGAATCCTAGGTGATAACAAAGTCCGAGATCCAAAATGAGAATGGATACTTAGCAGGTGAAGGTGAGGGATACTGGAGAGGAGGTCAAAGACCTAGGAAGCTTGGTTTTTGATATACATAGATATTGAAATTGTCCAGATCACATATTACTTAGCTTCTCTGACTCCAAATTTGTAATTACTGCTCATTTGTAAAATGAGAAAAATAAAACTTCCCCAAGGATTTTTGAGAGAACTGAATGAGAGTATTCTGTAAGTAACTTGAATAGTTTCTGGCACCAGCAGGCTCCCAAAAGCTCTTTAAATATTAGCACTTTATTGTAACCAAGAAAATATTTAGAAAAAACACAACAGGAACAATACGAGAGTTTTGAAAAACAGGAAGGTAAAGAATAGCAGTTATATTAGGAAGGACAGGGTAGAGACCATGAAAAATCAACTGCCATAATAGGTGCTGTTCTTCCACACTGCCTTAAAAGACTGATCACTTGAGGGTCCAGAATTTCCAGAGGTAACGGGCAAAATTTGAGACAACTGATTACTAATAGGAGACCAGAAAGTATTTCCTTTTGCATAGGTGAAATGTGAGAATTTACAATCTAGTCCAGAATAGCTCTGGTGTACATATCACAGAAGCATCTAAAATTTGGTTCTCTCCAAATGTCATTCCTCAAGGAATACTCTGGCTTTCCCCTTTCCAATGCCAAAAAGAGGCAGGCAACCACAAAAACAATCCAGTCATACTGCCTACCTGCATTACCTGAGGACTTGTTAAAAATGTACATTCTCAGGCCTTCCTCAGGCCTACCGACTCAGACACCTTGGAGGTGGAGCCTAGCAGTCGGTTAAACCAGCCTTTTAGGTGATTTTGGTGCAGAAAAACGTCTGAGAATCACTAATCCAGTGCCATCTTGTAGTTGCAGAGTGACTATCTGAAACAGGCCCAGAGAGAAGGCCACACAGTGTCAGTCTCTGGACTCCTAGCCCTTTGTCTCCTCCTTACACTACATGGTTTGTGTAGAGACCTAAGAAGTAAATGTGCCCAGCTGTGTTGCTTTTAGCTCTGCCCCTGCTCTACTGCACCTCCACTTGGCCCTGATGGAAGTATTTTCTTGCAAGTAGGGAACATGAGATAGAAGCCAAACAGTCCATGGCTAAGTTATCATGCAGTGGCACCAGAAGCAAGTCCTGATTTATATTCTAGAGTAGAGGTTCACGCCTGTTTTCAGTAAAGGGCCAGAAAGTAAATACTTTAGGTTTTGCAGGCCATACAGTCTCTGTCATAATTATTCAACTATGCCATTATAGCTAAGAAGCAGCCACAGAAGATACATAAACCAAGGGGTACAGGTATGTTCCAATAAAACCCGATTTACAAAAAAAGATACCAGGTCGGGATTGGCCGGTGGGCTATAGTTTGCCAACTCCTGCTGTTGAAGATGGCTGGCACACAGCAGGTGTTCTATAAATACTCTGGTGAAGGAATGAATGAATGAATAAAAGAGTGAGGACTAGCTGTTGCTGCTCACTACATCCATGAATGCCTGTCCTTCGCCCTTTTATTTATTTATTTTCAGTACCTCACCACCAGGGCTGTTACATATACTTACTTGTGTAGGCTACACTTGCAGAAGGATGAAGGGCTGAAAGGGTGCTGAATTCCAGCCCACAACCCATTTGCCAAACCATGTGCCCTAGTGTAGAGCTGCTATGCCAGGAGAAAGGGGAGACTTTTTATAACCTGCACGAAGGCACAGGCCACTCACCAAACCATGTGCCCCTGGAACTGAATCCACTTGGGAGGGTTGTTATCTAATTTGTACACAAACACCCTCCCTGTTTCACTCCCTTCCTGTGTCCTCACCTTTTCCTTCTCTTCATCTAGACCCCAAGATACCCATTAATAATTACTTAGTCCTCCAGAATAGAAATGGTCTCCAAATGTTTTTAATTAGGAATCTTTATCAGTACAAAAAAATTCTAACATATTCCCCAATATATATGTAACTATAAGGCACAGATATATCACATATATCATAAAATATACAAATAAACATAAGGAATGACACAAAGATAAAATGAATACAACTTTTAATATTTTATCCAACATAATGATATTAGCTAATATCTCAGGGTACAACATCCATTCAGGACAAGGTAAATCATTAACAATCATGGATATAAACCTAAGTTCTCACTTGTTAAAATAGCTTCAATTTTTTGTCTGACTCCCTACTAGATATGACTATATAGTCGCTGTTTGTACCCAGCGATGCGGTTGATAAGGAGCTCATTAAAACAAAAAAGTCAACTCTGTCATTTTCCTGCTGTTGCCCTGTGTTTATGTTCTCTCATTCCACAGTTTCTTTGATGAAACTCTTAAAAATCACTTGCTCTCTGCCAGTTGCGGTGGCTCCCACATGTAATACCAGAACTTCTGGGGGCCAAGGCAGGCGAATTGCTTCAGCAGGAGTTTGAGGCCAGCCTGGCAAAACCCCGTCTCTCCAAAAAAAAAAAAAAAAAGAAAGAACAAAAAGAAAAAACTTAGTCAGGCGTGGTGATCCACACCTATATTTCCAGCTACTTGGAAGGCTGAGGTAGGAGGATCACCTGTGCCCAGGAGGTTGAGGCTGCAGTGAGTTGTGATCACACCACTGCATTACAGCCTGGACAATGGAATGAGACCCTGTCTCAAAAGAAAAATAAAAATAAAACCACTTGTTCTCTTTGCCAAAAGTAAATAATATAACCTACTAACATGCTTTATGAGCCATACAAACTGGAGCACATCACACAACGAAAGGCTGAAGGAGTGTGCCACTTTAGGAACTCCCACTCTTCCTTCAGGACCTGCCACACTCTACAGAGCACTGGACTGACTGTTTCACAGCCCGAGTGATGCTGCACTGTCAACTCGGATATTAAGTAACAGCAACATTTAATCTCTTCCTTAAGATGGAAATAAATCAAAATATAATTTCAACCGTTTTTTTCGTGCTCCCATGGATTATCCTAAAAATCTCGTAAGGGGTTGAGGGGAGAGAGCACATAACTCACCGTAAAGATTTCCACTCTATAGCACTGTTTCAACCGCAGGTGATCTTGATTGTAAAACCAATTTAGTGAGTAATAACGGTTACAGGTGAGTATGTATTAACAGTGTAAAACAGAAAAGGAAATATTAGAGTTTACTGCATATATAATTAAACTTTCAGTTTTATATGAGTACATGTAAGCACAGGTATGTATGTGCATTTGAGCATGTGCATATGTATGTATACTTGATGACATAAACTGTATTTGTAACTGTGAGCTGGGACAAAAAATGTTTTGAAAGCCATACTCTAGTGCTGGCATCTCATCCCATACTCCCTGGAATGAGATGCCAGCACAATTAGTGTGGTCAAAATGCCAGGTGAAGGGAGAAAGAGAAGGCAAAGCAGCAGCTGAGGCATGTTGGAAAGAACACCAGGCCTAAGTGAGATTTGCCTCTGAATGCTGGTTCTACACTGTCAAGGTGTGTCGACTAGGGAAGACACAATCCCCAAACCTCTGCTTTCTTTACCTAAAAAGTGGGGCTATGATACTTATGAAGTTGTTGTGGGAGCTACTGGAAATCAGGACTGTCACTAGACAATGTACGTCACATATAGGTATTATTGTCAAATGATAATAGTAGGGTAAACACCTCTGAGAGCAATAACTTGAGCATACCCTTAAAATGACACTGTATGGCAGATGCACCTGAATGTGTGTGTCGAGCTAGGGAGTCCCACAGTGGCCAATCCAGAGATTCATTCCTTGTCTAGGAGGAACATCTGAGCCCCCTGCCCATGCCACGGAACATGGGCCATACAGGGAATTGAGGCCCTAAACTTTGGGTTGGCATGCAAGTTGCCAGGTGAAAGTTGTTAAGGGGAGGGTGTTAATTGAAAATGCTATATAAACTGCATGCTGTTTGCAAAGCGGCTGCAGTTTTCCTGCCCAGCCCTCTGCCACTGAGCGGTGCCAGTATGTTGTCCAGTCTGCCACCACTGGACTCTCTCCCCTGTATGTAAGCCCCTAATAAAACCCCATGTCTCATTTGCTGGCTCTGGGTCTCTTCTCAGCCTCTTGAAGCTGGTGCCTTCCCTACTGAGATGAATAGAGGTTCAGCACAACAGATGATTTCTTCTTAAACTGGAGAAGTAGAGAACCTTGTTATGGAAGCTAAACACACAACAAGACATATAGCAAAGATAAGCATAGGAGAAGGCACTGTCCAGAGGTTTATGCATCCTGACCTAACTGGCAAGTCCTCTTTGATAGCAGAAGAGATAATGGTCTGTAAAGGAACACAGGTGTTGAGAAACCTTAACAGCACCCTCCCTCCCTACCACCTCTGAACACACCCTTGAGGCTACAGAAAATATAAGCAAAAGAAATGAAATACTGTTTTTAAAAACACCCCTTCTTAATATCCAGCTTCCTACAGCACAGCTTTCATTATTCATGAAGACAGCCTAAGCAATTTGTAAGCAATATGCAAAATATATTTACTTGGAAATTCAGGAAAATTCACATGGTGTTACAGAACAAATGCAAGTTGATTTATGTAGAAGTTCCACTTAAGAGCTGTTCCAGCCATCATGATGGGTTCTTACAGACAACCCCCAAAATCCATTTGGCTTCTCCAAAGGCTAGATTAGCTCTAATAATCCTAAAATATTAGACACCAAACATGAAACCCTTGCTCAGTGCAGACTGAAGACCACAAATGCCACTAATGATTGAACTGGGATCACTTGAATTTCTCAAATAGCCCCAAAGATAAAGGTTCTAAACCTGGTTGGGCCACTGACCAGCTTTATGACCTTGCATAAGGCAAAACTTCGAACTTCTCTTTTCCCATGTACAAAATAATGAAGCTGTCCAAAAATAACAAACTGGCGTTCTGTTTTATTTGGCCAGCACATTACTTTTTACAAAATGGTTTTGAGAACAAGGCACCATTCTCGCAGCAACTGGGGGGCCAAGGCAGGAGAATCACTTAAGCCCAGGAGTTCGAGCCTACAGTGAGCTATGATCATGCCACTGCATTCCAGTCTGGGCAACAAAGCTAGACTTCATCTCTAAAAATAAAAATTAGGCCAGGCATGGCGGTATATACCTGTAGTCCTAACTACTTGGGAGGCTGAGATGGCGGGACTGCTTGAGCCCAGGAGTTTGAGGTTGCAGTGAGCTATGATAGCACCACTGCACTCTAACCTGAGCAACAGAGCGAGATCCTAGCTCTAAAAAAATTAAAAATTAAAATAACTGGGTTTGAGTATATAATATTGTTAACTATAGTCACTATGTGGCATAAATAAAATTTGCTAAGAAGGTAGATACTAAGTATTCTCACTATAAAAAGAAAAGCGGTAACTATGTGGAGTGATTGATTAGTTTGATTTTGAATATTCACAATGTATACTTATATATCTCATAATCAAGCTATATACCTTAAATATATGTAAATACTTTAATTATCAACTATACCTCAGTAAAGCTACGGGGTGGGGAAGAATGGAGCAAACACTCTGCAGTCTGTCATAGGCTCCACCTCTCTCTAATAGAGAGGAAATCATAAGGGAATAGCTGCACAAATATGTTATCTGCTCAGCTGTGAGGTATATGCAGACAGATGCAGGGGAAGGCCAGCCCTTGACTCTAAAGTAGGAACTCAGTAAGGGCCCAAACAACTCTTGTTTCCAGCTGAAAGTAGTTGGGGGGGTACTAATATTACCTTCAGACCTCTTCCTCAGCAACTGACCTGAAGTTAAGTGCTCAGTCAAGCTTATGAAAAAATAGAGAACAAGGTATTTCTATGAAGAAATTTCTACAAAAAAAGAATTTCTAACGGCTTATGTACCCAAAGAGTTCTAGTATCTCTGCCTGCAGTTTCTGCTACTGGCTGGCCACCCTTCCAATGAATGGGAAATAAACAGAAGGCTGGGTCTCCCCAGATGTTGGAGAGCATTCCAGCTGCCGAACACAACCTGTTTGTAATTTTCTACTCAACCATCAGAATGAAAACACAAACCTTCAGAAAAACAGGCCCTTAAACTTCCTCCTTACTGCTGTTAGTGGTTTCTTTAATCTTTTAAGCTCTTGGGCTTAATACAGCAGCTGCCATCAAGAGTACTTATTGTTGCTGAGAATAGAAGGAAAGAAAAAAAAATCATACTAAATTCAGAAACGTGGATTTCCATTCTGCCAGAATCTAGGCTAAATGGCAGGGGTGAGGGGGACACAGTGATAATGGGAATCAGAAAGAATCACCACGTGGAAGCAGACTGGCTTGAAAGGGGCATCAGGCGTGTCTAGTGTGCTTAGGGAATTACTTTAACTCCTCACACCCCACCATTCTCCAGTTCCAACACTAAGTGCCATCCTTTTAGGACAAGATCTCTTAACAGATTCTTATCAAACAACATTGAGATAGGTTTTATGTAAATAAAGCACATGAACCCTTCTCTAGAACATGCCACTAATTTAGGGGAGGGAGGAGGGAAATTCAAAATGTAAATATCCTCAAATGTCATGGCTACACAACTTGAGCATAGGAAGAAACACATTTCCTGTCATCTAATGCAGTGATCCTCAAATGTGTCCAAAGTGCCCTCCATAGCAGAAAAGACTGATCACAAAACAAGGGATATCTATCTGTGGCCTGCTGTATGGACAATATTTCTTTCATTTTTGTGTTAATATCTTTAACACTATATGAAGATATATGAGTTCCTTTCAGTCTTTAATATGTTTGCTTAAGTATAAAATTAATGTCTTACCAAAAGCCTCAAGTGAATAGATATGAAAGGCAGGAAGATATGCCTGTTGTGTCCCTTGGGTGTTTATACTGTGACTTCATGTAGGTCCTAGTATATTGTCACATTTTCCAAAAAACACACAAGGAAACATGATCTAGTCCAATGCTACAGTTCTGATAACAGGGAAAAATAAGACCCACAGAGGCAGAAACTCATGCCCAAAGTCACACAACTTAGATATTTAACCCAGTATTACAACTACTAGTTCAATGGAATGCACTTTTCACTAATTTACAATGATCCTGCATATTAGCTTATAAATAGTAGAGGTAAACGAAAAAGCTTACTACTTAAGAATTAACTCCCTCCCTCAAAATTGCCCAAACCTTGCCAACCTTTGAGGGGGAGTCCCAGGACACATGCTGCTGCCCATGAACTATCTGCATTTGGAATCACATTAACATCTTAATAATTTAGTGAATGTTCAGCATTAATTACTTTCATTTGGTTAATTTAATATCATTTTTCCATCTTTATGACAAAAAGTATGGGTACACAAAAACATTTAAAGGACAAAGTAAACACCACAAATATAAATTTACACTTTCAGACTTTAACAGTTTTTGGAAGCAAAAAAATATAAATATTAGCCCTTGAGAGAAAACTACAAAAAAAAGGGTTCAATCCTTAGAAATAAAAAATGGCCATAAAAGTGCAGTAAAAAATAATTAGCAACGAAGGTACCTAGAATTTAAATCTGAGCACTTTCTCTTTAGGTAAATCGAGTAAAAATCACAAAACATAAAGTAACTGAAATAATCTGTTTTTCCTTCTTTCTAAATAAAACTGAAGGTCTTTCAAATCAGTTTTCCAGATTTTGAGCCAGGGGAAGAAGCCTTCAAATGGACCCAACACACAAATAATCGAGAGTTAAAGCCACATTTTTCCTCTCTAAAATAACTGACCTTTTTTCTTATATCAATAGTTCATTAGCTAATGGATACCCCTAATGAATTCCTGTTGAAAGGAAAAATCAGCTACAATCACACTTCACAGTGCAAGTCCCACAGGAACAATGAAAAACCCAGCTGCCATCTTGGAATCCTGGAATCGCCTCTTCTGATGAGGCTCCCCGTGGTCATTTTAAAAAGCATAAAAGTGTTCATTATCCCACAGGCTGTTTCTCAAACAGCCTTAGCTAATTCTCTGTGTGGATTTACTGAGTCCTCAAAAAAGCCAAATGCAAAACGGATGGCTTCTGTCCACTATCTCTGGTATTAGAGAGGCTCATCATATCCACCCTCAGTTTTCCATGGTTCCAGATGCTTTATCAGGTAGCATGGACTCTGCCTGGCCCTGCAGTTTCAGAGCACAAACTGACGAAAAGAAAATACAATCCTGATCAGAACAAGAACTGAGAAACTAGAATTCTTCCTGTTCTCTGAAGACTAAAAACTTACAATGCTACTCTTGAAGCAAAAAAAAAAGCCTGAAGACTCAAGAGTGGACCAGTGGTTGGAAGGAGGTTGAGATCACCATACCTCATAATTAGCTGAAACAACTTAGGAAGCCATTTTAAAGAAGTTCTGTTGACAAATTATAAAAACTATTTTTGCTGAGTCAAATACAATTGCAACAATATTGAAATCTACAATAAAATATTTATCTAAAGCAATCACTGTTGGAAATAAAAAAAGTTATTCCTTGCAAATTTACAGCCATACTCACTGCTATAACCTTCTCCAAATCCACCCTTTCTTCCCTCTCCCCATTCCTCATGAGCAGGGAGCCTTTAAAAAAAAAGAGAGAAAGAGAGAGACAGGTCTTGCTATGTTGTCCTGGCTGGTCTCAAACTCCTGGGCTCAAGCGATCTGCTCACCTCAGCCTCCCAAAGTGCTGAAATCACACAGACGTAAGCCACCGCACCCGACCAAATCCACCCTTTCTAAGATGGGATCTGTACTAAATATGTAAATGTAGTACTTATTGCAACGGCATGACTTTGCCATCCATGGATGGCTCCATTCCTCTTCTTTATTCACACTCCTAGAAAATCCGTATACAGCATACCTTGACATTACTTGGCCTTCACTTGGAACACTGGACCAGAAGTCATGTGGCAGTGCTTGGGTATAAGGTGATCAGAAAAGCTACTGTGAATATGCTTACACTGTTTAAGAATGAAATTAGAATAAAAGTTTTAAAATGAAAATATGCCAAAAATTAGCAACCTATAATTATAATAGAACTTTTTGAGAAGTAACTTAACACACTGTCTCCCAACATATTATTTCATCCTCCAAATCTGCCAGTGCATAACTTTTCCATTTTAAAAATAAAAAAACTATGTTGAAAAAAATTAAATATCTTGCCCAAAATCACATACCTAGAAAGTGGCTGAACCAGGATTTGATTCATTTACCTAACTCCAACATCCACATTATTTCTGCTTGCTCATGCAAATTTCAATGGGATATATATTGGTAAAATTTAGCTTTGAAAGTCTGATTTTCTGAGCCTTGGAATACACAGAGCTGCTCACAAAGTATGGTGCAGAAACTTTGTGCTACGTTTTTAAAATTTATATAGGTATAGATATAGATATATAGCTAACAGTTTTATTTTGTCCAGTATGGCAATATAACTGGCAATTTTTGAGGAGAAAAAAAACAGTATATGTTCTAAGCAATACTTAGGGAAAAATCAGCCCCAATTATTCATTCAATTGATCTCTTGTAGGAATGGCAAGTCATCTCAGTCTAAAACACTGAGGGTCTCCATAGTCATCTAATGCTGCAATGACCTTCCTGAAGTACCTGAAGTACACACCAGAGTTAAGATCATAATTAGATCCAAACATTTATTAAGCATCCAGTTCAATTTAACAAATATCTATTAATTATCTACTATGCACCAAGCACAAAGGAATGTGCCAGCAATACAAACAAAGGCAGTAACTGAACCAGACAAGGTGCTTCTAAAGAAGTCCAGAGCACAGACAGGGGAATCCTAAGAGCCAGGCTACAACCAGGTGCTACAGAAACATTTGGAAGAAGAGCATCATGGAAAGTTCATGGAGAATGTGACATTCTACTCAGATCTTGAAAAAATGAACAGCAAATTTCCTGATAACATTAGGAACATTAAGTGTTTCTAAACAGAATCAAATCTAAGTTTAGACTATATATCTGATAGTGGCTTCAATTGGGAGGTAGAAAAACTAAAGTAAATCTTTTAATGTAGTTTATTGTGCAAGGCAAAATGCACACTGGTTAGAAGCAATGGCTTTGCTAATTGCTAGCTCTATGACCACAGGCAAGTGGTGTTAGCTTTTTCTAAGTCTCAGCCACCTTATCTATAAAAATGTGGACAAAAATAGCACCTACATGACAGGTTGATTGTGAGAACTGGATGGGATGATTCGTGACAAACATTTAACACAGTAACTGACCCACAATAAGCACTCAGTATATGTTTCATTACTGCTGAGGCATGAGACAACAGGGAAACTATCTTGCAGGCATTTTCCATTTGTCTTTATGTATGTTACATCATATGCATTACATACACGCACTAAGTTACATCCATTCTGTTCATCACTTGGGTTTATGATGTTCTAATGGTAGATAAGTGCAAATTACAATAAGGCTAGGTGACTAATAAAAATCAAGAAATAGGCTGGGCGTGGTGGCTCATGTCTGTAATTCTAGCATTTTGGGAGGCCAAGGCAGGCGGATTACTTAAGGTCAGGAGCTCGAGACCAGCCTGGCCAACATGGTGAAACCCAATCTCTACTAAAAATTACAAAAATTAGCCAGGTGTGGTGGCACATGCCTGTAGTCCCAGCTACTTGGGAGGCTGAGGCAAGAGAATCACTTGAACCCGGGAGGTGGAGGTTGCAGTGAGCCAAGATCATGCCATTGCACTCCAGCCTGGGTGACAAGAGTGAAACTCTGTCTCAAAATAAATAAATAAATAAATAAATAAATAAATAAATAAATAAATAAATGAAAGAAAATTTTGGCTTTTCCTTTTCAAATGCTATTAACACATCTTACCACAGTGATATAAAGCAGTTCATCTCACTGAGTCTCAATTTCCTTGTTTTTAAATAAAAATCTTAGCACAGAAGAGTTAAAGACATGTTAGGATAAGAGCACAGATGAAAAGTCTAGCCATTCATACAAGATGGAAAATAATAAGTCTGCTCTGTCCCCTTTCTGTTTGTCAAAATATTTATATGATTAATGAGGTTTTGTGGGGAAACTTTTAAAGCATAAGTAATACAATGGCTGGAGTGTTTTAAACTAGTTTGCTTACATTCTGGAGGTGTATGTTTTTATTTGCTTAATTCTAACTAGCAGCAAAGTTCCCAGTATTTGAGAAAATATCTTTGATCTGTAGGCCACAGGCATAAGACCTCTTGGGGATGCTTGCCAACAAGGTAGATAAAAGAGTAAAAGAATATCTTTTGAGCAATGCTATCCAGTGAAGTGGATTGAGTGGGTTGCAATTCACTGTGTGAAGTTATTTGGAATTATTCTGGTGGAGGCCTGCTTGAGTGGCCACCACTCCACTTGCTTATCCACTTCTTATCTACTTGACTACTCAAGGGATAAAGATTAGCAACTGGGCTACCGCTGGGCACAGCTAAAAGATGCCACTCATAATGTAATTACAGTCTATGGCTATTTCATTTATTAAATAATTCCCTAAGAACCACAGAATTGCTTTGATGTGTATGTAGACATAGGACTTCGCGAAATAATAACAGAGTAAAAACTTAAAATTCTAAAGCATATTTAAAAACACAAAACTTTATAAAATGGGAAGCTTTAAACAGAAATGCCACTTACAAGCTGTGTAACATTGGGCAAGTTACTTAATCTCTCTGAGCCTCAGTTTCCTAACCTATAAGAAGGGAATAACAACCGTACCTACCTTAGATCAATGAGATAATCCAAATATACAGTGGTTAACACAAAGCCTAGCACAGATTCACTGCTCAATACATGTAAGCTATTATTAATGTTTTGTCTTTGTGGAGCAAGGCAACCAAGCTTAGAAAGCCTATATAACAAATTTATCTTTAAAATGGCAACCAGCGAAAGTTTTGATTTTAACTTGTTTCATGGCCCGAAACAGAAACTTGGATAATAAAAAAATCTGCCTAGTGGGTAACAACAATTGGGCCTTGTTTATAATTTTATATTACAGTATCTAAAATAAGTAGAAACTTAGACATACTACTTTTAATAAATGAATTCCACGGTATTTCCACAGCCAACAAAATAAAAATCAATGCTTTTAGATAATCTCTTTGGACGTTAGCAACGATCTATCTCAATCAAGATTTTACTTGTCATTTAGTAATCATTTAGGATTTTGAAATTCCAAATCCTTACACTGAGACGATCAGTGGCTTTTCTCGCCAAGATGCCCATATGTGTAACATGAACTTTCTGTCACATAAGCCCTCAGCAATTTTCTGTGTTTTGTGAAGTCGGCAAGCACTGAACTGCCAAAGCACTATTTCCCTCCAAGCCTTGCACACAACATAACTACCCCACAGCTTGATATTGGTGTCAATGCTCAGGTTCAGAATGAGGATCAACACTAGATTAGTTGACATCTGTGTAAGCCGCAATGGCTCCCTCCCTCAATCCCTTTAAACCCAGCATTTACAGTTTTGTACGGAGCATCTGTAACGACAACAAGCACTGCTGGTAACACTCAAACACTTCTGGCTGCTGAAAAAAGCAGTGTGAATTCTAGTATCAAACGAGTGCCCACCAGGATTTTCCATGAGTTGAGGACTAACATGAGAGAACTGGCAGACAGATGGTCTACTCAATAAGACTGCTTTCCTTGCCTCACAAGGCAAGAGGGGCGGCTGATAATTCACCAGAAATCTACCAACCAGACGAAAAGAAACAACAAAACACACGTTGCTTCTATATTCAAGACATCATAAAGCACTTTATATACTTCGTCTTATTTCACTGTCACAAAAATATGATGCCCATCAACTGATGAATGGATAAACAAAATGTGATATATTCATAAAATGGAGTATGATTTGGCAATAAAAATTAGTGAACTTCATTATTTATGGCTAAATAATATTCCATAATACAATACACACATATAACAGAGGGTGTCTCTGTGTGCGTGCGTGTGTGTGTGTGTGTGTGTGTGTGTGTGTGTGTGTGTGTGTGTGTGTGTATCACATCACATTTTCTTTATCCATTCATCCATCAATGGACACTTAAGGTTGTTTCCACGTCTTGACTATTATGAATAATGCCATAATGAACATGGTAGTGCAGATAGCTATTTGAGACATGGACTACATTTCCTTTAGATATATACTGAGAAGCAGATTTGATAAAGCCTACGGCAGTTCTATATTTAATTTTTTGAGGAACTTCTACACGGTTCTCCATAATGCTGTCCCAATTTATATTCCTATCAACACGATACAAGGATCCCCTTTACTACACACCATTGGAAACCCTGCAGTTTGTAACAACTTGGGTGAACCTGGAAGACATATGCTAAGTGAAAGAAGTCAGACATAAAAATACAAACACTGTATGATCTCATTTACATGTAGAATTCAAAAAAATCAAATTCGGCTGTGTGTGGTAGCTCACGCCTATAATCCCAGCACTTTGGGAGGCAGAGATGAGAGGATCACTTGAGGCCTGGAGTTTGAGACCAGCCTAACCAATATAGTGTGACCCTGTCACTAATAAAAATAAGAATAAAAAATCAGCCAGCCAGACATGGTGGGCACGAGCCTATAATCCCAGCTACTCAGGAGGCTGAGGTGGGAAGATTGCTTGAGCCCAGGAAGTCAAGGCTGCCGTGAGCCACAGCACTCCAGCCTGGGTGACAGAGTAAGAGCCCATCTTGAAAACAAAACAAAACAAAAAAATCCAACTCATAAAAACAGAGAGTAGAATGGTGGTTGCCAAGGGCAAGGACAAGGGAAATGGGAAGATGTGATCAAAGGGTACAAACTTTGTGAAAATAAGTACTTTCTCAAGATCTAATGTACAGTCACGGTGATTACTGTTAATAATGTTGTATTGTATTCCTGATATTTACTAGAAGAGTAGATTCTTAGTGTTCCCATCACCAAAAAAAAACCCAAAAAAACAAACAACAACAACAAAAAATGGTAACTATGCAAGGCAATGGATTTGGATTAAGGTGTTTAATTAACCTGATTATGCTAATTATTTCACAATATATACATATATCAAATCATCACATTATACATCTTAAATATGTACTTTTTTGCCAATTATACTTTAATATAAAGCTGGGGGGTGAGGAGAATGAAGTACTGATACATGCTACAACATGAATATTGAAAACATTATGCTAAGTGAATGAAGGCAGTCATAAAACACAACATATTATATAATTCCATTTATATGAAATGTCCAAAACAGGTGAATCCACACAGACAGAAAGTAGATCAGTGGTTGCCTAGAGTTAGGGAAGTTAGGGAGGAAATGGCCCTTTTGGGTTCAGGATTTCTTTCATGGGTGATAAAATGTTCTAAAATTGCTTGTGGTGATGGCTGCATCTCTGTGAATATACTAAAATCACTGAACTATATATTTTAAATTAGTGGAATTTTATGGTATGTGAAATATATTTCAATAAATCTATTTTTTAAATTGTGAAACAGGTATCATTACCTTTACTTTGCAGACTAGGGAAGTAAGCCTCAGAGCCACACAGCTAGTACAGCAGAGATTCAGTAAAAAGCAGTTCAGCTGACACCAACTACCAAGTTGTTTGTTTGTTTGTTTTTACCTACATACAACTGCTTCTCAAAATGCTTAGGATGCTAAGAAAGGGTGCAGATCCTAAAATCTATCTGACCCTTTCATCAAAGTAGGCTGCTTTGCTGTCCTCAAACTCTCCCATCCCTACCAACTGTTAAATACATGTTTGCATTTGGATACCATGAAATCTGATACGTAAGGGTAAAATCACAAACCTTAAAAGAAAGTGTGCCTCGTACAAAAAGTTTTAGCCAAGAATACACTGCCCCTCTGAATCTCAAAGTTAGTCTAAAAAGCGACCAAAAGATTATCTGTCCCCAAATGATTGAAAAGAAAAAGTAGATGAAGCATGAACAAAGTTGCTGACCATTCAGTTTGATGGTTCTCAGCCCAGCAGACCCAGTGGCCCATTTTGTAACTCGGTTACTATAGTGAAATTCAAAGATACTGTACCCTACACAAATGGTTTCCAAAAATCAATGCAATACCCTAAATATATATGTCTTCTACAGTCTTACACTTAGATAAAACAGGTTTTTAAAGTGCACATGAATCAAATCACACAGGCAGCCATGCTGAAAGAGACCCTGAGTCTACTCCAGCAGTCTCCATCTAAAAACGCTGCCCCCTTTTCGAGCATGCCCAAACCTGACTCAAAGTAGGTATGTGCTGAGTTTCTCTTCTCTAAGACAAGAAAACCATTTTATTAGGAATAGTCTACAGACTCTATATATGGTGTAGCTCTGGGCTGGAATTATTCTTAGAGAGCTGAAGTGAGCCCCTCAAGGTCACAAGTCGAGTTTCTATGCCATCTGTTAAAGAGCTGTCATGGAGGACACTGTCTCCCCCACATCGCAGCCTGGTTTTGAAACTTGCACTTCCATTAACTAACTCTGAGGTCTTCACTTTAATTATCTGGGCCTTCATTTTAATCTATGAAGTTAGATGAGCTATAGAGTCCCTAGTACTTTTGTCTGGAATGAACTATTTATCCCCAACAAAAATCTAATTATTTAAAACAACTGTTAAGCAGCATTTCATATCACCAGTTTGTACACTCGTTTTGACTGATGATTCACACCTTCCTCCCACAGTGAGTACCATCATTACCTGCTAAAACCTGCTTCAAAATAGTATGTGCCCTTGTCACTGTTTTTCTAGGTGTATGTTACCTCCATTCCCAAATTCTTCTATGTCCCTTTGCATTATTTTCTATTTGATCACTTACATACATACCTATTTTTATACCAATACACAAACACCTATTTTTTTCTTAGTAAATGGAAAATTTGTTCTCTTTCAAATCCCAAATGAAGATGTTTTCAGTGAAGTTAGTTTTAGTCTGATAATGAAAGACAAATTCACTGAAAATATCTCCCTGATAGACCCTAGGAGATAATGATGACATAGAAAGAGAAGTAATTTACTATAACAGGAATCAATATGACTAAGGTATTTAATAAATGGCTTTGATTTAGAAATACAAATACCAATATTTCCTGCATGACATATAAATTGTTTGCAGGCATTTTAGAATAACAGTAAATTCATCAAATGAATTATGCAATAATTCTGAGGCTTTGCCATACTGCCTCTGAAGCTAAATTTTGAAGCCCATTTGAAGCTGACAGAATGAAGACATACTCTAAAATAATAAAAGCTAATATTTATAGGAAACATACTATGTTCCAGGCCTTGTTCTAAGAACTTTACTTATATTAACTAATTTAATTCTTACAAGGTGCTTGGAAGGTAGGCAGTAGTATTATTCTCAGTTAACAGATAGGGAAACTTCCCCAACATCCTTATATCTTAATCTATAAGCACATTTAAAGCTCATGAATATGCATGAGGCATATGCATGCTCTGTGTGAATACATACATATATAACGCAAACACATATCAATGTAACTGTACTGTGTGTGTATATGTATACACATGTGTGGGTGAATGCACAAATAGATTTGGCTAGGGAAAGAACACACATATGGTCCCGATTTAAAGACTGGAATTTAAAGATTTTTCAATCAGTGCACTTGATAACCATATCTTTCTAGTCAGTAAATACAGAAAAATAATTCTAGTGTCAGTTTTCTATTGGCAAGCATATTAGAAGATTAAATTGTTGACACATGCAAACTGATTTTCACAGCTCCAGCTGACTGATAGCTTTAGACACAAGTCACGTAACAGTTTTGTTGTGACTCCTGTCATACAGAAATTCATGCAAATCATGCAGAAATCACCAGTTGAAATATGCTATACTTGCCACTGTCAAGATGACTTGCTACCACAATGCAGCTTACTCCATGGATGGAATCACAGCCCAGTGGGGGAACAAAGCCCTGCATCCTAGCAAAACTCTTGCAGATGCTGGACAGTCTCCCTCAGACCTGGAAGTAATAATTATTTAATAGCGGGCTTTCTTTCCAGTAGAAAAAAAAGTCACCATAGATGCAGGGCAAGTATATGATTAGTCCTATAGCTTCAACTTCATAATGACATCACTCACCCTTTCTTAAAAAGAAAAATAGCCCAAAAACTTCTCTGAGGAAAACCAACTACTACAAACCTTAGGTGAAAACCTGTCAAAACACAAAATCAGAAGTACATAAATGGTAGCATACCAAGCCTGTTTTATATGATTATCACTGATATTCAGAAGATAGGTTTTTTGTTCATTTATCCTCCTAAGATTTACTGAGTGCCCACAATATGTCAGGTATTGATCTAGGTGCTGGGCTGTAGCTGAGAACAAGTATCTGCTCTCAAGGACCTGATATTTAAGTGGGAGAGACAGACCATAAACAAGTAAAGAAAACAACTGTGCATGCTGAGCCAAGAAAACTAGAATCAAGTAACAGAGATACAAGGGCATTGTGAAAAGTCTGAAGTGCAATATGACCATAAGATACAAATTTTCTACGTATTCTCAATATGTCCACCATCAGTTATTCAGGTGCCTGATGGAAGGGCTCATGCTTCCTGTCTCTTTCAGGTCTTTCCCTAAATACCTTACACACTGTCCTGAGCAAAGCATGGTACAATAAATCTTCAACAATTAAAAATAAAATAAGCAACCAAAAATAATAACCCTGAGTCAGGAAGATAGCATTTAATCTAACCAGTTCATCCAGTCTGGCCCAATTGTTTTTCCTTTAGAAACTCCTGTGTTGCAGAAGATCTTCACTTCCCAGTTTTTCAAACACCACATTTAATTCCTCACAAAGTAATCCCTGCCCCCATAAACTGAGGTTAACTCTATACTACTAGCAAATACACATTCTCAAGCATGACGACTATAATGGTTACTACAAGCTCAGGTTTAAAAAGTTTGATCAAATATCAAAATATAAACTCCACAGGCACCTGTCACACAGCCAAAAAAAAAAAAAAAATCTAGAAGGTCTGTAGGGCAGACTGGAGCTGCTGCTGTAGTATAAACTGCAATATAAAAACTTCCCATCTTCTTGGAATTTATCTCACCCCACCCAGTTCCAAATGTTAAGCAGAAAACACCTAGTTACAAATGGTAATCAGAATGACACTTTTGGTGGTTCTCTAGACAGGAAAGACGTTTGAGGTGAATAGAGTTAGCTCAAGGGAGAAATGAAACTGAAATTGTTACCCATGTGGATAATTACCCCTTTTCCTCTTGAATCCAAGTGGCAATTCCTTATAGATGTGGCATTCATCCGTCCCTCCCACTGTTGTGCAGTGCTGCTGACGCTGTCAGATCATCCCACGCTTTGACTCAATGAGAAACTCAGTGTTGGTAGCTGAACTGTAGTGCTGGGGCTTATCAATGGTACCACATCGAGAGGGTCGACCTCAATTATGAAATTACCTTAACTTGGGAGGGTATAACCCTCTACAACAAATGTGTGTGCGTGTGTACATGCTTGCGTGCATGTGTATTCTCTCAGCAGGAATTATTCTCTAACTGGGCAAAGCCATCCATATTTGGATGACACAAGCCATCCATGTTCTCTTGCAGGATCCTTCTTTTGAGCAAATAAGCTCCACTGCAGATAATTTGTTCATGTTCCAGTCTGGTTACATTGTAACCTTCTTCTGACTGTTAACATAGGCATTGTTACTGGTTCCTCCCTCACCCTCATCTCCCACATCCAGAACTCCTATTATCTGCATCCTAATAAGCTCCTAAGCTTCTATCCATCCTTACCTCTACTACCTTGGTCCAGGCTGCCATCCTCCTTCACCTGGATTACAGCATCAGCTGCCTGACTGCACTCTTGTCCTCTACTGTCTCCCTCTATGACTTAGACACATCACTAGTGAGAAACACGTTAAAGCTTACATCTCATCATGTTATACCCATGGTTCTACCCCTTGAATGCTCCGTTTGTCCTTAGCCCTTTATATTTCCATGACCCACATCCTGGAAGTGGGACCTACGGAGGACTTCATGATTTGGCCCCTGTGGCATCACTCCATGACACACACTCTCTCACTTTCTCTACCCCTAATGGGCTTCTCTCTGTTGTTCCTCCAAATCACCTATTTTATTCTGTCCAGCCTGTGGCCACTACACATGTTGGAATAGTTTTGTCCATGAGCCCTCACCTAGAGAGCACCTACTCATCCTTCATGTTTCATCCCAAAAGACATTTTCTCAGGAAAGCCTTCCCAGCCTTCCTCTTCCCTAGGTTAATTCGCCCTGTTGCAGACTCCTACAGAACTCACCATACTTCAGAGGATTTGTCAACTCTCTGCCCTTCTCACCATGAGGGGTCCAGCCAGAAGTTAGGAACGCAGGCTCTGAGAACTGCCTGCCCAGGTTCAAATCCTGACTCTGCTATTTGTAAGTTGTGAAACCTTGTGGGAGTTAGTCTCTTTGTGCCTGGGTTGTGTTACCTATAAAATAGAAATGATAATAATAGCATCTACCTTATAAGTTTGTTCTAAGAATTAAAATGGATGAAAAGAGTTTAGAATAGAGCCTTGCATACAGTAAGCACTGAAAGAATGCTTCCTGGTGGTATGATTACTACTGTTGTTGTTATGATGAGTGGAATATCTGCCTTGTTCACCATTATACATGCAATGTCAAATACACAGATACTGTGTGATCCCAATTCCACTTCAGCATCTCACTCAGTATGGTTATAATGAAGCAAAGAGATATTTCTCTCTATGAAGCTGTAAAAAATGCCAATCATCAATTGACATTTACTAAGTTCCCATGCTCTGCTCTACATAGATAAGGAGGATGCACCCAGAGAAGACACAGTACCTTATGCCTAAGTAGGAACCACGATTATACAAGTTTCTCTTCTCTCTCCATTGAGTGAAAGGGTTAACAAGAGTGTAATTTTAAATTATATAAACCTCATCAAATATTCATCAACTCAGAGGTGTTCCTTAATCCTCCCTTAGCTTCAGCATAAAAGACTGTGGATCAAAGAGCTCACTTCACACAGATAGTGTTTCATGAAAGCAAAAGGTATCAAGTTTATCCCCTGGCAGGATGTAAGTGGGCTGAAGCTACCCCAGCTCCTGCAGCAAGACTGGGGAGACTCAGGCAAAAATGTGAGGTTGTGTGGGGCACAGAGAACCTAAGTAGAAAGAATTTCTGAACTTCTGATGTTACATTTTGGAAATAAGAATAGTTTAAGCCTAAAGAGAGTGTGACATTTAAGGGGGCTCCTTTAAAATATTTCTATAAGGCAAAGATTCCTATCCTTAGAAATGAATAGGAGAAAAAAATGATTGAATTTTACTTCTTGAATGGTGCACCAAATTCATTGTTCACATGTTGAGCCCTCTACAAATTAAGCCTAGAAAACTGGGAGGTGTCACCAGCATTTATAGGTAAGAAAGTTGATACACATGTTAAAGATAACATGATGTGATAGGGATACAAGAGTATTTAAGTTTCACTTGCTGTGCAAATATGGTCTAAGATATCATTATGAAATCTAAATCTTTACAAATTGATTTACTTAAATCAAATATATCTATAGCAGTTAAAAACATGATCAGCAGTTCCCATAAAGCTTGAGCTGCTCAGTCAGCAGGCCCTATCATTTTTCTCCAATACATCTTCCCAAGTCACCATTCCTTATCTTCACCATTGTAAGCACAGCTGGCTTATCGTAGCAGTCCCTTCCAATCACCTCACACATTTCTGTCTTACTCACCTACTCAACCACCTATAATTGATCTTGTTTCTTAGCCTACGTTCTTTTCTGCAGCTTCCAGGCTCTATGTACTTTGGTTCCACCTTGTCTATCTAAGACACTTAGCCACTTCTCCACCTACATACTCCATCCCCTCTCTGCTCATTGCACTTCCCTAGGTTAGGGTGTACTGCTTATCTCCCTGTAACACCGACCCTCTATGTACCAGAGGTTATCCAGTTATTTCTATAGTTTCATTCATGTTTAGTTTTGGGTTCAGGGCAAGGTCATGTCTTGAGATTTATTTATAATCTCACAATGGTGGATACAATCATGCATCAAATGTAAAACTCACCAAACCACATTCTTCTGTAGACATACAAAAGGATTATTGTATTTTAAAAATCATACTTTCCTCCTGCAACAGCAAAAACTAAAATAAGTAGAGATCCATATAGCCCGCAAGAGTCAAGGAAGTTTCCTGGAGTTTGGTAAGGTGTAGGCATTAAATGTGGAGTTTTATAGAAGAGCAGAAAGAGCAGTGGGAAGAGGCCTACGGGAAGCTGCAGAAGGAGACAGCACCTGGAAAGAGGAATGCCTGGGAGGACAAGGGGGCTTAGCTGATGAAACTAAAAGGTCTTTCATGCTTAGACTAATTAGGTCTTGCATTCCACAATGTAGTACTGCTGGTCATGGGCAGTCATTACAGATGCATGAGTTCAAGGAAGGGCTTTAAGAAGATTATTTCTAAAGTGGTGAAAAATATATTTATTGAACAGGAGAATCCTAAAGGCAGAGAATTCTGTAAAGAAGTTTCTGAAGCATTTAAGATGTTTAGCATGGACTTCCCACCCAAAACCTCTCATCATGCTGTCTCCTAGCACATTACAGTATCAGATTTCTCTAGTGCACTCTGCCTCTCCTTGCCACATCCCAAACTGAAGATAGGAACAAATGATGAAGAACAAGGCCCCATGGCTGGAGAGGTAGGGGCTTCACCACAACACATGGAAAGAGCACAGAAACAGCAGGTAGGAGAGGACCCTGCAGCATTTCTCAAACTAACAGCTGGCATCACGGTCTTCTCTTCAGAGAGGTAAAGACATTTCCTGAGGGGAAACATTGTTACCAGTTGAAATAATGATAATAATAAAAAGAAGCCTAATATTGTACTCAGGGACATGAAAACTGATGACTGGGCTCTGCCCTCTTCTCAGTGTGGAAGAGGTCCATACTCACATACCCCCAGAGACAAACTTCCAGAAGCACCCCCATCCAAGTGGCCCCAAGAGTTTCTTCAAGGTCTGCAATTAGGTAAACTATGATCTAGTTTCAAGCATCTACATTCAATATGTACTCTCTTTTCTGTTCCCTCCAGACAGACCCTGCCATGTCTCCTTACAAACAACCTTGCCAAAACAGATTTAGAGGCAGCTAAGCCACACCATTCCATGGATCAGAACAAAAGAGACAAGGAAATCTTTGGTTTCCGACGGCAGGAAAAGGCTTCATCCGGGACCAAACCCCTCCCCCAGATAAATCTACTTCTTAATCTCTTAACACTCTTATCTGTGGCCAAAGTGGTTTAATGAGCTGCCTTCAATCTCCCTCCTCAATTCTGTGGCAGTCTGAGATGAGAAATAACATATGATGACTCTCCAGGGTTAGGAACAACCTGGAGGGAGGCTGGCCTCTGGACAGCCTCTTTACAGTCCCTCGTGCATACTCACATAAAGTCATCTGGCCACTCCACATCACACACAGCTCCTAAGAGCCTCACAGTTCTGCTCAAATCTGTCAGTTATATCAAATGAGAAGAGAGAGAAGGGAAAGTAAGATGGAGGGGAAGAAAAAAGGGGGAAAGAGAAGAGAGAACAGGGAGCGGGGAAAGGAAGAGAAGAGGGTAAAGGGAAAAGAGAGGGAGGAACGACGGAAAGAAAAGGGAGAGAAAAAGGAGAAAGGGACAGAGATGATCAATAATTCTCAAGTTTAGTGAGATAATTTGCATTTAGATCTTTTAAATGGAACTTTGGCTCACGTTTTAGACTCTCACATTACTGTATTTACCACTGATGTCAACTCTATGGATTGTTCATTCACTGATGGATATAATCATATTTAAGTGTCCCAGAAATCCCCTAGGAGAACAAAAACTTATAAGCAGCCAAAAAATATCTGTATGTCCCAGCCAGGCACAGTGGCTCACGCCTGTAATCCCAGCACTTTGGGAGGCCTAGGCTGGTGGATTACGAGGTCAGGAGATCGAGACCATCCTGGCTAACAGGGTGAAACCCCATCTCTACCAAAAATACAAAAAATTAGCCGGGTGTGGTGGCGGGCACCTGTAGTCCCAGCTACTCGGGAGGCTGAGGCAGGAGAATGGCGTGAACCCAGGAGGTGGAGCTTGCAATGAGCCGAGATCACGCCACTGCACTCCAGCCTGGGCGACAGAGAGAGACTCTGTCTCAAAAACAAAACAAAACAAAACAAAAAAAATCTGTAGGTCCCAATGGGCAGATGGTGTAAGCCAAGTAGAAAGAACAGGCAGACTGACCAATACAGGCCAGGTCTTACCAAGAGGAACTGAAAGAGAAGAGGCCTAAAGCTTTGGAGGAAAAACTTTAGTTGCTTTCTACAAAATGTATGCTATTGGCTGAATGTGGGAAAGAAACAGTAACTACTTCATCTACTGAGATGAGGAAAATACAGGTGACACTCTTTCCACAAAGGCTCAATCCCATTAGAGGACAAGAATTTCCAACCTGTGGTCTTGTGAAATTAATTCCTAAATTGTGAATACACAGAACTCATTGTTATATTATTCCCTGCCGCACAAATTCAGATATGCTCTTGGTAAATGGCTTTCTGGACTCAGGAGTGAAATATACTAAATGCCTTTTTTAGCAGGTAACAGTAGGTCTATAATGTTGGTCCCATCCTGCATCAAACTGCCATGGGACATCAAACTTGGATTAGAGGGTCTCATGGCTCTAACCGCTAAACCAGACTCTAATTTGTAACATCAATTATCCCAGAACCCTATGTGCCCAGCCTGCTCTATTCTCAACTCTGGGTACAAACTTCACACTGAAATTTACTCATTAATACCTACATATTCCGCAGGTATTTTAAATCCAGTCTGCCCCAAACTGAAATCTACCTTCCCTGTTTCCCTATAAATACTATGCCTGGGGAGTATTAGCTGAAAACCTTAGACCTTCCTTTCTTACTCTCTTTAATTTCTCTTCCTGTTGGTTAAGTCCTATCTCCCTTCACTACTCTATCTGAACTAATGGTCACATCTAAAACCTCTCCATGCTTCCTTCTCCCAACATAATAGGCTGGCACTTTTCCAACTCTCAGCACTTTTTATATAATCTTATTCTCCAGACTGAAACCAGAATAATGCTTCCTAAAAAAATTTTGAAAAGGCTACTCACCTAGTTTAAAATTCTATGATGATTCCCTATTGCCAGTAGCCTTCAAAACCAGGCCCAAACCTAGGTTCACCAAGCTCATTTCAAACCACTTCTCCTTTTTCACCTTGGACCCTGGCAACACATATATCTACACCTCCTAAGCAATACTTAACCTTCATAGCTCGTATGAGACAACTCTCTCCTGGCATGCACCTCCAAAGATCCCCTCCGTCCTTTTTTCCCAGAGTCCTTTATACACATAGCTATTAAGGTTGTGATTATGTGACTGTTTGCATTTCTTTCTACCTACAGAGAAAGTGAGCTTATATGGGGCAGGGACCCTTCCTGGGGATCTTTAGTGGGTGCCTAACAACATCTGTTGTGAAAAAAGCAGTAAGAGAAATTGAGGGTTCAGATTTATCTGAACAAACAAAACCGTAACTTTTCCTTCGGGAATGGCAAAAACTCAAAAGGTAATGCACATAATGGCAGAGGATAACACACCCACAGCCTGTTACCTTTCCACAGGTACACACGCACATCAGTTTGGGGCCCTGGCAAGCACAGCTGGGCAAAAGCCAACTCCTGCAGAGTGGCTGCATTTGTCTTGCTAAGGGGTGGCAACGACAGCATCTGTCAAGACGAGATTGAACAGAGGAGCTCAGAACCAAGCAGAGCTGTAACATGATGCACCAGTATCTGGTTGTGGTGCAAACAAGGTACGCTTTCTTCCTCTACTACACAGCAGGCACCATGCCAAACACACACAGTGTTTGCTATTTTTGCAAGTCTAATAGGGTCTGCTGAGGGGAGGGGTAGGAGATCAGCAGTTCATAATGACTCTCATTATGTCTGGTGCATTTTGAGCCAAGATTAGACACTAGACAATCCTCTGTCCAGTGTCAAGGGCTTTCAACTGCCCTTTCATCAGGATAATTCCACTTCAAACTAATTTAGGTTTCTTATAACCCAAGCTACCAAAACCAATACACTTCACTGTTTTCAGCCCAGAAAAAGGAGTCAATGTCTGCTCCAACTAGAAATACAGTCTTTGGGTTCAGAGTCTGTGACTGCTATACACATGCTGTGACAGGAACATGCCACTATGAGATCTCGCTCTTTCTACTGCACTCTAACTCAGCTGCATTGTAGAAACTCCTTTGGGAAGAGCATCCCCTGCCCTCCTTACTGTCACCTCCACTTCTGTAGATTAGAGTTCCTTTCAACATAGAGTGGAAACAATTTTGGGAGACCTCTAAAAAAAGAGTCTGAACTTTCTAATTCCCACTAAAATCAACAAGGTTATATGAGTTTCGCTCCAGGATAAAAACTAGATTCCGCAGCTAACTGTTTTCCTTTTAAGTCTAAACAATAAAAATAATAAATCTCTAAACTAGACCTTTACATAAAAATTCGAGAACAGTACAAACCAGTGCAGAATTTTAACAATTATCCATTACATGTTCAAGCAACAATTTCTGGTTTTAGTCTTCTAAGTACGGAAAGAGTTTTGTGACTATTGTCATCCTATGTGTATTCACATGGGAAAGAACAAAGGTTTCAAGAAAACAAAAATGACACTTATACTAGTCAAGCACAAAAATGGGAAAGGGCCAAGTGCAATGGCTCACACCTGTAATCCCAACATTTTGGGAGGCTGAGGTGGGAGGACTGCTTGAGGCCAAGAGTTTGAGACCAACCTAAACAACACAGGGAGACCTCCCTCCCTACCAAAAAACAAAAAACAAAAAACAAAAAAAGGAAGGGAAAGGAAAGTGGCAAGTGGATAGCAAAACTCACTGTAATACTTTCCTT
This sequence comes from Homo sapiens, assembly GCF_000001405.40. Lineage (NCBI taxonomy): Eukaryota > Metazoa > Chordata > Mammalia > Primates > Hominidae > Homo > Homo sapiens. Next base: position 69,933,600 of record NC_000007.14, on the reverse strand, counting down.
TTTTATTCTAAAAAATTTATAGTACTTATTTCGAACAGAACCAACATAACTGTGACCTTCCAAGAAAGTTAATGAATGTTATTTGGATTCATAAACACTATACATTAACAACTCACAGGGAGCCGAAGTCCTGAAAAGGATTAAACGAAGAAAAAAGAAACCAAATGACACTGACCTATCCATGTTTCAAGGTTCCAAAACTTACTTTGTGAATATGAAATCTCTGAAAGCATAAATCTATTACATAAACATTCTAATTATCTATTAAATAGAAGTCATCTTATATATCTAAATATATACATGTACTTATTTTAACCCTTTAAAGCAGACACAATTTAATGTGGTATAATTTGAAATGGACTACTTCACAGAGCAGACACCTGTGCGCACACATGAGCCATTACTTATGTAACAGTACTTTGATTAGTACTCTAAAGAAGCATTAAAGTTTAAGATCTGTTAGAAAAAATAATAGTTTATTGAAATCTAACACAAAAACAAAAATAACTGCATGGAAGTGTAATTACACACTGAACACACCAGTGTAACCAACGTGCAGATCAACAGAAAAATACCTGCATTTCCAAATCCATCCTTGAATGTAAATAATTTTACTTCACTGGGGCAAAATGTGTCCAGAAATTCTTCTTGTATTTATCCTGGAGTTATTATAGACCAATCTGGTTGACTGTTGCTTAAAAGCTTCTATTCTGCATCCCATGTATAATTCTGCTAAAATAGTAGCTCTAGATTACTGAGAACCAAATTCTCAACGGTAACTTAAAACAAATAATGTGAAGCCACTATCGTACACTCATAAATCTGGATTTGAATGTAACAATTATTTGTTCTAACTCATTCATTTTACTAAAGTAGAAGCTGAAGTCCACAGGTGCCAAGCCCTAGCCAAAGTCACACTGAGTGTTCAAAGCCAAACTCACACTGGAGGCCAAACTGTACTAATCAACAGAAGCTGTGTGTTAAGGTTCTAAGGTGTATAATCCAATAAAATGGCCCTGGAAATTCTGAAATAGCTCTAGCCTTCCAATCTGCAATTCTCCAATATCTTAGCCAAAGTTTACTGTCAATACCTGTAGCTACATTAACTTTCTATTTACCAAATCAATGTTGCAATTGTGTCTGCCTCTTCTGCATTTTCTCCCTTTCCTCCCCACCCTCCCTTGCCATTTTCTCACCTCTTAGAGCGCTCCTGAAAAATGACTTCCATCTTCAATAAGCTTTGTCAAAACACAATGCATTGCTAAATCTGAAATCCAATCTATACTTGTATACCAGCTGGGATGCTCTACTCAAAGAAAGAAGGCCGAGAGCTGGATTTTTCAGCAACAAAAGACAACAAAGCACTTTTCCATTTGGGGCTGCAGAGGGAGCCAGAACCATGCAAAGCAAGCAAGTATGTCTTTATAGAACTGGATGAATCCAAAATAGTGAAAAATATAAGCACACACAGAAATCACAGATACCATGCACACAAGCTGTGCATGTGTGTGCACACATATACACACACAAGCACACAAACACACTACTGTCCAGACCTCCAGACTCAGGGGAGATTCTGAAAACACAGTTTGTGTGTTCGGAGAGGAAACATATTTTGTGAGGAAGAGATGGGCAGTAAAAGGAAAACAAAGCAATTCTGTTTTATCAATGAAAAGACAATTAATTAAAAAGAGTCATCAATTCGAAGATTGCCTCATCAAGGTAAGTCGTCAGCACTCTCAAATTAGCAGGCTGCCTGACAAGCGGGGTAGTCTTTTATCTTGAAGAGCCCTTTATGCAGTATTTCTTGAACAGAGTTTTATAAAATCTGACCTTTATTATCTTTTCCTTCTAAAACAGTATAGGTCAGAGTGCAGATGGGGAAAAGCAGGAGGCAGGATCAGAGAAGGTGACAAATGTTTCAAAAAGTAAGACTGCCATGACAAAAACAGAAGGAAGAAACCCCTGACTGATCCTCACCAAGTCAGTGATGTTGCGACAATGGCACAAACGGAGATCCAATAAGTCTTGCACCTCCAAGACTATCTCTGATTACAACAAAATACCACAATGAATACAGCAGAACAGAAAAAGGAGACATTCTGATCAATGGCAAAACAATAGTTAACTAGTAATTCTAAGCAATAAAGAGCTCATTCTCTGACAGCTCTTTCACAGCAAACCAAAGATGTATAATAGCAAGCTGCAAAGATGCAGATGTGGATTATACTGTAATGTAGAGACAGTTAAGATTCTGTATAATGCAGAGATTCTATGCAAAGCCTTAACAATGCTCCAAGCCTAAAACTATAGCTTACTCAGTACAAATCATCAGACCTTAATTGAGTGCCACTATGCCAGGCATGGTATGAGGTTCTGGAGATGTAAGAATGGCAAGTCTGGTTTCAAGCAGCACACCAAGTAACAGGGGAAACTGGAAAGTAAAAAAGTAGTGTGTGTGTGTGTGTGTGTGTGTGTGTGTGTGTGTAAATCCAAAATGCAGTACGAGCATTCTGGCTCAGTCTGGAAAAGCACAAACCTCCCTAAAGATACATTTTTTAAAAGATCTAAACAAATATACTCATCCTGAAATAATTCTGCTCTATCAACATATAAAACATGCAAATTTTACACTGAATTAAGATGTATAAGAAATATTCCCTGAATACTCACCTTAAAGATGGCACTGGGATAGGGCACCAAAACTTATAACTATTCTGACAATATTCCCTCCATTCCAATGATTTTACTATTTTTTAGTGTAAGTTAATAATGATGATGTTTACCTAAAGATTTTTACCATTAAGTACAAAAGAATGTCAAATATACTAGGAAGTAAGAACTGACAAGACTGAAAGAACAAGGCATTGGGTCAAAAGAGAAGGCAGAGAAGGACAAATTATGGTCTTGAGCTTGGCTGAAAGAGATTTCATGATGTTGTTAAATGAAATATGGGAGAACCACTTCTGGTCAAGATGGAGAAACAGTGACTAGATACAGTCTCCTGCCTGAAACAACAAAAAATACTCAGAAAAATATATGAACAATGGTTTTCAAGATACCAGACATGAAGTAACTAATGACAGTAATCTCTGAGATGCAGGAAACAAATGAGAGCCCTATAACTGACCCACCTTATTGTCTGGAGAGTTTCCAGGGTGCAATACCAGGAGATGAAACTGGGGCAGAACCAGGCCAACTCGATGAATTGAGGAGACAGAGTTGAGTCTGAGGACATCAAGGCAGCTGGGGTTCATAGGATAGAGGACTAGAGAGAAGAGAATTACACAGAGAGAGAGCCCTGGAGATCTACAGAGGGTTCACCTGCAACACAGTACAGACTGGCTCGAAAGCAGGGGGACGCTACTCAAGGCTGGGGAAAGAAACACCCAAAAGAATTATAGAGAACATTTCTTGGGACTCGCACAGGACTCTGAACAGTGCCTGTTCCCATGAGAGAGACTAAAAAACTCATACTTCACAGATGATTAGATTGAATACTCAAAAAGGTCTTGCAAAAGTAATGAGGAATAACCAAGGCCTAGACTAAGCTCTTTTCCAGATTTCCCTTAACAAATGCCAATAACAAAACTCCAGGTGATCAAAGTTTTTCTAAGTAACTTTACTGCATCCCAGAACAAAGCTCAAGGCGACTTATAGAAATACCAAAATACCTAGCATCCAACAAGGTAAAATTCACAATGTCTGGCATCCAAAGATCACCAGTTACACAATGAGGCAGAAAAGCATGACCCATAATGAGTAGAATAATCAATAAAGTGAAAACAACCCAGAAGTGGCACTGAGGTTAATTGCAAACAAGGACACTGAAACAATCATTGTACCTGTATTCCAAAAGTTCAAACAGTTAAATAGAGACTTGTAAGTATTTTTAAAAACACTGTAACCAAATCTTTAGAAATGAAACTGCTGTCGGAGATGAAAAACACATTGAATAGGACTAACAACAGATTTGACATAGCAGAAGAAAAGACTGGTGAACCTGAGACACAGCAACTATCCAAACTGAAATGCAAAGAGAAAAAAGAATGAAGAAAAATCAAAGTAGCACAGGAAACTCTAGGAAGAGTTCAAACTATCTAGTATCTGGTTAATTGGAGTCCCTGAAAAGGTAAAGCAGAAGAGAAGGGGAAAAAACCTTAAAGAAATAATAACCCAAAATTTCCAAACTTCATAAAAATGATGAATCCTAGATCAAAGAAGCTCAACAAACCTAAAGCACAAGAAACATGAAGGAAACTAGGGTAAGGCACAATGTAACCAAATGCTCAAAAGCAGCACTAGAGAGAAAACACTTAAAAGCAGTCAAAAAAAAAGACAAGTTACATTACCAGAAACTAAGAGTGACACAAATTTTGTCATGGCAAACACTAAGAGAAAACAGTAGAGCAACACTTTTAAATTACTAAAAGAAAAAGTAACTGTCCAACTAAAATTATATTCCCAGAAAAAAATTTTGAAAACAAAGGCAAAGTGAAGATGTTTTCAGGCATACAAAAGCTGAATGATTTCATCATCAGTAAATTCTCTCAGTAAGAAATGTTAAAAGAAGGCCTTCAGGCAAAAGAAAAACGCTCAGATGTAAATAGGATCTACCCAGAGAAATGAAGGGCATAAGAAATGGTAACCACATTGATGGTGGCAATGGTGGCCCGTCTGGATTGGCCACTGCGAGGACACCCGCTGCAGTGGGGAAGGCCTGTTCACTTAGAACCAGCAAGGGCCAGGAACAGGTGATCCTAGCAGGAGCCCTGCACCTTACAGAGTTGGCGGGACAGGAACCCACACTCCCAGGTGCAGCTGCAGCTGCAGCTGCCTAGATGTGGCTACAGACCCAAGCATCCATGTGTTCTTGGGGGCTCGGGAAGCCCTGCAGGCTCAGAAGTGCCTGCTCCTGCTTCTCTGGCCTCTCCCTGCTCTCTCGGTGCCTAATGCAGCATGGAGCAAAGTTGTGGCCAATCTGGGCACTGTTATGACTTAGCGGCATATGTGCACACTCAGGGTCATGCTGGTATACCAGCCCCCTGCTACCTCAGGCCCCTCCAGACATTGGGTGTAAGCACAGGAGGGAGGCTGGAGCTGCTGAGGGCAGCTCAGTATAGGCCTGCAGGTGCCTCCTGGCACAGACAGCCTTACTGTGGACAGCATGTTGATCACGGCAGGAGGCAGACAGGTCCCAAGGCAGGAAAGGGTGGGTCCGCAGTGAAATCCCACCTTCAAGGCAGGGATGGCATGAAGTCTGTGGGCTGGGCTGCCAGTTCTGAGTGGAGTCCATAACCCCGAGTGAGAAGTTCCTTGATGCCTTTTGGCCACTAGAATGGTGCTTTTTCCAGGCCCACCCATGGCTGCCCATGGACCAATCAGCACACACTTCCTAAATTCTGAGCCCATAAAAACCCTGGACTCAGCCAGACTCAGGGACTCACTGGGACTACCTGCCTGCAGATAGGAGCTACTCACTTCAGGTCTCCACTGAGAGCTGGTCTGTCACTCAATAAAGTTCCTTTCTGCCTTGATCACCCTACAATTGTCCACATAACCCATTCTTCCTGGATGTGAGACAAGAACTTGGGACCTGCCAGATGGCAAGACTAAGACAGCTGTAACACAAATGGGATAACACCCCACCACCACAGGCAATGAAAAGGAGAGAAGACCTGCAGCCCTTCAGGTAGCCCGGTAATACCCCTCTTTGGGGCTCTGTGGTTCCTGGCGGTCTCTGCACTTTCAGGTGCCACTGCATTCCCCTCATCCAGAGACATTGGTGCCCACAGTGGAAGCCACTTGTGGTACATCTGGTCCAGCCACAGCCTCACATGGGGCCGGTACCTGTGCGGGCACCTGGAGCTGCCCTCCCCACTGCAGCAGCCGTTAAGCCTGGCTGTGTGCAGTGGCCAGACCCTGCGCTCACTTGCTCACACAATCCTTGCCACTCTGCATGTGGCTCACCCTTGGCGTAGGACCGAGGTTGGTAGCACAAGCTGAGCGCAGCCTGTCGGGCAGAGTGGGTGGAATGAGCCCAGCAGGAATGAGAAAAACTGAAGCAGAGGCAACGCTGGCCACAGAGGTTTCTGGCTGACGAAGTGACACCCTAAGGATCCTGTGAAAACATGGGGATATATACAAGATTTTTTTTTTAATTATTTAAAATATCCTTAAAAGATAATTCACTGTTTAAGCAGAAATAGTAACAATGTTTTGTAGCCTTTTTAACAAATACAAAAGTAAAACTCATGTCATCGACAGTATAAAGGCTATAAAGGCGTAAATGTAAGTAAATAGAAGAGTAAATATAATATTCTTGTATTATTCATGAAGTGATATAACATCATGTGAAGGTAGACCACTGTAAATTAAAGATATATATAGTATGTATATATATATATATATATAAATATATTGGAGTATTTTCCATTCAAATGTTAAGTTTGAGACTTTCATGTTGCCATTTGTTTTTCATTAGTTGCATTTTTTTCCTTACCCTCTTTCTTGCGGCCTTGTGGACGAATAAAGTATTTAACATATCATTTTATCTCTTTTGCTCCCTTATTAGCTACAATTTTTTATTTCCTTGTTTTTCGTGGTGCTTTAGGGAAAATACTGTATATATATAATATATATGTTATATATCTTTATATATATAAAGATATGATAGATATATACTATATATTATATATGCTATATATCTTACATATCTTTATATATATCTTTATATGTATATACTATATATACATGATATATCTTATATATACTATATATCTTATATATCTTTATATATATTTTATATATATTTATATATCTTTATTATATATAGTGTATATATAGTATTTCCCTAATGCAACCACAAAAAAAAGAGGAAAATAATTGTAGCTAATATGGGAACAAAAGACATAAAATGAAATCTTAAATACTTTATTCATTCTCAAGGCTGCAGGGAAAGAGGGTAAGGAAAAAAAATGCGACTAACAAAAAACAAATGGCAACATGAAAGTCTCAAACCTAACATTTGAATGGAAAATACTCCAATTAAAAGAGATAATAAAGTGAGATACATGACTGACAGATATAGGTAGGTAGGTAGGCAGGCAGATAGATAGATAGATAGATAGATAGATAGATAGATAGATAGATAGACAGACAGACAGACAGATAGATTTCAGAGCAAAGACTATTACCAGGGATAGAGGTGGTCATCTCATAATAATAAAGGGATCAATCAATCAATACCACATAACCCTAAATGTTTATGTACCAAATAACAAAGCCTCAAAATAGCACAGGACAATAGGAACAAAGAAACAAAACCACAATTATAGCCAGAGACATCAATATACCTCTCTTGATAGAACAAGCAGGCAAAAAATCCGTAAGGATATAATAAAACTGAGCAACACTATAAACCAACTTGGGCTGACTGGCATTTATAGAACATTCCTACCAACTACAGAAGAAAATTACGTTCCTCTCAAGTGCTCAGGGAACATCTACAAAGAAAGACCATATTCTGGGCCATAAAATTGTGCCAATAAATTTAAAAGGATACAAGTCATACAAGCAATGTTGTTTCTAGGTGTGTTTTGTTTTTTGTTTTTAGAGAGACAAGGTCTCACTATGTTGCCCAGGCTAAACTCAGCTACTAGCTCAAGTGATCCTCCTACCTCCATCTCCTAAGCAGCTGGGACTATAGGCGCACCACCATACCCAGTTAAAGTGTTTGTCTGTCTTAAATCACAATGGAGTTAAATAAGAAACCAATTCCAGGCCAGGTTCAGTAGCTCATACCTGTTATCCCAACACTTTGGGAGGCCAAGGAGGGAAAACTGCTTGAGAGCAAGGATTCAAGACCATGCTGGGCAACATAGTAAGACACTATCTCTACAAAAGATTTTTAAAAGCCAGGCTGATATGAGAGGATCACTTGAAACCAGGAATTCAAGGGTGCAATGAGCTATGATCACGCCACTGCACTCCAGCCTGGATGACAGGGTGAGATCCTGTCTCTTAATTAATTAATTGACTGATTTAATGTAATAAACCAATACTAGAAAGATCCCTGGAAAACCCCTAAAATATTTGGAGTGTTTCAATTAGAAGTCACAAGGGAAATCAGAAAGTACTCTAAACTGAATGAAAATGAAAATACCACAGATCAGAATATTTGGGGTGCTGCTAAAGTAATATTTGGGGGTAAATTTATAGCATCAAAAGGCTATATTAGAAGAGAAGAAAGATCTTAAATCAACAAACTCAGCTCCTACTTTTAAAAGCCAGAAAAATAAGCAAAGTAAAACTAAAGTAAGCAGAAAGAAGGAAATCAATGAAATATAAAACAACAGAGAAAAATCAATGAAAATAAAGCTTGTTCTTCAAGAAGATCAATAAAATTAATAAACTCCCAGTCATACTGATATGACAGAGAGAGAAGAGGGGAGGAAAGGAGGCTATCAACAGATATAGAATTGCCATAGATTCTATAGATATAAAAGGATAATGAAGGAATATTATATGAATTTTATGCCAATAAATTCAACAACTTTGATAAAATGAAAAAATTCCTTGAAAAGACATAAATTACCAAAGCTGACTCAAGAAGAAATGGATAACATAAATAGTTCAATATTTAGTAAAGAACATGAATATTTCATTTAAAACCTTTCCACAGAAAGAAAACTCTAGGCCCAGATGGATTCACTGACAAATTCTACCTATCATTTAAGAAAGAAATAACAGGCCGGGCCTGGTGGCTCATGCCTGTAATCCCAGCACTTTGGGAGGCAGAGGCAGACGGATCACCTGAGGTCAGGAGTTTGAGACCAGCCTGACCAACAGGGAGAAACCTCATCTCTACTAAAAATACAAAATTAGCTGGGCGTGGTGGCGCATGCCTATAATCCCAGCTACTCAGGAGGCTGAGGTAGGAGAATCGCTTGAACCCAGGAAGCAGAGGTTGCAGTGAGCTGAGTTTGCGCCATTGCACTTCAGCCTGGGCAACAAGAGCAAAACTCTGTCTCAAAAAAAGAAAAAAAAAAAAGAAAAGAAAGAAAGAAAGAAAAGAAAAGACAAAAGAAATAATAACAATTCTACACAAACTCTTCTAAGAAACTGAGGAAAAGGGAATATTTCCCTACCTTTCCTATGAGGCCAGCATCACTCTGATAATAAAACCAGACAAATAGATCAAAAGAAAACTACAGACCAATTTTTATTCATGAACACAGGTGTAAAAATTCTTTAAAACATTTTTAACAAATCAAATCCAACAATCTATTTAGAAGTTAATATATCATGACTAAATAGAGTTTACCAAGGAAAGCATTTTGGTTTCACATTTAAAAACCAATCAATGTATTACTATATTAATAAACAAAAAAAGAAAAATCATATGATCATCTTGATAGACAAAAAAAAGGTGTTTGACAAAATATAACATGCATTCTTGATTAAAATTCTGACAAACTTAGAATGGAACATTCTCAACCTAATAAAGGGCACTATGAAAAACGTATAGCTAAGCTCAGAATTAATGGCAAAAGATTCTGTCTTTCCCCCTAAAATCAGGAAAAGGGCAGGAGTGTCCAGTCTTGTCTCTTCTATTAAACATGATCCTGTAAGTTCCTGACAGAGAAATCAGACAAGAAAAAGACAGAGAAGATACCCAGATTAGGAGGAAAGAAATAAGCTGCTTCTATTCACTAAAAATATGATCATCCATGTAGAAAATCCAGTAAGACCTACAAAAAAAACTACTAGAACTAATAAGTGAGTTTAGCAAGGTTGCAGAATGCAAGTGAATATACAAAAATCAGTGAATTTCTACATATTGATAGTGAACTGGAAACTAAAGTTAAAAAACACCACCATTTAATACTGCATCAAAAATATGAAACACATAGGAATAAATCTGACAAAATATATGAAAGGCTTATATACTGAAAAGTACAAAATATTGCTGAAGGAAATAAGTAAGATCTAAATAGAGAGATAGACCTTGTTCGAGAGTTGAAAACTCAATATTTTAAACTGTCAATTCTCCCCAAATTGATCACACGATCAATATAATCTCAACCAACATCTTGGCCAGATTCTTTATAGAACCTGACAAGCTGATTCTAAAAGTCATACGCTAGTGAAAAGAATCTTAAAAAGCCAAAACTATGTAACATTATCTCACTTCAAAACTTACTACAAAGCAAGCTACAGTAATAAAGACAGTATAGTATAGGCATAAAGATAGACAAATAGATCAAAGGAACAGAATAGAGAGTATAGAAATAAACTCACACATACATGGACAACTGATTGTTTACAAAAGTACAAAGGCAATGCAAAGGTGGAGAATGGACAGCTTTTTCAAAAATGCCTTCAGAAAAATTGAATATCCATATGCAAAAGAAATTAACTTTAATCTATACCTCCCACCATATTCAAAACTTAAAATCAAACAGGCACAGTCTACTTCATGTCAAGTATACCTTTTGGAAAAGAAAAGGCAGAAATAAGCCAACCAGTCTTAGGGTTGATTCAGGCAAATACATAACATGGACCAACGCATACCAATCTGTGATAACTGATATTGTAACAACTGGTTAAGCACTTTAAAGCATGTTAATTTATTCTTTAAAAATACAAAAATTCACTTCATTTCTTTTTTGAACAATATCAACATCAGTTTCCCTTTACTATAAGTATAAGAAACCAACACTAGAGGAAAGGGAATGTACAGAAAATATTCAAAATGGTGTACAAAATCAACTGAGAGATAATATACTGCCTCCTCATGCTTTCAGTAACCTTTCCCACGCTATGTTAACAAGTCTGAAGTTACCCAGGCCATATGCTAATATAATGCATACACTCTATAAGTAAATGATCTTCACTAAGAAGTGTCGAAATGTGTAAGGAGAGAAGCATTCTTTCTGGTGTACAGACTAGGAAAGCAATTCACACAATCTCAAATTAAATTGAGAGTTTCTGAGTTGGCTACAACCAAAAATCACCCTGAGAAGTGAAAACAGCATGGATCACTTAAGAGCATGAAAATGTGGTTTCTCTTCTCACATTTATACTTACTGTATGTATCAATACCACATACCAGGGCCTATACAGTAAAAGTGCTAAGAAAGCAGCGAAGCTTAAGCCATTTCTAAAGTCTTAGAAGAGGCTTTGGTGAAGTCAATCTCGTGCTACCTGTTTTAGCAGATAAAACAACATCTTCCTTAAAAACAGTCAAAGAAAGGATCAGCTTATGCTAGGTGAGTAATAATGCCAACAGTTTATTGCCCCAATAAACCTCTTAAGGAGTAGAAAAAGGACAGCGCTAGTTGGTAGTAAGTTTATATGTAACCACATACCTGGCTTAGCCTTTCACAGACTGCGTGCATGAAATCAAAAAGCCAAAGATGATGCAATTTGATGTGTGAGAATTTTACAAATGCAAAGTAGCCTACTGAGTGCAGCTCAAATATCCCTGAGACTAGTCAACATTTACTAATTTTTTTTTCTTTTTTCTTTTTTTGAGACAGAGTTTCACTCTTGTTGCCCAGGCTGGAGTGCAATGGCGTGATCTCGGCTCACTGCAACCTCTGCCTCCCAGGTTCAAGAGATTCTCCTGCCTCAGCCTCCCAAGCAGCTGGGATTACAGGCATGTGCCACCATGCCCACTAATTTTGTATTTTTAGTAGAGACGGGGTTTCTCCATAATGGTCAGGCTGGTCTCAAACTCCTGCCCTCAGGTGATCTGCCTGCCTCAGCCTCCCAAAATGCTGGGATTACAGGCATGACCTACCATGCCCGGCCTTTTTTTTTTTTTTTTTTTTTAAAGACAGAGTCTCGCTCTGTTGCACAGGCTACAGTGCAGTGGTGTGATCTCGGCTCACTGCCTCCTGGGTTCAAGCAATTCTCCTGCCTAGGCCTCCCAAGTAGCTGGGATTATAGGCACACACCACCAAGCCTGGCTAATTTTTGTATTTTTTAGTAGAGATGGGGAGTTTTACCATGTTGGCCAGGCTGGTCTCAAACTTCTGACCTCAGGTGATCTGCCTGCCTCTGCCTCTCAAAGTGCTGGAATTACAGGCGTGAGCCACCATGCTCGGCCAACGTTTACTAATCTTAATAGCATCTGTGAGATCCAGAATGGTTTTCATAAATGTCTGGTTTTCTCCTTCTATTTCCCACCGTGATGTTTTTTGTTTCTTTTAACTTTTCTACTTTTCCTAGTTATTACGGTTAAAAAAAAAAAAAAAAAAAAAAAAACTTCAAGTCTAAATACTAAAACCAGAAGACATACATTTCTTCAGACAATCTCAATGCATCCTGCTTTGGAAATTTTGTCCTTCATTTCAGGAAGAAATTTTTATAATTCACACAACTTCCTTAGTCAATCCAACAAGAAAGTCAGGAAAAACACATAGGCATTTATTTTGATTAGGAAAAATTCTCACATTAACAATAAGAAAACAAACCACACAACTCGCCATCTCTGATGCCAAAGCCAGAGGCAGACCTTCATGGTGGCAGCTCATAAATTCTAGCCCAAGATCACAAATACAGCTGTAAGGAAACCCTCCCAAGAAAAACACATGGCATTATAAAAACCACGAGGGAGATTAGTGAAAAATTAAGCACGTATCATTCACCAACTTTTCCAAGAGTATTTTTTTACAGTTTATTTACTTTAAACTGTCCCAAAGTAATTAACCCAGAGGTGAAGCCCTGGAAAATAGGGACCATCTCTTATATTCCTCTGACATCTCTCAGGTTTGAAACACAGAGAATGCATGTAAAACATGTACTGAATAAAGAGAGCTACCTGGAAGAGGGCAAGGAGTCCTACACAAGAACCATTTCACGCCAGTGTTGAACAGTCTAGGAAGAAAATACTGTATCTTATCAATTTCATTCAGTCTACATAAATAGGGTATAGGGAAGGATTTTCCAAAGCCAGAAGAATCAACATATATGCCTCACAATTTACTTACTGAAAAACTGAAAAGCAGGCCAGGTACAGTGGCTTACACCTGTAATCCAAGCACTTTGGGAGGCCATGGCAGGTAGATTCTCTGAGCTCAGGAGTTTGAGACAAGCCTGGGAAACATGGAAAAACCCTGCCTCCCCCGAAAATACAAAAACAGCCGGGCATGGTGGTGCATACCTGTAGTACCAGCTGCTTAGGGGACTGAAACGGGAGGATTGCTTGAGCCAGGAGGTTCAGACTGCAGTGAGATTGTACCACTGCACTTCAACCTGAGTGACAAAGCAAGACCCCCTCTCTAAAAAAAAATAAAAGAAAGAAAGAGAGAGGACAGGAGAGGAGAGGAGAGGAGAGCTAAGCCAAAAATGAATACATCTAGGAACATGGGTTAGTCATTAAAAATAATAATAATAATAATTTCATTACATTCCTTCACCATGAATTATCCATAACAATCAAATTTCTATAATTTCAATGTAAAAGATCTAAAGTTACAATCCTCAGATCACCACCAATAGGCATGCCCACCCCCGCCCACCCCAAACAAAAAAGTTACACTATCTCATATTAATCTCTTCCCAACAAAAGGCAACTGCAAAAAATTGTATACATAAGACCACTTCATTTACGTTTTTCAATCTAATGTACCCACTGGTATCTACAGTAGTCTAATAACCATGTGCACAGCATAATTTTACCAAAGTGAGTCATTACCACAAAGCAGAAACTCTTGAGGTGTTGTTCTTTGTAGGTATCACATACTTCAGTGCTGGTTTATCTAAAATATTAATATTATCAAAGTCCAGGTAGTTCCTAGTTTTTTTAATCTACTTTTTTTTCTCAATTTTAAGGAAGAGGGAATTTTAAGTACTCCAGCATGTATAACATCTTCACAGTGTTAGAAGAATACAACATCTGCATTCTGGTACAATCACAGAAACTGAGGGTCAAAGAGCAGCAATAACTTGGTTAAGGACAAAGTGCCAGCAGCAAGGTAGAAACTTTAACCCAAGAATCCAGATTCTCAGTCTCTCTCTCCCCAACAAAATACACGTTCATACAGCCTGTGCAATACAAACACTGCTATCTTCTTCACTGAACATATTCACAATAAAACTGCCCCCTTCCTTCTAATTAGCTACAGTGTCTGCGATACCTCTTAAGTGATCAAATGAATTCAAAGTCGTGGCCATAAAACAATGTGAAGACAAGACGTCTTTGTCTTCTTCAGTCTGCCAACATGTAACACCTAGGAGAAATGATCTTATTGCTCTGAATGAAGATCCCCATAACTGCTGAAAGAGGAACCTTAACAGATTTTCTTATATCAATATCAATAGCCACACGCTGTATCTACAGTACCAACACAATACTTTATACAGTCTAAAACCAAAGAGGAAAAAAGTGTAGAAGGGGTCTCAGTAATGTAAAAGTGTTCAATATATTTTCCATTGTTTCCCCCTCTGAATCACAACCCAGTCAATTTTATACCTTGTCTCCTCTGGCTGCCATGAACTAGGTCGACATATATGACAATAGTTAATGACCCAAGCTACAAGAATTTAAGAGAAAAGTATTCCTTACCTCAATCTTTTCATCCACAGCTGTATTTCTACCCCCAAGAGTAGCCTTTCAGAAAGAATGTGGAAATGGACAGGAATATAAAGATTTTTCTTAAATTACTGCTTCATTCTGCTAAAATAGTTCGCCTGTGCCCTAAAAAATATTGTTTAAAAAAAGCTTTTCAAAAAGGAATGTGGAAGCTGCAACAAGTAAAAGATCCTAGTATTAAAATCCTAGGATCCCAGCTCTAAGCGCTGTTTCCTACAATCATTATGATTATCCTTGCTTTGTGCCTTGACTCATGGAAACAAAATACGGAATAATTATGCCAGGGGAACTATAATACTGTGGTTACCTCAAATAAACCTTTTAGCACACTTGTGGTCACTTTTTAAGCCAGCTTTTTAAAAAATAAGCCAATATAAATCACATCTCAAAATCCTCACAAAGTCTACACAATTTACTGGTAACAGAAATGTCTTTGTATCAGTAAAAGTTTTCATTTCAGTATTAACTTAGCAGAATGACAAAGTTCATATCATGTCTAGTTTTTCTTGCTTTGAAAGCCTAAGCATTAATTCACACATAAGCAAAGTTACCTCGTAACAATGAAAAGACTCCAAAGGGTTCAGTATAGGCAATTCTTGACTTACAACTCTGAGGCCTGAAAATTATTTCCAGTAACAAAAGGCTTCTGTAATCTCCAATGGCCACACCAATACAAGGGTCCAGCAACTACCATTATGAAAAAAGAAATTGATCTTTTTTACGTTTTTGAACGAAACCACCAAAATTTGCAGTAATCTTTTGTAAAAGACTGGTCCTCTAAAATTCATTTTCCTTTCCCTATGCCACATTAAATTCTAACAAACTGAACATTTTCTTAGTTTAAAAATGTGTCCTTGGGGCTGGGCATGGTGGCTCAAGCCTGTAATCCCAGCACTTTGGGAGGCCGAGGCAGGTGGATCACGAGGTCAGGAAATCAAGACCATCCTGGCCAACATGGTGAAACCCTGTCTCTACTAAAAATACAAAAATTAGCCAGGTGTGGTGGCGGGCACCTGTAGTCCCAGCTACTAGGGAGGCTGAGGCAGAAGAATCGTTTGAACCCAGGAGGTGGAGGTTGCAGTGAGCCGAGATCGCGCCACTGCACTCCAGCCTGGGCGACAGAGCGAGACTCCGTCGCAACAACAACAACAACAACAACAACAACAACAACAACAAAGGTGTCCTTGGAAATGAAGACCATTATTCTAAGTGAAGTGACTCAGGAATGTAAAACCAAATACCCTATGTTCTCACTTATAAGTGGGAGCTAAGCTATGGGTATGCAAAGGCATACAGAGTAGTATAACAGACACTGGAGACTCAGAAGAGGGCAGAGTGAGAGGGGAGTGAGGGACAAAAAACAATATATTGTAACTACTACAATATGTAGTTATAACCTACATTACTAGGTGATGGGTGCACTAAAATCTCAGATTTTACCACTATACAATTCACCCATGTTAACAAAAAACCAGCAGGCCCCTTAAAGCTATAGGGGATCCCTTTCAAGAGATGTTATTCTAAGAGGTAGTATAGTCCATTTCTGATTTAGTAGGACTACATTTCTCACATGTAACTAAGATCAGACTCACTGAAGGAAAAAAAAAATTCAGATTTGTAGGAGTGGGTGAAGGAAGACATTATAGAAAATAGATTAAGTCTGATGTGATAGGGGCATGGGATTAGGAAGCACCAAAAAAAAAAAAAAAGAAAAAAAAAGGGAATGCTCTGAAAGGCATTAAAATGTGTGGGCACCAGCCTAGAAAACACAGTGAGTCCTCCATCTCTAAAGAAAGAAAGAAAAAAAAACCCACACAATTAGCCAGGTGTGGTGGCACATGCCTTTAGTCCCAGCTACTTGGGAGGCTGAGGCAGAAGGACATTTTGAACCCATGAGGTGGAGGCTGCAGTGAGCTATGATCACACCACTACACTCCAGCCTGGGCAAGAGAGTGAGATCCTCTCTAAAACAAAACAAAACAAAAAAATGTGTGGGCTTCTATACCATATAAAGAAAGTTGAAATTAACCTATAAGTAAAGTCAATGAAAACTCTTGAAACAAATGACACGATTCAATTTGCATGCTGTCAAGAACACAATAATGGAGGAATTTGAGGAGCAGAATTTAACAGTGGCAAGATTAGAGGCTGAGAAGTCAGATGAGAAGCTAGTCATCACACCTCCAAGAGAAAGAGAACCTGAACTACTGCACTCGCAGGAAGGATAGAAAACATTGAAGAGAGAGGGTCAGATAAGAAATACATAGGATAAAAATCTATAGGATGTAAGAATGGGGGGAAGAGGGGAAGAGGAGTTTGACTTGCAGGTTTCTAGTATGAACAGATTTATGGCTTGGATGCTTAGCAGATGGTGCACACAGTAAGGAAGGAAATTGAGGAGGAAGAGCAATTTGGGGACCACCATTATAGATTTCAAAGTGAGATATGCTGAGTTTGAAATGTTTGTGAATGATCTAGGCAGCAAAACTCTGATAAGGAGCTGAGTTTATGAATCTAGAAGTTGAGAAGAAAGGTCTGGGTTAAACATTTAAATGGAAGCTGTATACTACTAAGAGAATTTAATATATGAAGAGAATGTAACTTCCACTAGGGCAGATGTATTCATTATTTTGTTCACTAATATAAGCACCCAAAATTATGTCTGTCCATAGCAGTACATGAACAATAAATATTTAATGAATGAATGTCAAGGGACAGTGAGTAGTATCCTTGGAGGAGTGAATGTTATTGAATAAACAGCATTTTGATAAATTCACTGGGAAACTACCATTTGTAACACTTCCTAACAAACAGGATTTCCACAAACAAAAAAGCAGTTTATAAATTATCTTTTGGGAAAAAAATAACTTGATAGTAAATTAGAAACAGCTCTATAATCTACTCCTGAGATCACGTAATTGTTCAATCTCCCATCAGTATACTCACTATATAAATCTGAAGTCTAAATTTTTATTCAAAAGGCCAGGCACGGTGGCTCACGCCTGTAATCCCAGCACTTTGGGAGGCCAAGGCAAGAGAATTGCTTGAGCTCAAGAGCTCGAGACCAGCCTGGGCACCACGGCAAAACCCCATCTCTTCAAAAAATTAGCTAGGTGTGGTGGTGTGCGCCTGTAGTCCCAGCTACTCAGGAGGCTGAGGTGGAAGGATCACTTAAGCCCGGGGGGCAGAGGGTACAGTGAGCCAAGATCACACCACTGCACACCAGCCTTGGTGATAGAGTGAGACTCCGTCTCAATAAATAAATAAATAAATAAAAATTTCTATTCAAATTCTGAAGGTCTACTTGCATCAAAAATAATCTACTTCCAAGAAAACAGAAATGATAGAAAAGGAAAGCTATTTCTATTTATCATAAACAGTTCCACCTCTAGACAGAAACATAAGACTTTCCTGTACTAAGAGTTCCAAGAGTAAGTCGTTTCAAAGTGGGTCAGTGTCCATAAGCAAAACCATTTCTAGAAAATACACCTATTTTCTTGGTCCATGCAGTTTGAAAGCCACTGAGATTTTAATAATCTGTAAATATTAAGCATAAAACCAATGCGCCAGGTAATTCCCAGTAAATTGCACCTGAGTGAAAAATGTGCGAACCTTATTTAAGCCTTTATTTTTAAAAATAAGCAGCCAAGAAAACTGATACACAAAATACTATTTCCAACATTTGCCGATGCTTTCGGTAGAATAATGCATTTTTCTCAAAAGTTTCTTAAAAGGACAGAAGGGAGGTCAACAAAAATGGCACAATAAGAAAGAAACAATTTTAAAGAACTTTAATATGTATCTCTGAAGGTATTCCCTCTCTAGGAGATGTTCAACCTTGTCTCCCTTTGAACTGCATTTAATCTGCCAGCCTCAGCCTCACTTGTTGTTAAGAGCTCTCCATGAACTCTTCACAATAGGTGGGTCAGAATGGATCTAGCAAGCCATAAACACATCATGGGCAGAGTTATCATTAAACATATCCTCCCTGTTATGTCAGAGTTTCTTGTATAAGGTTTGCACACAAACGATGTTCAGTTGATGTTTGCTCAATGAGCAAATATGTGGAAAATGAATTAATTGGGCCACTTTAAAAGGAAATAAACTGTTTTCTAAGATCAAAACATTTTAAACCGAGGGCACGTGGGACAATAATTTTTCAGTGAAAAGACACGCTATTCATGCATTGATACTAAAAAGAGTTTGTACTCATGGTAAAAAAGTAGAGCCCCACACAAATATTTGCATATAAAAGAGTACTCAGTGAATTTCACCTCACTCCCACCAACTTTCCTCTCCGTCTTTCTGCTTGTCTAGTCTCTTTTGGATTACCTCTAAAAAGATGGAAGGCTATGGTTTTCCTAGGTCAGCTTTTCCTGGCTGCACTAGCAATTCTACCATCCTGACAGGCTACAACCCTGGGAAGACAAACTGCTGATAGATTCCATGGGAGAACAGCAGACACGGTCCACGCAGGGCGCAGGGGTTGCTTGGGATAAATTTTTGCTTGGTGTGCAGCATGCGCTCATCAGTATCTTATTTTACATTGCATATCCCCAGAGAGAGAAGACAACAGTCATACTGTATTGGGGTCTGGATTGTTTGTGTGTGTGTGTGTGTGTGTGTGTGTGTGTGTGTGTGTCTGTGTGTGTGTGTCTGTGTCTGTGTGTGTGCTTTTTTTTGTAGCCAATTAAAGTTGGAATGTAACAGGAGTGTGGAATTAGCAATGTCATCCATTGCAAAAATTATTCAAACCACTCAACTTTAATTATTGAGTGCCACCTTCTGTGTGCCAGGCAATGTGCTACAAACACTGTGGTGGAGGTGATATCTCTCCTCAGTAGAGCTTGGAGTGCAGCAGAAGGTGCAGACATAAGGAAGGACATAGAAAGAAAAATCTATAATTATAAATGTGGTGTTAGGAAGTTAAAAAGGTGAGTGCAAAACACAGAAGACAAATGGCAGATCCTGAGTTAAATAAACCATATGGTCGAGAAAAGCCCCTATGAAAGATGACATTTCAGTTCAAGCCTAAAGGACTAGAAGGATCTCATCATTCAAAAAACAGAGGGGGAACCATTTCTTCCAAAGAGGATAGCATAAGGTGTCCAGGGTACGAAGGAACTTGGCATGTGGGAGGGAATGGAAGGTCGGGAGCTGGAGCCAGTAAGCAAGGGAAGCATGACATGAAGCTGAAGAAACAGCACTGGATAACTGGGCACTGCAGATGATGGGAGTCTGATTTTCAATCTGAATACCCTGAGAAGCAGTTGAGAGGATTTACTTGTGGGAATAATATGATCATATGTATATTTTTAAAAGATCACTCTGGCTAGCATATGGAGAAAAGACTGGAAAGAGACATGAATGGAAACTATAAATATGAGAAGGGTATCCTCGAGTAAAGGATAGCAGTGGTTTTAAGGGTGTTGTTTCCCAATATGTGACATAAGCCTAGGCCCCTTGCTGTGTCACACAGTGAGGTCCTCGAGGAGCTCAACATTTCAGTGGAAAGAAGAAAATGTATACCTCCAACTCAAAACAGAGTATGGTATGAAAAAGGCCAAAAGTGAATTACAGAGTGACTATATATCCCAGTTTTTCAGGAAGTCCTGATTAATGCTTATTGTTCCAAGGTAATTATTAATGGTTCCCCCTTTCATTCCCAGTAATGTCCTAAATTAGCTGATAAATTCTGGGGTGACCCTTGTTATAAACAAAGGATCATAAGAGTTGGGAAGACAATGCAATTACTTACAAGGAAAAAGATCATAAAAACTTCAAGGAAGAAGTGGGTCTGAACTAGTCAATGGAAGACAAATATGTCAAAAAAGAATATTCTAAACAAAGAAAATAGCCAAAGCACAGGCACAGGAATGTGGAGAAAACACAGGGTTCATCCAAATAGCAGTTGTAGTTGCAGCTTGGTGTTTACAGAGAGTGGGAAAGGCAACTGGGAAGGTACATTGCAGCAGGATTAGTCAGGGCCTAAAATGTCCTATACTAAGAGGCTTCAATCTTATTTAGATGGCTGTGGATGGTCACTGAAATTTTTTAAACCAGAGTACAATAGCAATGAGCTAAATAATGCTGCACTAATCTAGAGATGATAAATCTAAAAGTTTACCGAAAAGAACCAGCACAGTAAAAGGAACAAGGAAACAGGAAGCAAAGGCATTTTGTGACTCTGAGAGCAGATCTAAGTGATGTCCCATGCAATCCTGGCTGGGTCAAGAAGCTAGCAAAAGACACTGGGTGGAAGGAGGGAGTAAAATGAAAGCCAAAGAGCTGAAGGTAGGCTCAAGGACAGAGATGAAAGGAGAAATATGGGTCTGCTCAGTTTGAAAGGGGGAAGAGAAGAGCAGGGGCAGAATGACCATGAAAACGGTTTTTAAACTCCATATTCTTTCCTTCTAATACTGTACTATGTCAATTTGTCTCCTTAGTCTATCTGGAGAACCATGGGGCAGCCCTAATATACTCCCTACATGGTCCCAGTGATGGCAGTGGCAGCCTGTCTGGAGCAGCCGCTGCCAAGATGCTGGCTGCAGCCGGGGCTGTATGCTCTGAGGAGCCGGCTGGGGCCAGGAACAGGCAGGAGCCCCACCCTCCACTGAGTTGGCAGAGAGGGAGATTCATGCTCCTGGGCACACATGCAGCTGCCCAGCTGTGGCTCCAGACCCAGGCATCCCTGAGCTCTCAGGCGCCTGGGGAAGTGCCCCTGCCCGAGCAGTCTTGGAAGTGCCTACTCTCGCTACCTGGCCTCTCCCCATACCTGGCTTCTCCCCATACCTGGAGCCCACTCTGATTTCAGAGGAAAATTGAGGCTAAGCCTGAGTGCTGTCACAACCTGGCCAGGCATGCATGCACTCGGGTGGCATTGACACGCCAGCCCCCTGCCACCTCAGCACCCCCTCCAGATTTTGGGCACCCATGAGCACAAGAGGGAGGCCAAGGTAGGACTGAAGGTGGCTCAGCGTGGGCCTACAGGTGTCCCTTGGCATCAACAGCCTGAGTGCCATGGATGGCACATTGATGGTGGGAGGCAGACAGGTTTCAGGGCAGAAAGGGACAGGTCCCCAGTGAAATTCCACCTTCAAGCCAGGGACAACCTGAAGCCTAGCGGCCAGGGTGCCAGTTCCCGGTGGAGTCTGCCGCCCAGAGTGAAGACTTCATTGATGACCATTTGGCCAATCGGATGGTGCTTTTTCCAGGCCTGCCCATGGACCAATCAACATGTACTTCTTCCCTTCTAAGCACATAAAAACCCGAGACTCAGCCAGGCTCAAACAGACATCGGACTACCAGCTGCAGAAAGGAGCTACCACTGCGGCTCGCCTCTCCACTGAGAGCTGGACACTCATAGGGATGACCTGCCTGTGGAAAGGAGTTACCCACTTGAGGTCTCCTGGGAGCTGTTCTGTGGATCAAATAAAGCTCCTCTCTGCCTTGCTCACACTCCAGTTGTCTGCTGTACCTCATTCTTCCTAGGCATGGGACATGAACTCGAGACCTGTTGAATGGCAGCACTGATGAGCTGTAACACAAACAGGGCTGAAACACACTTTCCCCCCTGCTCGCCACGTTGCAGTTAATGAGAAGGAGAGAAGAGCTGCGGCCCTTTAGGGAGCCCAGACCTAGGGGCTCCCTGAGGCAGGGCTGTGACACCCTCTTTGGGGCTCTGTGGTTCCTGGTATCTCCAAGCTTCTGGGTGCCACCTTGTTGCCCTCATCCAGACAGGGGTGCCCACAGTGGAAGCCACATGCAGTACATCTTGTCCAGCCACAGCCTTGCATGGAGCCAGCACCTGTTCTGGTGCCTGGGGCTGCCCACCCTGCCGCAGCAGCAGGCATGCCTGGCTGTGAGCAGTGGCCATACCCCAGGCTCACTCACTGATATGGCTTGGCTGTAGCCCCACCCAAATCTGATCTTGAATTGTAACTCCCAGAATTCCCACATGTCATGGGAAGAACCCAGTGGGAGGCAAATGAATCATGGGGGTCTTTCCCATGCTGTTCTCGTGATAATGAGTAACTCTCAAGAGATCTGATGGTTTTAAAAACAGGAGTTTCAGGCCAGGTGCAGTGGCTCACGCCTGTAATCCCAGCACTTTGAGAGGCCGAGGCGGGCGGATCACGAGGTCAGGAGTTCAAGACTAGCCTGGTCAACAAAGTGAAACCCTGCCTCTACTAAAAATACAAAAATTCGCTGGGCGTGGTGGCAGGTGCCTGTAGTCCCAGCTACTTGGTAGGCTGAGGCAGGAGGATCGCTTAAACCAGGAGGCAGAGGTTGCAGTGAGCTGAGATCACACCACTACACTCCAGCCTGGGTGACATAGCAAGACTCCGTCTCAAAGAAATAAAAAATAAAATAATAAAATAAAAACAGGTGTTTCCCTGCACAAATGCTCTATTTGCCTGCCACCATCCACGTAAGATGTGACCTGCTACTCATTGCCTTCTGCCATGATTGTGAGGCCTCCCCAGCCATGTGGAAGTGTAAGTCCATTAAACCTCTTTTTTTATAAATTGCCCAGTCTTGGGTATGTGTCTATTGGCAGCGTGGAAAAGAACTAATATACTCACCCACACACCCCTTGCCACTCTACGCCTGGCTCGCCCTTGGCAGGTGTGGGATCTGGGCCAGTAGCATGAGCCAAGTGCAGCCTGCTGGGCCAACTGGGCAGAACAAGCCCAGTGCCCAGTGAGCATGAGCAATACTCAGAGAGAAGGTACCCCTGCCACAGAGGATTCCAGCTGGCAAGATGACATCCCAAGGATCCCATGACACCAATATACTCCCCTTCAAAAACATCCATATAATCACATCCCCTCAACACCTTTCCCTATCCTTCCTACTGCCATGTTTATCTGAGAAATACAGATTCAGAATTAAGTAGAGAGAGGTAGGGGACAGGTAATGATAAATTATGCAAGTGGGCTGCTGAAGTTTCACAAAGTACCATGCAACCTTCCAGCAGTGCACACCAGGCCCACTACCACCCAGCTTTGTATTTCAAAACTGCTTTTCTCATCATCATTTCTTAGGAAAATTTGATGATAGTATTTTTTAAAATCAAAAGTCATTATTAATAATCTTTCTCATATGATAATTTCATTAGCAACTATTCGGTAGATTATTTTGCACTAATCTCCAGGAAAATAGCATTTTTGGCCTCATAGCAATATATAAAAAAAGAATGCTACCTACTGTTGACAAACCTCAGGCAATTGTTAAATCCTAAGAATAGGTTTTGCTATTTAAACAAAAATTCTTATGAGAATTTTTATTCTGTTTGGCTTTAGAAAGGAAAATATTTCTTTTTGAATTTGTGGAATCAAAATCGTAAATTCAATTATAATATTTTTATTAAACTGAAGCTTTGCTGGTAATGAAGAAAATAACAAATGGCCTTTAGTCTCCACTGATATGGGCAATATTTTCAGATTTCTTTCACACTTGACCCCCAGTACCAAATATCACCAACTTTTGTAATTTGAAGGGTTCAAAAAATGTATAAACCTTAAGAGCTCATCATCATTGTCTACAGATGGGAAAAAACAAGAAATTAGAACTTTAAAAAAATGAAAAATAAAAAACTCCGGTTAGCATCTTTATAAACAGCTATTATTTGAGTGAGCCAGTGGGCCTAAGGAGAGAATACTAGAATACAATTATTCTATCAGGTCCATTCTAGTAAACACCTAGAAAAAGTAGCTATTTTGAAAACATCATTTTTTGTTATATAATGTCTACATCATCTGGCAGAAACATTTCTTTCTTGCCAATACATTTTGGAAGATAACTCAATTAGTAAATGTACAGAACAAAAATATGATCCAATTATTGATAAAATTAATTTCCGCAAGATATGTTGTTACAATTTTATGATTCTTCCCAAGTTTTGCTAACAATATTGCAATTTTTAATTGAAAATAAAAAATAAGTACAGTTTATTTAAAAATATGGCTCCTGCAGCACCTGTACTGGAGTCACTGAAGGAACTCCAGTTCCTTGTTGCCACACCCTGACCCCCACCCAATGGACTATGCCAAGGTGATTACCTGGGAATCTGCATTTTAACAAAAGATCCACAGTTGCTCTGACATAGGGGTTCAAAGACCACCCTTTGAGAAACATTATTCTGTATGTTCCCTACTCAGAATATGTAGCTAATTGCTTCTCCATCTAATTATAGCCAATCTCAACCTCTCAGAACCATCACCAGCAATTAGGACCTGTCCAGGTTTGTAATACATGATTTCAAGATGTATGAGCAAACACTTCCTGAGCAAATGCAGGTGCAAACAGTGATTACAGAATGACCTGCTACATCAGCGTCACTGCAGGCAGGCACATAGGAGAAGTGGCAGCTTCTGCAGAGCTGTGATCAATGAATGCAGGTATAATGTTCCAGAAGGCCACATGGCACAGCTCATCAGGCCTCCTGAGAGACATAAGGTGGTCCCCCACAGGACTTGCCCACATTTGTGAGCTATTTTGGTTTCTGCTCCTGTGTGTGTCTTTGTGAGCACTGGTGTGAGGATGCACACCCCTAGGTGTAAAAAGCCCCAGAGTAAATAACAAAGTTATATCTGCCTGATATAAAATCATCAACACTTGCATCAATAGGCAATGCTCCAGAGTTCATTTAGAATACCAAGACAGGTTCTTTTAAACATCATTAGGACCCAACAGCAACTCAAATGCATTAAAACAGCTGGGTTCCTGTGGCAAAGCAGGTCTAATGGGACTGAGGGTTAAGTACAGCAAGGGGTGTGTCTCCTCACCCCAAGCCTCGGGGGCTCTCTAAGAGCAAAGAGTGATAGTAGTGAAAGCGTATAATTCAGCACGGTTTTGTCCCAGATAGTATTCACTGAAATGTTCAAGGGAAAACTAAAAAAATGCAGTTATATTGTATCTATATTCATATTTAATTAAAAAGAGAGTTAACAGCACTTCCAAGAGGGAGGTCATTCCTTGTTCAGCACAAGATTTCTGTGCAAAGCTATGGGCAATAAAACAATTCAACATATAAACATTTACAAAAGCTACCATTTCAGTAATGCTACTAATGCTTTAGCAAACAACTCTGAAGATAAGAAACAAATCACAATCCTGCAGCTGGGGGCAGCCATAAGAGAATCAAGATCATCAACCACTGTCAAAGTCCAATAAAATCCACCCTCTCTCTTCCTTCTTCTCTTGTTTGCCTCTGGGCTCCAACTGCCTTTAACAGAGTTGTATCATATGAAAATGTTTACAAGAAACAAAGTTATATGTAAGAACTTGAATATGATACAGTTGGCCCTCTGTATCCATGGATCCAACCAATGGCAGACCAAAAATGTGGCCTACAATGGTTGCTTATATACTGAACATGCACAGGCTCTTTGTCTTGTAATTATTGCCTAAACAATGCAATATAATAACAAATTGCATAGCTTTTACACTGTACTAGGTATTATAAATAATTTAGAGATGATTTAAAGTTTGTGAGAGGATGTGTGTTGGTTACATAAAAATACTATAACATTTTATTTAAGGAACTTGAACATCCACAGCTTTTAGTATCCATGGGGAGTCCTGGAAAGAATCCTCCTTGGATACGGAAGGAAAAATGTATCCCAAAGTTCAAGAGAACAAATAACCATTTACTCCTGCATAGTAACTTTATGAAGAGCTAAAGGAAGAAAGGAGGATGAAGTCCTACGATAAACTCACAGAGAACACTACAAGATGTCAGCAGATTTTACATAAGAACCTCACACAGTTGTATACATTTAAAGAGAACTACACAAAGGTAAGACATGAGCAGGCAGCTGGGATTGCCAAGCATTCCCCTAGGTTGGTTTCCAGACAAATAGGTGTTTTGTGTGGTTTTCTTTTTTGGAGACAGGACCTCGCTCTGTTGCCCAGGCTGGGGTGCAGTTGCGTGAACATGGCTCACTGCAGCCTTAACTTCCTGGGCCCTTGCAATCCTCCCACTTCAGCATCCCAAGAAACTGGGACAACAGGCATGCGTCACCATGCCCAGCTAATTTTTTTATTTCTCTAGAGACAAGGTCTCATCATATTGCCCAGGCTGGTCTTGAATTCCTGTGCTCAAAGCAATCCTCCCACCTTAGCCTCCCAAAGTGCTGAGATTACAGGCGTGAACCACAGCACCCATACCAATAACTGTATGTTTGACCCTTTGGGCAAGGTGTGACATTCAACTCTGCCTATGTATATACATAACTGAATCTCCAAATGCACCTTTGGCTTTTACAGTCTTAGAAAATGAATTACAAATTGGGCATGAAGACATCCAACAGTTCTCAAGCAACATTTACCACACAGAATTGCCTGCGTCTGCCTGTCTTAAAGCCCACCCACAATTTCATTTTCAATTAACAGCTCCTCGAAAGGCAGTAATGAAAGCAGTTGCTAAAGAGCATTCAGATGTCACCGAAAGACTGCAAACCCAAACTGTAAATAGCACATTGTGAGTCGCCTGTCACCACCATCAACTCCCACGGGAATCACGCAGCATGTGGCTATCACAACCATCTGCTCAGTTCCCCACCACCACCAGTGCAAACCACACAGACACCCATCTCCTCCCACTTCCCACTCATTACCTGTCATGTACAGACTTGTGTGGATACAAGATTGCTGTGAACAGAGATTAGAATGCAGAATGTACAGAGGCTTATTTCATGTTCTTTAGCTGAGATCTGGCCACATGCAGATAACTTTATATCATCACAAGAGGGAAAAATGTAAAATTTAATCAGCACAAAAATACACAGTTTCAAATAAAGAAAGGGAGTTCTGTCCTACCCTCATCAACTACCAAAAGTGTACTGGCTAGGCCTTATTAAAGGAAAGATGTGCTCCCTCATTCTTCAATCACTGACATTGTAGAAATTTATGGGAGCCAGAGTTGAGAATCACTCCTGTCACTTTATCTTTCTTAACTCCTCTATCAATATATGGGATTTAAATGGCCCTTAATAAAGTTCTGCATGCACAAATACACATATAAAATTTTCTTACTTTGGGAAATATAAAAGGTCACTGTTTTATGGAACAACTCCTGTAGGTATCAGGATCACCCAAGCTGAATTATGGCCCATTCTTTTCATTGCAGTTCCTTTTCCCATTCAGCTTATTTTCTCTCTGCAGGTTTTATTTTATGAGGTGGTAGTTAATGTGCTGTGTTGGTTAATTTAGGGTATCAACTTGACTGGATTAAAGAATACCTAGAGAACTGGTACAGCATTACCTTTGGGTGTGTTTGTGAGGGTGTTTCCAGAGGAGATTGGCATGTGAGTCTCAGTGAACTAAGTAGGGAAGGATCTGCCCTCCATGTGGGCAGGCACCATGCAATCAGCCGGGTGTCCAGATAAAACAAAAACAGAGGAAAGGCGAAATGGTCTCTCTCTCTCTCCTAGAGCTGGGATATAATTTCCTGCCCTTGATCATCTAAACTCTAGGCTCTCTAGGCTTTGGACTTGAGGACTACCCCAGTCTCAGGCCTTCAGACTTGGTCTGAGCCATACTGTGAATCCCAGGGTCTCCATCTTGCAGATGGCTTGTTATGGGACCTCTCAGCCCCCATAATCATGTGAACAAATTCCCCGAATGAATCCCCTCTTATCTACCCACATATATATTCTACTGGTACTTGCTCTCCAGAGAATCCTAATACATATGCTATGTCCTTTTCATAGTCAATTTTTACTAAATTTTTATTTAAAATTACAAATGTCATTTAGGATAAAATTATTACTGGTCATAACATTCCAAAGATGTATCTCACTGAAGTTAAGTGATGTTTATGCTCACTATTCCCAACATTCAGGGCTCACAGCAACAAAGTATAGAGTCAAAAGACACAAAATGAAAAACACGAATAAACCTGTTTCCAAATGCTCAAGATAAAACAAAAGCAAAACACCTTTCATATAACTCATTATTATATTAGTGTCAGGTTTACCAATCCCAGTTACAAACCAATACTTCCAATACAATACGTGAGTAATTCCTGAACACAGACAAGCCTAGATTGGGGTTCTTCAATTACCTGATGTTAAAACTAGCATCTCACTCTTATTCAAGTCAATCAATATTCCAAAGAGAGATCATAAGCCAATCTTTTATTCCCTCCATCTTTCCTTACAGTTTTTCTTATTTCTATACTTTAGGCAAGGGGAAAAAGTAGTATGCAACTTAAATTCATAAAAAGGAAAAAAATATAAAGAATTTTATTTGATACCTTAGCTTGTAACCTTCACATGACTACAAAATTTTTCGAAAGCAAATGAAATCCCAATTAACATGGTAAACTTGAAATTTTGAAGTATGAGGTAGAAACGGTTTAACTGACATTCTTAATACTAGTTCAAGGTACCAGCAGACATCTAAATATTATAACAAAAGTATGTATGAAAGAGCACATAGCAAAGTTCATGTCTTTTCATTATGACAGTAAAATCCCAAATTACATTCGTGTCTCAAATGCTCTGATTTCCAGAAACCTGTAGGCTCTAGAGTCAAGCTGGATAAATACCTGTGTGATTTTTGGCCTAGATTTCCATCCAAAACTAATTAGCAGATCTTCAGAAACGAGACTTGAACTGGATCCGTTTAATCAAAGTTTTCCATTATAAATCCTCCTTTGCAAGTTAATTTCTACTAGTAACAAATTTAGAGAAAGCTCTTCAGACAAAAGCAGTAAGTCTAAGTCGTGCTGAAATAAGGGACCAGCCTCTGGTAGCAAACACTCTCAACAGGAAAGAGCATGGGCTGGGATAGACTGTTCCATCAGGACAGGTGGGAAGAGAGGGTGGCTCAGTCACCTGGGCTCTTAAGTCTATAGCACCACTATCACTTACTCCAAGGAAGACCAAGGTACAATGTCAATACATGAAGCAGATGCAACCATGCAGAGTTCTAGTAATCACTCTAATTTTAAATGCCTGGCACTGGGATGGATTCCTCTTCTTCCTAGAAAGCAGTAGACACTTTTGGTGTCTACAGTTTACAATGTCAACTACAAATCTCCCACCATACTGGATTTTCAGAGAGAGAAGAGCAAATTTTTATTCCTAAAAAGAAATACCTACCCAGATCAACTTGTATAAAGATTTTTAAACCACATAAGACATTCCCACATAAGCCATCCTTACCAGCAAGGTTAGAGTCTACTAACAGGCTCCTGAAATATTCACAAATTCCTCCATTTTCCTCTAAAATGATGTTCTCCTGTGACTAAAGCAATCTCAACAGGTTGCCTCTTTCTTTAGGAAATTCTGCCCTAAGATGAATGGCTTTTTGGCACCTAAAATTCAGTTAAGGAGGGAGACCACAGGATTTATTTTGATGATTCATCTTGGTGTCTGTTAGAAGAGTTCATATAACCTAAAAATGCCTTCTAGCTCACTTAAGCCTATTTCCTCTGGCTCAGTTGATACTACAGAGAAAGGACAGACTAATGGACTAAATGGAGATTTAGAAATCCAGTCAGAGCCAAATCTGAGAGTTCTCTGAATGCTCATCAACTTTTCATCATTGGTACTCTATTTTTAAAACCCTTTTGCTCTCTGTGTGTTTTAAACTACAAAGTCCTAAATTTTTTAAGAATTCTCCATGGTCTAGAAGTCAGATATACTGAAATTAAACTCAATGCCCTGGGAAGGGTTAAGTTTTCCCAAAGTGCTTCTCAGGAAGTTATAATTTGGCTTATCGGTTTAGCGACACCTGACTTCCTTGTGTTCCTGAGTGGTTTCATTGTGACTTGGTCTCCCAATTAGAGAATAAAGCTCCTTAAGGAGAGGCCATGTGCAACCTCTTTTGCTTTTCCCACCCCCAAATCTCCATTGAGAAAAAAAAAGTACCATGTCCTTGTAAGTAAATGATAAAACTTTTTTTATATCATGTCTAAGTGCTTACATCATGAACAAATAGTTCATTTACAGAGGTCAGAAAGACATGCGCTATTTTGTATAAGAGTTGTATAAGAGGTAATTTATTGATTTCTTCATAATTTTAACCCCTTTGGGAAGTAAGAAAAGTATTCAAATTTCTCATATCAAAAAGTGCAACCATTTGCCAAGACAGGTGCCACCTCAGCATCTTCTAAGGCAGTATGTATTTATACTTAAAAACATAATCCAACAAATAAGTGTCAGTTTAAAAGCTTTCTTTTGGTAGTATGGAAAAACATCACAAGAACTTGGGTTTTACAACCAGGCAAGTGAAAGAATAAGCAGTTTGGTTTTAGAACTATACATCTTTCCTATAAAAGTATTATAATTGCACCCTCCGAGTAAAAAGATCAGTTGCCTTCAACGGAGTCTCAGAAAAAAAAATCCTATTCTTTCCTCTCTACTAAGGAGTAACATCTTCCCATAATTACAGGAAAGCTGTGCATTAAGTTGTCTGCTCAGGAAGTACCATTTCCTAATAAGATGCAAACCTAATTCATTCTAACCAAGTCAGAAATAAAGACTAAGTTCTCGCCTCTTCCCTATTTCATCTGTAGTTCTCAATAACAGGCACTAAATGACAATCCATTAATGTAGAAATGCTCCTCAAAGCTCACTCTCATCTCAAGGTCCCCTCCCAGCTAAGATGGTCAGATTCAGTTTCTTTACCTGATAAGAGGCAAACGCAGGCGATAAAGTAATTGTGATATTTACAGGCATCTAGGATGATAGGAAAGCAATCACGAGTATTCTTCAGACAAGCTTTTTGAACATCTACTATGGTCATTAAACACTCATGTGTCACCTTTTACCAATGATCACATAACAGATGGCAGTTGTCTGGACTGACACACAATGGACCACTCCCCTCCCTCCTACTATAAATGCATCTTACCCTTCTCCTTTAAATGTCTTCATATTACATGAAAACAAAATTTTAAAGAAAAAAAAACATTAAAAATAAATAAATGTCTTCACAGAGCCTATCAGTTACAGACTGACTCCAAAACGGCATTACCTTCAGACCTACAGACTCCTTTACAGACCTTTACAACACTGTATTTGTGTTATTCATAAATTTAAAAAACTATGGGACCCAGAGGGAGGAGCCTAAGAAACATTCAAGTCCAAGCCCTTCATTTTCCAGATGGGCTGTTACCAGATGGTGACTTGTTTGGGATTTCATAATAGCACAAGTGATTCTAAGAATATTAAAAATGAGAAGTATTATGGCCTTATCTCAATTATCACCTTCTGCATTCCTTCTTACTAGAAATATAACACTTGATTGGATAACATATTTTGGCATCAACACTGAAGGTAAGAAAATACTCCTTGTTTTTAAAAGTTTTACATAGGGCCAAAGATACAATTCATGCTTTCCTTCTCCATGATTCATAAAGAGTCAAAATACTTGCTTTTCAAATATGTTACCTAAAACAAAGATAGCTTTGATTTCAAATACCATTAGTACAAGAGAGTTGGCCATTAAGACCAAAAGCTACTCAAATTTAAGATGTGTTACGTCTTAGTCTTCTTTTCCGATCATAAAACTCTGTCACCAGAGGACCTTGAAAGTCTCGAAGAAGTAGAAAGAAATACAAAGAATAATTCTGAGGACACAGAATAGAAAAGTCAGATCACGTCTAGAAGAAAAAGATTCAAGGATGAGGATCCGCAGCTTGGTGTTAACTCAGAGTAAGAAGGCTTCCTTCTTACCCTGCTGGGGCGGGGGCCTGAGGGAGAGGGGGGTGGTTACATTGCAATCTCTCTCCACTGAGATTAATTACTTTTCTCACATATCTCACACAGAGGCATGAGTTAGGAGTCACAAATACCACAGGAACATCACCTTTTATAGAACTTAGGCTTTCCTCCCTCTCCCCAACTCCCTATCAAGAAAAAAATAAATAAAACTTCATCTAAATATGGAAAACAGAACAAACCACGGAACTAGAGATATCTGGGTCTAAACCCTGGCTCCTTCCCTCATTGACAAGGCCTCAGACAAGTCACTTTATCTCTTTGAGCCCTCGTTTCCATAGCTGTTAAGTAACCATGATATTACCTACTAGGCAGGGTTGTTGTACAAATTATAGGTTATACTATAAAAACTCCCTCACTGAATGTAGCATAGTATGCATTAGGTAAATGTTAATAATTACTATTATAACTCCAGTCTGGCGTTTCAGGACACAAGTGTACCTTTGGAAACACTGTGCTGGTTGTCAGATTTAGGCATTACCTTGGAAGCCTTCTGGGTCCATCTGAAACCCATCACCCCAGATGTTTTACCAGGATTATATGCTTCACTACGTATAAGGCAGAATTCTGACACCAAACTGCCCACTACATCATATTGAGGCTTTTGATCTTTCCAATCTTTTAACTAAAAACCATCACCCAAATACACTCTTGATTCTTTGTAAGAGTGACTTCCAACCAGGCTGACTGTTTTCAAATAGGAAACTTTCTAAAACTACAAATGTCATTAGGTCCTAAAGAGGGGCCAGAAATTTAGGTTTAGTAGCTCTCATTATATGATTCTCAAGATCTGTGTGGTTTGGGAACCATTGTTTTGTTTGATCCCAGATCTCCCTGCCTCTGCAGAGAAACATCTGCAAACCAAAAATTACCTATTCCACCTCTAATTAGCAGCACCTGCTCTGTACACCACAATTCCTTCCTCTGCTTTCTTCAGTGATAGTCAATCCTACCCAATGGTCCTGCCAAAAATAAATAAAACACACCCAGGACACAGGTAACTAACTTGACAGGCACTGAAGCCTCTGGATTTGTGCAGAAAAACTGCTATAAACAGCTTCATATCTCATTATTAATCCATCTCATGTGGGGATTTCCACAGGCAGAAAGGCTTCCCAAATGCCAAGAGCCATACTTTCTTGTGGATCATTGAAACCTAATTATTAACAGGCCAGTAAGCCTCATTATCAGACGTTCATACAATCAACAGATCACAAAGATAGTCTTGAATTATAGCCTATGGAGAACAACTAAGACACCAAAAGGCAAATTCATTTTTTGCCATTGCCCTCCCAGATGCCACAATATCTGAGCTTCCCCGGAAAATATAAATCTTAGCAAGGCATTTCTCACACACAGGCAATCATTTTAGCA
This sequence comes from Homo sapiens, assembly GCF_000001405.40. Lineage (NCBI taxonomy): Eukaryota > Metazoa > Chordata > Mammalia > Primates > Hominidae > Homo > Homo sapiens. The sequence continues at coordinate 69,899,886 of NC_000007.14, read as the reverse complement.
CCTTAGAACCATGAGATGCACAATGTATGTGATGAAATCCACCTGTTCCATTTATCCTAATTGCAAAGATCTCTCCCCTGCAAGCCAGTCCATCTTGACAACTGTTAAGACAGGTCTGCCCTAAATACCAGTACCACTTAGCATCAAGCTTTGTTGCATAAAGCACATCTGACTGAAAGGGCACCATGCTGAAGTTTCAAATCCTCATAGAAAGAGCTGAGATTGGGTTTTAGATTCTTTTAAAGGCACGCACACAGCTTTGTTGGACAACCACTTCAGCATCCCACCAAGGATATCTTCTCCACCTGTTACGAAAAACCACAGTGGAGGAAGCACCTAAGGAAGGGATTTTGCCGCCACAGGAAAGAGCGAACCCAAGCTTCCTCACCTGTCTGAGTGCCTTCGGCATTTTCTTTCTCTTCCCAAGGTGCTGGCAGAGATTGCGGTCATTTTCTCGATCTGAGCTGTAGTGGTGTGGGTGGCTGAGTCTGCTCTTCTTTGAATGAAAGGACAAGCCATTGGTAAGTGCTTCTCGTTTCTTCTTGGTCAGGGGCGTCTGGCGTTTCTCCACACGTTCCTGAGGCTTAAGTGCTACATCTTTCTGTAGAAAAGAAGAGAAGGAAAGGGAAGTGGTGGTTACAAAGGTATCTAGGGTCACACCCAAAATATAGGCTAAATACTAAAGGGTGTTACTACTAAGTGGGAGAGGGATAGGAAAGTGGGATATGAGAAGACCCAAAACTAAGAAACATGGCTTCTCAATTTTCCTGAATCCTTAATGCCATCACAAATATATATATCCTTTCTATTATTACTGGGCAGAAAACTAAACAAAACACAAGTATATGCATCAAAAGTGATTTCACTGCTCCCTGGGATAGCAGCTTTCTGTTCGATTTGGTGCTGGGTCCAGCACACAATGACCTTCCCCAAGGAAGTGCAATACACTCATTTCCCAAGTTGGTACATCAATTATGTTTCAGAAAATGAGCACTAAGTGCATGCTCAATTCAAAAGAAATAGCACCCAACTGAATTTATCAGGTCCAGGTGGATGTGAGCCAGCAAGAAAGAACTGTCTATTCATATGATTAAAATGTTTCCTTAATGCATTATATTTTTTTACATGTTCCTCTAAGCATCCTTTATTTCCATTTTCTTTGCAAAATGTAACAACAATATTATCACCAAGATCAACAGCAACTTTTAATTTATTCCTGTGTGTGGTTGGGGATGAGGGGAGGTGGGTAGGAAATGGGAAATCAATGTCCTTGAATGGGGAACTGCATCTGTAGAAACTACAGGTAAGCATTTCAGGCCACATGACCTGATAAGAGTTCTGTGCCTCCAGGCAGCTCAGTACACACCAAGGTTCCAACAGACTGGGCTTTTAGTGTCCGGACACTGACATTATTCATTATCAGAAGTGGAGTAAGTCACTACAACTCTGAGACCACGTGCAAAATGGGCTCTCAGAACATCAAACAAACCACATACATGCAAATATCCTCTGCCCTGTGAGAAATGATGCACACACTAAGCAATAAAATGAAAATGTTTTGGCACTCAGTTATTTGGAAACTAGTGGATCTAATCCTCTTACACAGAAAATCCCCCTCATGAAGCCTTACCACACTTCCTCAGTTTCTGCAGTCCTAAATGAACTTTTTAAAAATTTTTTCATTTCTGGGGTACATAGTCGGCATATATATTTATGACTTACATAAGATGTTTTGATACAAGCATGCAATGTGTAATAATCACATCAGGGTAAATGGGGTATCCATTACCTCAAACATGTATCCTTTGTATTTCAAACAATCCAATTATATTATTTTAGTTATTTTTAAATGAACAATTAAATTTTTTACTATCTAAATGTACATTTAAAAATAAAACAAAACCAAAATAGAAATTTCCTTTTACTCATTTCTCCTTAAAATACCGCTCTCTTTCCTCCCTTTCACATCCAATTTTCTCACTGTTCTGCTGCAATATCCCAGCACTCCCAACTTTACATGCATGGTACTCCCTGACATCTCTCCCCAAATCAGCCATTCCTATTAGTCTGAGACCTTGAGCCTTGTTATGATCTGAATGTTTGTGTCTCCCCAGAATATATTTTTTTTCTGAGACAGAGTTCGCTCTTGTTGCCCAGGTTGGAGTGCAACAGCACGACCTTGGCTCACTGTAACCTCCGCCTCCCCAGTTCAAGCGATTCCCTGCCTCAGCCTCCCGAGTAGCTGGGGTTACAGATGCCTGCCACCATACCCAGCCATTTTTTTTGTTTTTTTTTTTTTTTGTATTTTTAGTAGAGACGGGGTTTCACCATGTTGGCCAGGAGATGGGGGACTTTGGGAGTTGACTGGATCATGAGGGTGGAACCCTCATGAAGGGGATTAGTGCCCTTATAAAGGGCCTAAGGGAGTCTATTTGCCCCTCTACCATGTGAGAACAGGTACCATCCATGAGAAACAAGCTCTCACCAGACACAGAATCTGCTGGTGCCTCCACCTTGGACTTCCCAGCCTCCAGAACTGTGAGAAATAAATGTTTCTTGTTTATAAGCTACTCAGTTTATGACATTTTGCTAATGCAGCCTGGACAAACTAACGCAGGCCTTTACACTGATTTGCCTTGGCCTCAAAAGGCCTCTCTTACACACTCCTCCCTTTTCTAGTTCAGTGACTCTTAGCAGTGTTGCCCACTCAGGGAGACCTTTCTTGTAATACAAAGTACTCTATTCTCAGGTCTTCACTCATTCAACAATTATGTTTTGTGTGCCCAGTACATGCCAAGTACCAATGTAGCACTGACCTATGTTTAGGATGATAATGGTGTGGGGAAAAGTCACCACCCTCATAGAGCCTAGAATTTACAGGACAAATACTAATCAAATCACACAAATATATCATTGCAAACTGAGTTAACAACGCTAAAGGATAGGTTATGGGTGCTAAAACTAAGGGAAATGATATAGTCCAGAGGAGAGGGTTAGAGCTGAGAAAATGACTGCTATTTGACCTAGATCTGAAAGGCTGAACAGAGAGAACAGCTTGTGCAAAGGCCTTGAGGCAGCTGGGTGCATAATCTCTTGAAAGAATGTGAAAGAGGGGAGGGACTAAGTAGTTCATCTCAGTAATCCCAGTGCTTCACATAAGTACTTCACATAAACCAGGCAAATAGTAGGTGGCCAATGTATTAGTCAATAAATACATAAATAAAGGAGTCAACTAGTTAAAACATCCAAACCTATAAAGCACAATACTGACTTTAAAATAGTCTAAGCTGTCTCTAACATACAGTGTAGCAAGCCAGAAAGGGTGATAGAAGCAGGAAACCAAGGAATCTAGTGTGCACTGCTGGTATACACGAAGGATCACAGCAAACAGCAAGAAACCCCAGAAAAGGGGAAAGGCCTTATCCTTAAGAGTAAGAAGATATCAAAGATAACAGTCCACAAGGCAAATAAGCAGCTTCTGGCCTAACTTCCAGCTGCTACCACTGCAGACGATTAACCCTCTGCCATCGGAGAGGTAGCTCTCCTGAGGCAATGAGGATGTGGTGAAAAGTGTTTCAGGGGACAAGTCGAGATCAAAGCAAGCGCACATGGCCATTGATTTCACAGCCTTGCATGCTATGCCTAACACATAGTAAATGTTCAATGAATGGCTGCTGAATTGAATTCCTTTGTCCAGTGTCCACAACCTCAGTCAGCTATGCCAGGCATCTGCTCAGCTCAAAAATGTTCTGTGTTTAGTCTCACATTTAACCAAAATAGCTGCCATAAAGAGACACTCAGGAATAATGGCAACACTAGCAGAGGGAGCCAGGTGAGTTCCATCATGGGCTGCTTCTATATAATGTGATTAAATTGTACCACTTCTAAGTGTAATATAAAAACTCCCCACAGGGTATAAAGCTCCTTTCTTTGTCACACAACCCACCTACTGCCCTGCATCATATGCATGTAGAGGATCAGATTAATAAACAAATGATGCTTAATAATGTATCCACTGTGCTTTTAAAAAAATTATGCCATTCTCTTTGGAGACCAAATCTTTCATACTGAAGGTGCTTCCAAAGTATATTGAAAATTATGTGTAATTCCATACAAATGTGAATTAATATTTATGAGAGTATGCTATAATTTTTTCCAAATCCATTTTATTTTCATGTAGCATATTAATCAAGGAATTCTCACTGCACTGCAGAATAGCTACACAGAGCAAATGGACCCCATGCCGTGACATTAGCTTGTAAGAGACCTGCTGAAGTCTTAGCAGCAGTAGTACAATCATCTTAGCTCCAATTAATATTGAGATTTTCCACTCGGGGGGGGGGAAGAAGAGAGAGAGAGGATCAAAGTGTGTCTAGAGGTGGTGGCTTAAGAGGTAAGAAGAAATGAAGAGTCTATAACAACTTTTTATTATGTAACAGGTTTATATTTTCAGAGACTAGAGATTATCTTTATTTTTTTCAAAGATCTACCTTTATTTATAAATTACTATATAGATTTTTTGGTACAAATCCTGAATAAACCAGACCACTCTTTGTTCATTCCCTCTATAAACAGGTACTGACTGCTTACCATTTATAAAGTAAAATAACTATTTAATTTTTTCAGACTGTCTTGGAGAAAAATGACAAAAACTATCCATTATAAGCATTAAGAATCAAAGACAAAGACTGATCATAAACTAATCATCTTATCAACAGTCACAAGAGTTGTGTACATGACTACATGCCTGTGTAATTGTTTGTAAATATACACCCACCAATGCTTTCCTCCACCACCAACCAACCAGTAGCACTAATTTAAGAACTTCCTTAAGGAAACCTGGGCAGTCTCTAGTATTGCTATAATATGGGGAGGGAAATTATCTGGTATATAAAAAAACTTTTTGGGATCAATGAATGGCAATTTTCAAAGGCCTGTTGATTCATTCGTCTACCATGATCTAGGATAGTGGTTCACAAGAGAAACTGTCCATCAGAATTACCTGAAGAATTTTTTGAAAATAAGATGATTGTAGTCCATATTCTGCAAGGAAAGCATGAGCAAATGAAGAGTGGCAGAACACGCCACCCCAAAACATGCTATTTAGGCCTAAGGATTATTTTAAAGCTAAAGGCACTTGAAAAATAGAAACAAAAGAGATAGGAGAAAAGAAACATTATCACCAGAAACACCTGAGATGGGAAAAAACTCTCATGTGAAAGATGATCTCCCTATAGTAGGAAAGAAGAAATTTTCTCGTTTCTAGACATGGGGAGTCCAGAAAAATTTGTACCAACAGATCTTACTAACTCTTATCTTCCTTTAGCCACATCATTTATTTTAGTTACTTTTCCACAACGGCCACTCTGTTCAACCTACTAAATAAGGATTCAAGATTTGCCACTTTTTGGGTCTTCACTTTCCTGTGGGGGCTCCTATATATGTGTCAAAATCCATATGCTTTTCTTCTGTTAATCTATTTTACATCAATTTAATACTCAGCCTCAGCTAGAGACCCTAACAGGGTAAAGATAAAAAAAACTGCCTCCCTTACACAAGCACTAGGAGAGAAAGGCAGGAGGGCAGAAGGATAAGAAAGAAATCTGTTAAAAAAAAAAAAAAAAAAAAAAAAAACGCTTTAAGGCATTCATTTGACAGTCATAGAAGAAGCAGGAAAGAAGGCAAGAAAGCCAGGGAGCCACCAACAAGAGGCTGGCTGAGAGGCAAAAAGATTTAGACATATTGGCTGTCAATAGAGGGGGTAAGTGTACAAGCCATGCACAACAGATGTGAATAGGTTTGGAGAATAGTTGAAATTATGTGATTTTTAGGTCACTGGTGATGGAGGGCAGGGTCACAGTAGCACATATATGGAGAGGCTCAGAGACTGACAAAGGCAATTTCCTTCAACACCCCGCCTTCTTCAAAATAGGCGATCTTGCTCTTGACTTTCCCTTCTCCCAAATTACAATCTTCCACCAAAGGCCTCCTCGCCACTCTTGAATTTCAAAATGAGATGGTTCAGTGTTGTGCAAACTAAGGGAGAGTAACAAATAGCAGATGAAACACTATGTAAGCTGCAGGGCTCCATTTGCTGATTACAGATGAAGCCAGAGACAATAGAAAATGAGGGCACAATTTGTCTGCCTTGCATGAAGTGGGTTATAGAAAGTCTCCGCCTGATTTTTCCAAGCAAACTAACCTGAGGGCAGTCCATCACTTACAAAGTATTTGTGGTATATGTGTCTGCATGCACCCAAATGCATGTATATGTATGTGAGGGGCTTGCAATTTAAACTGAGCCTCTTCTGTTAGTTATCTGATCTTAGAGACCTTAAAGAAAATAACAAGCCAGGAGAAAAAGAAAAAAGTGCTTTGCCTGTCCCCAATGACACAATGACATAATGGCTGTGTCCTGTCATTTTGGTCTGTCAAGTCCCTTGCTGGTTTATTGTATACCATTTGTACTTGTTTTTGAATGGTTTTACAAACACTGATTCTACCAATAATGAGTCTCCAGTGATAAGAAATGAAAAATTAGAAAACTAGTAACTAGATAGATATGTTCACAACAGTCCCCAACTTTGGACTTTTGAGCAAATGGACTTTATGAACAGATTTTCAGAGCCTAAACTTTTTAGAAAGTAGAGAAGACTACTATCTGTAGGAATGTACAAGGCATCCAGGATGGCATTCAAACATTAATCCCTAAGATTCACATCTTTTAAAAACAAATATCAAAACACCTACTATGTGCATACACATTGCCATCTGTTGGAAATATCTAAGAAAGAATTCCTAAACTCAGGCTGCTTATCCAGGGAAACAGGCTAATCAGTGAACTATTATAGTAAAGTAGGTTAGAGGAGGAGCAAGTCAGGTGCTCTGTAGTGCCATCTTTCACACCACATTAAAATTGCATCACTATATTGGCATAAAGATAGAAAAACAGATCAAAGGAACAGAATAGTCCAGAAAGAGACCCACACATATATCAACAACTGATTTTCAGGCAAAAGCTATTCTACAGAGAAATAAGTTTTTTAAACAAATGGTGATAGAATAGGTAATCATATGCAAAATTTTAATCCACACTTCAATCTAAATAGAAAAAACTAACACAAACTATATTATAAACCTGAATGTAAAACCTAAAACCATAAAATTTCTAAGAGAAAACTCTTGTAATCTTGGGTTAAGCTAAGATTTCTTACTATGACACCAAAGGCATAATCCATAAAAGAATAAATTGATAAATTACACTTCAAGAATTAAAATTTTGCTCTTCAAAAGATACTGTCAAGAAAATAAAGTGACTGTTCTGTGAGTTACCAGGAGAGTAAAAGATACATAAATAGATAAGCCACAGAATGGAAAAATATTTTTTAAAATGTGTATCTGATAAGTTTTGTATACAGAATATATTAATTTAATAAATTCTTGGGCCAGGTGTGATGGCTCACACCTGTAATCCCAGCACTTTAGGAGGCCAAGGCAGGCAAATTGCCTGAGGTCGGGAGTTCGAGACCAGCCTGGTCAATACAAAAATTAGCTAGGTGTGGTGGTACGCGCCTATAGTCCCAGCTACTCAGGAGGCTGAGCAGGAGAATCGCTTTAACCCAGGAGGTGGAGGTTGCAGTGAGCCGAGATTGCACCACTGCACTCCAGCCTGGGCGACAGAGCAAGATTCCATCTTAAAAAAAAAAAAAAAAAAAATTCTCAAAACTAAAAAAGGAAACAACCCAATTTTTTAAATAAGCAAAAGATTCAGATACTTTGCTAAAGAAGATATCTGGGGCCAGGTGTGGCAGCTCATGCCTGTAATCCCAGCACTTTGGGAGGCCAGGGCAGATGGATCACAAGGCAGGAGATCGAGACCATCCTGACTAACGGGTGAAACCCTGTCTCTACTAAAAATACAAAAAAATTAGCTGGGCATGGTGGCATGCACCTGTAATCCCAGCTACTCGGAGGCTGAGGCAGGAGAATCGCTTGAACCCAGAGGGCAAAGGTTGCAGTGAGCCGAGATTGTGTCACTGCACTCCAGCCTGGATGACAGAGAGATACTCCATCTCAAAAAAAAAAAAAAAAAAAAAAAAAAAAAAAAAAAAAGATATCTGTCTGGAAAGTGAATGAATACATAAAACAATAGTTAACATCAGTAGTCATTAGGGAAATACAACTTAAAACCACAATGAGATACCACTACATACATATAAAATGGCTGAAATAAGAAAGAATGACCCTACCGAGAGTGGGCAAGGATGCAGAGGATGCTCATACATACACTACTGGTGAGAATATGAAACAGCACAACCACTTTGGAAGAAAGTTTAGTAGTTTCTTTAAAAGTTCTAAGTACACCGACCATATGATCCAACCGTTCTACTCCTAGGTATTTCCCTAAGAGAAATTAAAGTACATGTCTACATGAAGAGCTACACATGAATGCTCCTAGCAGATGTGCAATGCTTCTAAAACTGCAAACAACCCAAATGTACATCAATAGATGAATGGATAAACAAACTGTGGTTGTAACCAATCAATGGAATACTACTCAGCAATAAAAAGAAATAACCTCCTGATACAGGTGGCATGAATACGTCTCAAAATAAGTATGCCAAGTGAAAGAAATCAGACGGAAAAGATTATATTATGTATGATCCCATTTATATAAAATCCTAGGAAATATGAACTAATTGATAGCAACAGCAAGCAGGCTAGTGGCTTCCTGGGAGAGATAGGAAGAAGGGATTATAAAGGGACATAAGGAAACTTTTGGGGTGAACATGTTCGCTGTCTTGATTGTGGCAGTGGTTTCATGGGTATATACACATGTCAAAACTCATCAAATTGTATATTGTTAGTTTGTGCAGTTTACTGGAATGTAAATTATACCTCCATAAAGCTGGTTTTTAAAAACCAGGGGCCCTTGCCGTCATGCACAACTGGCATATAATTATCCCTAACAACTAGATTACATTCAGTTTTCATTAAAAGAAACTCATCTTTTAGAATCCTAAAACCAAGGGATGACCACGTCTGGGAGCACTGGCTTTAGGCCATAAAGTAGCCATGAAATTTCCACTGGAGACAACTCAGTTGTGAACACGAATGTCTTGACTGAGGAGCACTGCCTGGCCTTCACCTCATTTTCAGTGACAAGGTAGAGTTCGTATTTTTTTTTTTTTTTCATTTTTAACAGCCAGTTCTCAATTATTATTCAGAGGCTAACCTTTTGTAAAGTTTTCTTATCTTTCTATCTGGTAGCCTGATTACTGTTTGGCTACATCCCCTCCCATGAGCACGTTAGCCAATAAGCAAAGAAAGAAAATATAAATAAATTTTACTGCTCCTAAAATGTAAAAGAATTGAGGCAGTTTATTAAAACATACTTAATGTATATAATGATACACATATGGAATCTAAATAAAGATGAGAGGGACAAGGTTTAAAAAAATAGATCAGGTACAGATAAATTCAACATATAAAAGGCACCTGTCAATGCTGCAGTGCCACTGTCAAAGGTGAGAAGAGAACAAAACAAAAAGAAAACAAAACCACACACTGAGAAGCTCTCCTAAACTCAGCTGTGGGATGAGGTCACGACTATCCGTTTAAGTGAGATTTTTGCACACTCTGTGAATTGAAAACATCCCAGGAGTCTCCCATTCCCACAGATAATTGAGAGTTGGCTGCCGTTAGACCTTAACACGCTCAAAGTAGTTGAGTCCCTGGCAACCAGATGCTATTGCTTAAAACAGTTTAGGCTCTCAGCCCTGAAGGATTCCTAAAATTGGATTACAGTCCCTCCAGATAATCTGAGAAATACAGCATGACGAAAAGGAAACCTTAAAAAAAAAATTAACTCCTCCGTAACAACAACATTCTGAAAGCTGAGCACAGCATGACTGAGGCAGAAAATCTCATCAGTGAGGGCTTAGGGCAATAACGTACACAAAGGACGAGTCCAAAAAGGCAAAAAGAACCATACAACAGAAGATAGTGTAATGGCAGCCAGAAGAGAAACTAGCACCACACAATTCTCAGGCCTCTCCAAGGGCAGAAGCCTGGTATGCTAACTGAAGAAAGACAAGCAGAACACTCAAATTTCGATTGCTTTTTCTCCCACTTAAATCTAATCCACTAAAGTAACACACGCACACATTTGAGAGGATGTGTAATTCTAATGATACTTGCTTTAATTAACCATTATTCTTTTTACATGTAATATGTTCTTTTTAAAAAAAATCTGACTAGACATTTTTCCGAAGAAGACATACAAATAGCCAACAAGTACATGAAAATGTGCTCATTAGTCATCTGGAATATGCAAATCAAAACCACAATGAGATGTCATCTTGCACCTGTTAGGACGGGTATTATCAAAAAGACAAGAGGTACTTGTCAGTGAGGGTGTGGAAAAATGGGAACCACTGCACACTGCTGATGGTAAAGTAAGTTGAAACAACCATTATTCATTTTTTGATTAAGCACTGTATGCAAAAGATAGGAAAAGAATTAATGTACTTATTACAGTGTATCAAAATATTGGTAACTGGATCTTCCTGGTAATACTCAGAATTACCTCCATAAGGACAATGGCTATGACTTCATCATGCCAGAATTCCTAGCAGAGAACAGAGTAGAGGACACACAGTAACCTGTTTATAAAAGAATGAATTAGAACTGGACCTGGTAGTGCATGGCTGCAGTCCCAGCTACTTGGGAGACTGAGGCTAGACAACTGCTTGAGCCCAGGAGTTTGAGAACCCTAGGCAACAAAGCAAGAGCCCATTTCTAAAAACAAAAACTTAAAGGAGAATGAACTTGTGAAATTAGGATGCCCTGAATGTCCTCTCATTCTGAAGCTGTTGGGCCATGCTATGAATTGTACTACTCCATCACTCTTCCCCTCTCGGACTTCCATCCAAGACTTTCAAACACATTATCTAATTATTTCTGTTATAGTTTATTTGTCCCCTCCAAAACTCATGTTGAAATATCCCCAATGGGTGGGCCTGGTGGCTCATGCCTGTAATCCTAGCACTTTGGGAGGCCAAGGCAGGTGGATTGCCTGAGCTCAGGAGTTCGAGACCAGCCTGGGCAATATGGTAAAACCCCGTCTCTACTAAAATACAAAAAATTAGCCAGGCGTGGAGGTGTAGTCCCAGCTACTCGGGAGGCTGAGGCAGGAGAATCGCTTGAACCCAGGAGGTAGAAGTTGCAGTGAGCCGAGATCGCACCACTGCACTCCAGCCTGGGTGACAGAGTGAGACTGTCTCCAAAAAAATAATAATTTAAAAAACCATACATATATATATATATATATATATATATATATATCCCCAATGTTGGAGGTGGGGCCTAAGAGGAGCTATTTGGGTCATGGGATTGGATCCTTCATAAATAGATTAATGCCCTCCCTCATGTCGAACTCTAATAGAACTAAGAGAGGTTCTTACTCTGTTAGTTCCCACACGAGCTGGTTGTTAAAAAGAGACTGGTACCTCCCCCCATCCTCTTGTTTCCTCTCTCATCATGCGACCTCTGCACACACTGACTCCCCTTTGCCGTCCATCATGAGTGGAAGCCACATGAGAACTCCACCATAAGCCAAGCAGATGCCAGCACCATTCTTCTTGTACAGTCTGCAGAACCATGAGTGAAATAAACCTCCTTTCCTTATAAATTACTAGCATCTAGTATTCCTTTTTCTTGTTTTTATTTTTACTTTTTTGTAGAGACAAGGTCTTGCTATGTTTCTCAGGTTGGTCTCTAACTCTGGCCTCAAGCGATCCTCCCGCCTTGGCCTCCCCAAGTGTTGGGATTAGAGGCATGAGCCACTGCACCTAGCCTCAGGTATTCCTTTGTAGCAACACAAAAACAGACTAAGACACATTACCACATCCATATCCCGGATAAACCATTTCTATTCCCCTATATGCTAAAGAGGGGATGAACAGATGCCTAGAAATAACATAAATCGCCTTATTAACCCCAAGAGAAAAAAAAATGAAAGAGGCCAATGAATGTTAGTTCTAAACATCTTTTTCATGGCTTGATATCAAGGCCAAATTATAATTTACTGGATCTCAGTACCTCACTATTCACAGAAAAATCAAAAGTGGTTGCAGAGGTTGCAGATATTCCACAGAATAACTCTGATTAGCCAGTGAAAATCTATTCAGATCTTCAAATTGATCCTGATTAGTAATAAGTCACATACTTTCCTTTTCTTTCCTAAAAATGTTTCGCTTTCTTCTCTTCCCCAGGTATTCACATACTATCACACCTTCACTTTAAGTGAACAATGTCTCTAGAAGTATTCAGCAACTAGCTCACTGATTCTATTGTAGTTACCGTAAGTGATAAGTGTAAAATGATTACTTCTCTGTCCTGGAGGAGGCCTTCTAGCTTCCCTTCAGCAACCTTCTCTGAGTTTCCATTACTTTTTTTTTTTTTTTTTTTTTGATGAAGTCTTGCTCTATTACCCAGGCTGGAGTGCAATGGCACAATCTCAGCTCACTGCAACCTCCACCTCCCGGGTTCACATGATTCTCCTGTCTCAGCCTCCCATGTAGCTGGGATTACAGGCATACATCACCATGCCCGGCTAATTTTTTGTATTTTTTAGTAGAGACGGGGTTTCACCATGTTGGCCAGGCTGGTCTCCAACTCCTGACCTCAAGTGACCCACCCGCCTCGGCTTCCCAAAGTGCTGGGATTACAGGCGTGAGCCACTGCACCTGGCCCCAGGAAGACAATCAATAAGTATGTCTAGCTCTGGCTTTTAAGATGTCAAATCTGGCTATGCACGGTGGCTCATGCCTTTAATGCCAACACTTTGGGAGGCCAAGGCAGGTGGACTGGCTTAAGCCCAGGAGTTCAAGACCAGCCTGGGCAACAGAGTGAGACCCAGTCTCCAGAAAAATATTTTTTAAATTAGCTGGGTGTGGTGGCGTATGCCTGTAGTCCCAGCTACTCAGGAGGCTGAGGCAGGAGGACTGACTGAGCCTGCAGTGAGCCATGATCACACCAATGCATTCTAGCCTCGGTGACAGAATGAGACCCTGACACACACACACACACACACACACACACACACACACACACACACACAAAGAAGTCAAATCTGCATTAACAGGCAGCAGAGAACTCTTGATATGTGACTTTGGTTAAGGTTGGTTGCATTGTTCTAGAGGCAGGGGTGGTGGCTAGAAGTAAAGAACTACTTCACAGAGTGGCCCATTTAGGAAAACAAAATGATATGAAGGGTGGGGAAGAGAGAGACATTCTGTCCACTCAGCAGACAAGAAACAATTTTATGAAAGACAATTTAAAGTTTAGAGCTATTCAGTGGTATAAAAAGCAACTTCTGGCAAAATTTGTGTTATGTGGCTCTGAATATAAACGCAGTTTTACACAGCATATCAGGAAGTGTGTGTATATATGTGAGGCAGTCCTTTTATGACTCAAGTTTTTCAAGAGGTTTTGTCATGTTTCTAGAGAACTATGGAATAATTACTACTAAAGGAATAATTCTGTAACTTTCTTCCAACTTTCCAGAAACTGTTGTCAACTTCCTATTGAAGATGTGCAGGCATTCCTTCTCTTACAGAGCAGTGACATAGAGAATCAACATGAACAAGTGCATATATGCCTATTAGTATTCCACGAACAATTGCTACATCCTTTCTCAACCTAATTTTGATTGGCTTCTCAAGGGCAGAGACCAATCTACCTCAATACCTATAAATGTAGGGTCCTCCTCTTAGGTTCCTTCAGCCTCTCTAATGTTACCATACTGGGAGGCTATTTAGCACACAAAAAATATCAACAGATGTAACTTAGAATTCATCAATTCAGTGGAGGGTTTGCCTCCAGAGCACATTTTCCAGCCTTTCAAATATCTCTGTGAGACTTCTCTTATGTATACGTACTCTTCAAGCTCTCTTGTCCTAACTGGGTTTTGATTTAAGAACTAAACATAATTTACTGAAAGGTCAGACCATTTCTGAATATAAAGCGAGGACTAATTTATCTTTTTCATAACCATTAATGTCTGCACAACAACTCAGCATTGGAAAAAGTTTACAGTATCTTTTAAAATAATCACCTCATTGAATTCTCTAATAGCTCTCTAAGCAGGCACCATCAGTTTTATTTTATACATGAGGAAACTAAGGCTGGGTAAACAAGTGACTTTCCAAAGTGAGAAAATCAGCAACTGGCAACACACCCAGAGTCCCTTGGCTCTAATCCTGCTTCCACTGCCTAACACCACGTCATTACAGATTTATTTCTAAGTGCCAAGATTAGGGTCTTTTGTTGGAAGGAAATTTTAAATTACAGTTTAGTATTGTCTCATTATAAAAATCCTTCTGTGCACCTCCACTTCCCCACCGAAGTGTAATTAGGGAAAGGCTATGCCTCCTAAGTCAAATAGCCGAACTCCTTCTGAAAAATTCACATTGTCAATAAAAATCTAGACAGAAAATAAAAGCTTTGGCTTTTCTGTAAAATTGACAACCTTCACCGATTTATTTAAGAGGTGAAAAGTGGCAGGGAATGACACCTTTCTGACCTTAAAAAAATAAGAAGCTGTAAATATACTCTAGACCCTGAATTCCATATGTTCTGCCTATGTGACTCAATAAATATTAATGAATAATGATGAAAGCTATAAATACTCGCGGCACAAAAAGTAGAAATTCCTGTTCAACACATATTGCAAATAACCTATCACTACATGAGAAACATATATGGGTTTCATGGAAAGTTTTCCAAGTCTTAGAGCTTGTTCACACAGCTATGACTCTGTACTTGCCTTCCCTCTCTCTCAATCTTCACCCCCAGTCTTCTATTTCAGGATTTATCCAGACAGAATTTTCTTTCCCTTGGCATCATATAGGTAAAAATAAAACAAACTATCCTGCAGGTTTTCAGAGACACAGAAAAGTGCTTAAGATATACCCACTGACCTGAGACATAGACCAAATAAACTCCTCAAGCTATATCTGCAGTGAGAATAAATTAGACCCTACAATTACGGTTGAGGCAAGAAAAGAGACTGTCCTTTCAGTTGGCTACTACATTGACTTGAAAGATGAAAGGCAGTGTCAGTTTGCACAAGGGAATCAGATGCTGTGAGGCAATTAGGTCATGCAAAGATATCCAGATTTTTACCTAGTTTCTTAAACAAGCCACAGGCTTGTCTCTAGGCCAAAGCTTCCTATAGATAGATTTAGTGATGTTTAGGTACTTATTGGTTCTATCAGATTTGATAATGGAATCAATCTCTCCTTTTAGAAGCTCTGGGTTAATGGCAAAGTTTATTAAACTGCAGGCAGTCATTCAGAAAAGATCAATAGAGACATGATTACAGGGTAACCAGAGGATTAAACGTGAGATTTATCACAAAATTAAACTGAATTAAATGTTCTCTGATAGCACTTGAAATGCTGTCGATACTTTTAAACTCATAATCTATGCTTTCTGTGTTTATCTAATAGGCAATAGGGATGTCTGATTTGAGAAAATGACTGCTATATAAAAACATAAGGCACATAGATTTGCTGAAAGCAGTAAGAATGCTTTCTGCAAATGTCCTCTCATTTTTTAAGAAGCTGCATTTTAGTTTATCTGTAAGAGCTGTCCACAATGAGCTCAGCAGAGTTTTGAGTTACTAAGTACATAACTCATTCTGTCCATGTCTAAAGCATGCCTATACATCCTCACAGGTATCTACCTTAGAAACTGTGCCCACAGATGACACACTTTAAACAATTTCCTTCCATGCTCTCACAAAGAAGCATGTGTTATGACATTGGCTGTTGGTCCCATAAGGAAGTGGGCTGGAGGATGTCATCTGGATGTAGGGAAATCAACCATTCCCCATCCCAGAAGGATTTATTGATGTCACCACAGGCTCAGCAAATTATATTCATGAAAGTGAAATCCCCATCACAGCCTATGAAAACCACTCACTAAACAAACTGGCAAACGCGTATATATTTGTAATCGGTAGAGGAGTCAATACACATGGCGGCTGTTAAAACTGGCATCAGTACCACAGTGAGAGAGAACAGCTCTGCAGGACCTGAAATGATAAAGGCCAGGCCTGCTGTGTGAGGTTGGGAGGGTGTGTGCATGAGCAGATGGGTTAGTCGGGAAATCAGTTTGGGAGCAAAAATTGAGCCTGTGGTTTAAACTGGGCCTTGGATGGCAGCATGTTTGAGGGAGACTTTCCTTTTTCCCATGTCCAGTTTCTATCTTGTTGCCAGCACACTTCATCCCAAAGATGGCATCGGCCCTGCTCTGATGACCAGCAGATTCTGGTGATTTCAACATTAATCCAAAATGACAGCTGTTTTGTCAAGAGAGAGAAGAGCTGGGTTGGAAACAAGATGCTGACGCTGGTACTACCCTGCAGTTTTATCATTCCCTCATCAGCATACTGATTTACACAGAGCAATCAGTTTTCTTCTCAGCAGTTATCTAACCTTACAGCACCAATGAGTACTATGGATAGTCTCAAATATTTCTCAGTTCTTTGGGAATAAGAATATCTTCCTGCCTGCTAAAGAAAAAAAAAAAAAAAAGGAACTCTATGCTCCACCCCGAAGCTGAGGCTGCTTTGAAGTGCACAAAGCTGGCTCCTTAATCAGTTGCTTAGATTACTTCCCACCATAGAAGCTTCATTCCAGGAAAATAGACCACTTCACTGCTATCCCTACTCTTTATTGGTGGCGGTTACATCTGAGTCCGAGAACTGGCTTTCCCACCTTCTGGCTTTACGAACATGAACAAATGCCTTGGCCCTTATGAGCCTCCATTTCTTCTCCTGGAATACAGGAATAGAAAGTTTAATGAAATTTGTGGAAAGTGCTTGGGATACTTCCTGGTACAGGCAGTAAATAAATTACAAATAAATGTGAGGAATTCCTCTTCCTGACTGATACAATTAATGACTGGTAAGTCATTAAAAAGGGAAACTGTCATTCTAAAAGGTTACATTTGGCATTGGAGGAACAATGGTGGGATCTATTCTCCATATATCCTCAAGATTGTGTTTAATGAGTGTCATTGAATGTGCCAAGCAACATACTGGATATTTTATTTATAATACCTCATTTAATTACTACAATACCCTGTGAAGCTTCAGTTTTCTCATATATAAAATGGAGCGAATAATATCACCTAACTTATGAAGCAGCTATTAGGATTAAATTAGTTAATGTAATGCCTAGGATGTATTAGGAGTTCAGTCCAAATTAATTATTTTTATTACTATTAATTAATATTCCCAAGGTCACATAGCTATGAAAAGACAATACCAGGACTCAACACAGACCTGCGTGGCTCTAGCATTCATGTTCTCATTCATGTGAACAGAACTGAAAGCAGAAGCCTAGAATGTGGTCTGAGCATGACCCAGGACTTATAGTGTTGCCTTGGGGTTGCAGGTTAACATACTTCTCTATTCCATTTTTGTTTTTATTTTTAAGATGGCTGTATTACTTGGCCTATTTTTTCTTTTCACTTTTTAAAAAAATTATTTACTTATTTATTACATTGAGATGGGGTCTCATTATGTTGCCCAGGCTGGTCTCAAACTCCTGAGCAAGCAATCAATTCTTTCACCTCAGCCTCCCAAAGTGCTGGGATTACAGGCATGAGCCAGCACGCCCAGCCTATCACTTGGTCTTTTTTTTTTTTTTTTTTTTTTTTTTTGAGACAGAGTTTCGCTCTTGTTGCCCAGGCTGGAGTGCAGTGGCCTGATTTCAGCTCACTACAACTTCCGTCTCCCAGTTTCAAGCGATTCTCCTGCCTCAGCCTCCTGAGTAGCTGGGGTTACAGGCGTGCACCACCACTCCCAGCTAATTTTGTATTTTTAGTAGAGATGAGGTTTCACCATGTTGGCAGGCTGGTCTCAAATTCCTGACCTCATGTGATCCACCCACCTCGGCCTCCCAAAGTGTTGGGATTACAGGTGTGAGCCACCACGCCTGGTCCACTTGGTCTATTTAACCTGAGAAATAATGCGAAGAAAGTACAATTTGCTCCTTGAAATACTAGCACCATATAAAGTTCCAGCATTTCTTCCTAAATCTGCCTTCTGTAATTTATGAGACATGCAAATAAGAGAAAGTTCTGAGACAGGGCTGTGGGGGGAGGCATTTCCTATCACCATATGGAAAGATGGAAACTTTAGGAAAGTTTGGCATGGGAAGAGAGCAATACTTTGTACTCCTGATAGATCCAAAATTAAAAGGACCATCATGTTAACTGCTACCAGAGAGAGGCAAAAAGAAGTCCTGAAAAAGCATTTACCACTGATTCTATCATTAATCTCTTTTCAACTGCTTTAACTTGCTGGCTTTCCAAATGAGACATCTGTCCATTTCCAAAAAGAAAATAAATGCATACAAAAATAGTTACTAGGTGCAGCTCAACATGAAAATATTACCTACAAGGCCTCCTGCCAGAGCCTAACCATTAAAAAAAAAAAATGGGTTTATTGGATTCTTTTAGGGAACACCTCAATGTAACATCAAAAATCTTCCCACACAAGGCTTAATGGAACAGGGAAAGACGGGGAAAAAGGAGAGGAAAAAAACTCTCCTTCCCAGCTGAGTACTGACACATACAGTAAGGTTTGGGAGGCAACTTTATGTGCTCTTACTAGTAGATTAATGAATGTAATTACCTAGCATTGTGGCTGTGAATGCTGCAAAAACTATAATTTATAGAGTGCTGTAAAGTTCTAATGTGTTTTTATGTCCATAAGCTGCTTAACCATAATCTAATGCATTTGTACAAGAACAGCCTAAGTGGCTCTCAGCTCAACAGTGAACACAAGTGTCTGAACCTTGGCGATTCTACTCATACGTCTTTATAATCCAACCTCGTGTGGTAGGCATCTGAGGGAAACAGCTGCTGAATTATACAAATAATTCTAGAGACAGTGACAAGGCTCTCTGCCTCTCTCACCATGAGAGGAGCTTCTGGCTGACAAAGGGCTGCAGGCTTTAATTAAATGCTGGAGTGGTTCTGTACATGTTTGGTGGTTACTTTTTCTTTTACCACCATTGTCACCACCCTCTCCTCTACTTCATCTACCCTCATCCAGGGTTCTCAGAGGTGGGAGAGAAAGAGGAAGGAAGTGATAAGAGCACAAGGAGAAAACAAATTATCTATCTGAAAATATCTTACCTGATTTCCCGCTTCGAAAAGGCTCAAAATGTCTAAATTTTCCTCTTTTTCTGCCATTATATTTGCAAGGAAAGGCAAGTACAGCTAAACAATTCTGACACCTGAGGCAAATTATCCTTTGAGATTGCCTTAGTCAGGGGTTTGAAGCATCTCACATGATCCTCTGGATAGATAATTATGATGATGAGGAGGAGGATGGTGGTGTTCACTGTGGTAGTGAATGCTAATGAAGAGCTTATCACCTGCCAAAATCACATGCCCACCACAATTCTGTATGCAGGTACTATTAACAATCCATTTTCCCAGCTGGGTGATATGGTTTGGCTTTGTGTCCCCATCAAAATCTCATGTTGAATTGTAATCCCCAGTATTGGAAGTAAGGCCTGGTGAGAGGTGACTGGATGATGGGGACGGATTTCCCCCTTGCTGTTCTCATGATACTGAGTGAGCTCTCACGAGATCTAGTTGTTTAAAAGTGTGTGGCACCCCCACCCCCACTTTCTTCCTCCTGCCCAGGCCACGTAAGATGTGCCTGCTTCCCCTTCACCTTCCACCATGAATGAAGATTTCCTGAAGCCTCCCCAACCATGCTTCTTGTACAGCCTGCAGAACCATGAGACAATTAAACCTCTTTTCTTTATAAGTTACCCAGTCTCAGTTAGTTCTTTGTAGCAGTGCAAGAATGGACTAATACACTGGGCAACATAGGGAAATCCCATCTCTCTAAAAAATTAAAAGGTACTCAGGATGCTGACATGGTAGAATTGTCTAAGCCTGGGAAGTCAAGGCTGCAGCAACCTATGATCACACCACTGCACTCCAGCCTGAGTGACAGGGTAAGACCTTGTCTCAAAAAAAATAAAAATCAATTTTTCACAGGAAAGGACTGAGGGCCGTGATTCACAGTGGCAAGGCAGGTGTTTGAATCAGCTTTTTACACCAGAGCCTATGCTACACTCACTAGGTAAGTTATTTAACATTTTCCTCATCTGTAACATAGGGATGATAATAGTATTTACCTCATAGGATTTTTGTGAGAATTTAATAAGTTAATATATATAATGTGCTTAGAAGAGTGTCAAGATCTAGGAAATGCTCAGTCCACTTTGGTCATCATTACATTTAGTACTCTAGGAACAAGCAAAATATATTACTGGCGAGGAAATAAGCAGCCACAGAAACTGCCTACATTTTCTGGAGGCAAATGTTCAAAATCTCAGGCTGGGCACAGTGGCTCGCGCCTGCAATCCCACCACTTTGGGAGGCTGAGGTGAGTGGATGACTTGAGCCCAGGAGGTCAGGATCAGCCTGGGCAACATGGCAAAATCCCGTCTCTACAAAAAAAAAAGAAAAAAAAAATAGCCGGGCATGGTGGCACATGCCTGTAGTCCCAGCTACTTGGGATGATGAAGTGGGAGGATGACTTGAGCCCAGGATGGAGGGAAGCTGCAGTGAGCTGAGATCGTGCCACCGCACTCCAGCCTGGGCGACAGAGCAAGACCCTGTCTCAAACACACACACACACACACACACACACACACACACACAGAAAGTCTCAAATATCTATAACTGAGGGTTCCAGAGATTTATCCTGGAACACAATAATACCAAATAACTGATAAAGCAGCAGCATCAGAGTAAAAGGACAAGCCCCAGTCTGCATCTCAAAGCACAACGGTGAGTGAACAGCTCTCCCACCCTAAGGTGGTATCCCAAAGGGCCCTCAGCTGTAAGAACACAGAAAGAGCCTCAGCAATAGCAATCCCTACTTTCTACTCTTTTCAATAGCAGGACACCCTATCTTAAGAGCGACTGGTTGAGTATAGAAACACAATGGCATTACATCAGTGGCTATGCAGAGATGAAAGCCAGCTCTAAGACACACACTCAGGGTAAATTAGTATCGTGGCTAATACATAATTGATGCTCTTCCTAGTTAAAAATGTACTGCTCTCCAGCATTCACAGGATGAGAGATGTGATTTGGATTCAATTAAAAGCTCTATCCTGTCCAAGGAAAGAAATTCTGCCTCTCCGAGTCATGTGGCTTCTTCTTTACTTCTTATGCCAGATTGACCTCTGGAAGCCTCAAGAACCATCCGTTTTCACTGGGGCTGCTTAGGCAGTACCTGGACATCTCTCTCCTGCAGGAGAGTGAAAGGGAGACACCACTTTCAAGAGAGACAATGAAACAAGGAGGCGTTTTCCACCTCCTCAAAGATTAGCTTTGACCCTGGATGTGAGCACTGGTTCTTGTCATTTAGTCTAAAAGAAAAGGTGTGGGGGTAAATAAACGATTTCCTGAACAAAAATGTTGCAGTCATAAAACAGCTGCAGTAAAATTGGACATAATAAGGTTTTGGGATGTGGCCAGTCCTTCCCCTCCCCGCTCCCTCCACCTTAGGGTTCTCCTACTACAAACCATTGTTTGTCCAGCAGACTTCAAGACTCACTTCCTCCTTAGCAGTTCTGGTCATGCAGGAAATGTCCACATATTCACTACCTCCTCACCCTACCTGCCACCACCATCCTCTTTGCCTTTCTATTCTGCTGTGGGATTAGGATTAGGATACCAACCTGTCTCCCTCACATTCTCTCTTTACACACATGCCCCCCACCGTCTACCCCAGCCCACTATGCTATGCAGGCATCTATGGCATGGCCACTTCTACCTTGTGGCTCCTCCTAGGAAGATCCATGGCTCCCTGCTGCTTACACCAAAAGATGGTACCAACTATATCTTCTCCACGGCCTGCCATGACTCTGGTGATGTCCTGCACACAACTCATTCTTCACTACGTGCCTCAGGGATGATTTCTCTCTCCCAAGCACCCCTCTAGCACTTTCTGTCTACACCAGTGGTCTGTAGGATGTTCCACTGAGGGGTAAGACTGCATTATAATGTCTATTTAAATGTGTTTTTCTCCTAAGCGAATTACCACAGTAACAGGAAAACCAAATACTGCATGTTCTCACCCGTAAGTGGGAACTAAACACTAGGTACTCATAGAAATAAAGACGGCAACAAAAGACACTGGGGACTATCAGAAGTGGGAGGGAGGAGGCAAGAGTTGAAAAACTGCCAGGTACTATGCTTAGTACCTGGGTGACGGGGTCATTCATACCCCAAGCCTCAGCATCACCCAGTATACTCAGGTAACACCCCTGCATGTGTATCCCTTGAATCTAAAATAAAAGTTTAAGTAAATAAATAAATATGCATCTCATTCTTTATTACTTTCTAATTCGGTATGTTTCTGATCTATATATTAGTACAGTAGTATAAATATAAAACTTTAAAATGAGGTGCTTACTCTAAGTGATTTGTCCAACTGGGGTTCACAATCAAAAAAGTTTGAAGACTTTTGGTTTAGACTAGGCACAGGGAAGCAAGCTTCCTGGTGGCAGAAGGCTTTTCACACACTTCTTTACTCAAAGCTCTTAACACTCAAAATGGTCACTAACTGATTCATTGACAGAGTAACTAGACATTATAAATCAAGGCCTATATACCCAAGGAGGTAGAAAAGGATGCTCTCTGAAACCAAATCCCAGTATTTGGCAAATAAGTAAATCATTAAGCTGCAAAAAATAAACCATATTTAGAACAAGTGTCAGCGGATCATTTTGGGAAACTAACAACATAATGAAGACTTCAGAAGGGCCATGGACCTCTAGGTAACAAGTCCCAAGCTAATCAGTGGGCAACCAACAAACACATCATCTATTATGTGATCTGGCCCATAGACTTCACTCAACAAAACATCAGAGATTTGCCTATCTGAATAGGATACTGTATTTAAACAGAAAAGCAAGGGAAGATGTGATAATACCTGCTCACCAACACATGTTTTTCTCATTAGGGAAGTTCAAAGTTGCCACAGTCCTGTTAATACTACTAGGTCAATGTACTGGAAAAGGGTCTAAATCCTTATGTCAATTCCTGTAGTAAAAGTTGCATCCAATTCCAGATCAATCAGGTGGCTTATGCAGTTATCATTATCCCTACTCCTAGGATACAAACCCTCTGAGGAAAAGACTGTCTCACACCTATCAAATATCCCACAGCACCAAGTCTGGTCCTTGGTAGCTCTCAAAAGAAATTTGTTATATGAACACTGAAAATATATATATATATATATATATATATATATATATATATATATATATATATATATATATATACACAAAATATTTTATGTATATATATAATGTATTTTATATATATCTCAAAATATATATAAATATAAAATACATTATGTATATATAATACATATTATATATACATATATATATATATATATATATATATATATATATTTTTTTTTTTTTTTTTTTTTTTTTGAGACAGAGTCTCGCTCCATCACCCAGGCTGGAGTGCAGCGGCACAGTCTCAGCTCACTGCAACCTCTGCCTCCCGAGGTACAGGCGCACGCCACCACACCCAGCTAATTTTTTTGTATTTTTAGTAGAGACGGGGTTTCACCGTGTTCGTTAGGATGGTCTCGATCTCCTGACCGCGTGAACTGCCCACCTCGGCCTCCCAAAGTGCTGGGATTACAGATATGAGCCACCACACCTGGCCACACTGCATATTTTTTAAAGTTAAAATTCAATATTTTTATTACAACTGGTTTTGTTAATTTGTACTATCAAATGAATTCTAGATTTATTAAAAGGCAGAAGGTCAGTATGCACATATATCCAAAACACAAATCTGAAATCAGAAATTGCTAAGCAATAGGAACAACCATTTGTGAATAACTATTTACTAATGTACTATTAGACGCTACTATAAGAATATTAAGAATAATAACAACATTCTTTCCCTCCTCTACATGCAGTTGAGTTGACTGAGAGGGTGCATAGAGGCTCTGACCTCTTCAAAGAGTTCCATTTCCAGAGCCCTGGGGTCCCAAAGTCTGAACCTGTGATGGAAAGTAATGATGCTCTCTCCATAAGGTTCAATTGGGACACCACTTTTGTGCTTCCTAAAATGATACTAAAATAAATCTATAGTCGCCAACATTTTCTACACATGAACCATAGGCCATCTATCAAGCTACTTGTGTCACAAACAGACCTGTGAGCCATTTTCATCCCACAGGCTCTACACAAAAATGGAACCAGGATATGGGCATAAATCTTTTAAGTCCCATGAGCCTCATGTTGGTAATCTAATGAGACAATCAATTTAACAATAATAATAATAATCCTCTTAATGCCAGAAATCTTAGCACTAAATTTGCAATCTGGCTCAGATAGGAGCAAGAAACAAATAATTTCTCTTCTGAACCACAGAAGAAAAAAAGATCAAAGTTACTTTTTCTCAATTATCTTCAGAAAAGTATCAAACTAGTACCATTTAGATACACAGGAGAGAAAGTAATTCCATAAACACAATGGATACCTTAGACTGAGCATCCAGTATTTAAGAAAGGCTCACCTAGACTTTCAAATACATACTTATTTGATATACTGGCAAATGCCTAGACAGTCAAGTGCAATGGTTTAAAAGAGAGCAAAAAGCTCATCCAGGAAGAATGGGGTTGGGGGAGAAGGAATAAATATGCAAAGCGTGATCAATGGATCCACAGAGGAATTCAGTGAAAGATGAAAATGGAAAAAAAAAAAGGGTTGGGGGTAGATTATAGTCAATAGATAATCATCGAAGGTTCAGGGAGGCATCACGAGTTGACAGATGTACATCCTAGATACCCAACATCAAACAGATGCAATGCAACTGGACGTAATGGCTCACACCTGAGGTCAAGAGTTCGCGACCAGCCTGGCCGACATGGTGAAACCCCGTCTGTACTAAAAATACAAAACAAACAAACAAAAATAGCTGGGCATGGTGGTGCATGCCTATGATCCCAGGTACTTGGGAGGCTGAGGCATGAGAATCTCTTGAACCAGGGAGGCAAAGGTTGCAGTAAGCCGAGATCGCGTCACTGCACTCCAGCCTGGGTGACAGAGATAAACTCCGTCTCCACAACTTGGAAAAAAAAAATAGATGCAATGCCTGGGGCTGACACCTACAAATTCCACCTTCTTAATCTCCGCCATCTGTTGTCCACCTCACTGTGACTACACTGCTACTACCTTAATTCAGACCTCCTCATCTGGACTTCCATTAACAACATCCCAAGTGGCCTCCATGTCTCCAGCCTTTCAGCCTGTTGTAGGATTGTGACATCTCCAAAGTGCAAGTTTAAGCATGCCACTTCCTTGCTTACAATGTTCAATGGCTATCCAATAATCAATTTCAATCTCCAAATAAAGCCTTCCATGACTGGGACCCTGCTTATGGTTCTAACCTCTTTCTTATCACCATCTTCTGGACTCCCACCTCTGGAGTAAGTATACTCCAGACATGCTAAACTACTTTAAGTTTCCCAGTCATGCCAAGTGTGTCTTCACGTCTCTTGTTCTTTTTTTTTGACACACGGTCTCACTATGTTGCCAAGGCTGCTCTTAAACTCCTGGGCTCATGTGATCCTCCTGCCCTGGTCTCCCAAATTGCTGAGATTACAGGCATGAGCCCACTGTGTCCAGCCTCTAAGTCTCTTTAAAACTGCAACTTCCTCTGCCAGTAATAACCTTCTTCCCTAGCCCACCCAGGCCTCTCAGCTTGGCTATCTTCTACTTAGCTTTAAAGTTTCCATTATCCTTAACAAAACACTTGTTCTTCTGTGTTATAATTTACATTCACTTTTCCAACCAATTACCAATCTATGGATTCCTCCAGGCCACAGTCTAGAAGTGCTGATAGGTATTAAGTATCAATAAACATTACACAAATGAATAAATCAACTTCTTCCTCAAAGATGTATCTATTCCAGGGATAATCTTCATACATAAAGTAGGTG
Organism: Homo sapiens; assembly: GCF_000001405.40. Classification (NCBI taxonomy): domain Eukaryota; kingdom Metazoa; phylum Chordata; class Mammalia; order Primates; family Hominidae; genus Homo; species Homo sapiens. Next base: position 69,873,797 of record NC_000007.14, on the reverse strand, counting down.
TAATTCCAGCTATTCTGTGACACACTCTTCTGGGAGGTGAGAAGTTGGGCATGGTATTCTAACAAGATCTGAGTCATTCCCTTAGGATAGATAATCATTTCTGTTCCTTGCAGCATTTCTAACAAATCAGCACAGGTTTCCAGCTTAAGAAATGAATGCCAATCTAGCTTCCAATCTCAGCAAAGAATCAGTAAGGGTGGTTAACGATAACAGTCACTCACATTGACTGGCCAAGTGCTGTGTTCATCTGCCTAGATCTCACGACGATCTCATACAGTCTAATTCTCTCATCTTATAAATGAGAATATTGATGTTCTGAGATAAGCTAGTGTTCTCAACCCTGACTGCTAACTCTGGGATGCAAAAAAAAAAAAAAAAAGCCTGAGCCCCACCCAACGGCAACTAAATTCAAATCTCTACAGGTGTTTATTCAAAGTTCCTTAACCATACCAATAAGGGCTGAGAACCACCAAGTAAGGTTACTAAATTTCCCAGCTCCTATGCTGCAGAGCTACCACAGCAACCTAAAGTCAATCTGATTCCACAGCCAGACAGATCTGTGAAGCACTGCACTCTGTTAAGCTAGTTCTCTGAACTTATAAATCCTGGAACATTAATCTTTTTTCCTCAAAGTATTAGCAGATGATAACCACTTGATTAGAAGAGAGTCTCTTTAGAATATAGACTATATCTCTGGGAGGCTGAGGCGGGCGGATCAGCTGAGGTCAGGAGTTCGAGACCAGCCTGGCCAACATGGTAAAACCCTGTCTCTACTAAAAATACAAAAATTATCTGGGTGTGATGGTGCGTGCCTGTAATCCCAGCTACTCGGGAGGCTGAGGCAGGAGAATCGCTTGAACCTGGCAGGCTAAGGTTGCAGTGAGCTAAGATCACACCACTGCACTCCAGCCAGGGTGACAAAGTGAGACTCTGTCTCAAAAAAAAAAAAAAAAAAAAAAAAAAGAATATAGGCTACATCAAGTGCCACCTCAAATGTGAAAGTCAACTTCCTGGTCCTCATCTGAGAGGGCAAAGAAGGTTCCCTGCTACTTTAATAGTAGTTTTAACTGCACCTTCTACAAGTTCTACTTCCTACCAACCACTGTAGTGGTTGCAATGGACCACAGGATACTAATCTGCCACATGCAAGAAAAAAAAAGGGAGGCCTACTTTCTCAGGAGACAACAAATCAGAAAAAGAAAAATGACTTGTATAATTCGGGAGAAAAAAAGGCAAAAAATGTTAAAGCCTCTTAAAATGCTGTTTTAGATACTCTAGTACCCCGAATACATTAGAAACTAAACAGAGAAACACTGTTTTAATTTCAGCACTTAGAATAGAATTCAGGTTCACATTCAGACACAACACTTGACACTGATATATTAAGGACATATCCAACATGACAAGAAAAGGAGGAGGAGGAAGAAAACATTTCAGCAAGTTACAGATAAAAGGTGGAAAGGCACAATGGATTGATGTTCTAACCTTTCCTACTTTTGAAGCCTGAGTTTCAAACAAGGAACGTAAGAGATAATTCATGCTTTCCTCAGTGTGAAAACACAGGGCATCAGGCCCAGCTTATGTCTCTGCTGTGCTTCCTTATCTATTAAGGTCAGAGCCAGCTTCATGGGTGTGTGACCTGTGCAATCGCTCAGGGCCCTGCACTCAGAAGGGCTCGGCACTTGGTTTAATGCTCTATAATCTTATCTTTGAACTTTGTTTTGTAAGTTAAGTCGGATAACACAGTGGAACATGTCCATGAGTAGAAAAAATACACGCAACAGGCGCGAGCGAATTCCTGGCTGCCCCATTCACATAGTGTTTGTATGTCCCAGTAACATAGAACTCCAGTGAGCCTGCAATATGTGACAGTTCAGTAAAAATCAGAGTACAGCAGTCCCCCTTATCTCCAGTTTCACAATTTCAGTCACCCATAGTCAACTACAATCTGAAAATATTAAATGAAAAATTCCAGAAATAAGCAACTCATAGTTTTAAATTTTGAGGCATTATGAATAGCATGAGGCCCTGTGCTGTCCTGCTCTGTCTCACCCAAACATGAATCATCCCTTTGTCCAGCATGTCCACGCTATAGATGCTACTCATCCATTAGTCACTTAGTAGCCGTCTCAGATCAGTTATCAGATCAACAGATCACAAAAAGGGTGAGTAGAGTACAGTAAGATATTTTGAGAGAGAGACCACATTCACATAGCTTTTAGTACTGTGGTTAATAACTGTTGTTTTAGTTATTGTTGTTAAATCTCTGTTATTGTTGTTAGCTCTCTTACTGTCCCTAATTAAACTTATCACAGCCACGTACGTATAGGAAAAAGCATAGTATATACAGGGGCCAGTACTATCTGTGGTTTCCGGCATCCACTAGGGGTCTTGGAATGTATTCCCCATGGATAAAGGGGGGACTACCCTATAAGTGTGTTATGGTTACGACGAAGCCAGAGGAAAGACAGACAACCTTGGGAGCCTATACTTTCCCTTCAAATCAAAACTTCAATTTAAAGGCAGAAAGCTGGAAATAGTGTTCTAAAACAAACATGAATGGCAAGAAATCCTAACATACCTTTTCTTACACATATTACTTCCCTGTATTAGCCAATCACACTGAAAATGACACAGGAGGAAAGGGAAAGACAGTCCCTTTCAGTCCTTCCTTACTCATTGTAATCTGAAGGTAGAGAGTGTTGGTTAAATGTGTGCATATCAACAAGTGAAATAAAAACCTCTGAGTTCATTTCATGCAGTGTTTCCACTGTGCGGTAAAAACAAAATACATTATGTGCCTATGAGGCATAACATAAACTGTATAAATTCAGTGATTCTACATACAAGTTGAATGCTCTCATATCTGCATTTAAAACTGGCATTGCACAACAGAACCATGAATGGTAAAATTCATGCTAGCAATTTAAAATTTGAATTTTTCCTCACTTAAAGCAACATTAAACAGCTAATTTAAAACACCATAAAAAGTTGAGAGAGATCCCCTAGAAGAAAAATATTTTATATTTTACCACCTTTAATGGCACCTTTGTCCTACTTTCTATACAACAGGCTCCATGCTTTCATTCTGCACTGGGCCCTGTAACTTATACAGTCTGTCCTGATTAAGTTAACCTGTCGTGTAGTAAAGAGGGGACTGTAAGAAGTGTAAGACAAGTAAGCATCTCTGGCCAAGGATCTAGGGTTGTACTTTTTTCTGTCATCTTTAGTACTAACACAGTACTTAACACATGTTGTTTTATTTTTTTTTTTTGTTTCATCCCTGGTACTTACATATGTCTGTGTGTATGTCTGTATATAACGTGAATACATATATATATATATATATTACACACACATACGCACAGATATGTATATATATGACAATTTTTGCTACATTGTTCTCTTAATATTATTCCTTAAGTCAATTCACATTTTTAACTTAAATATCTACATAATTTTTAACCTAAATATCTACTTTAGCTTTAACTTAAGCAATATGATTTGTTATACATCAAGGAAAAAAGTGAACAAATTCCCCCGGTCTTACTAATATGTTAAAAGGTAATGAGTCCTATGAGGAAAGAAAGTAAAACAAAAGAACAAAGGCAGGGACCAAATATCAACAGTGATTTACAATAAAGTTAGTTACTCTTATCCATTTGTCAATCCATGTTCTCTTGCCCCATATATTAAAGGCTTTTGAATTCTAAAAAGAAGTTAATAGGCTTCCACAGTATATTAACAATCACAGTCTCAAACAGCATTTTCCAAATCATTTATGAAAACTGGGACAATTAGGAATTATCCAAGTACTTTTTAGGAAATCATTTTTAATCAGATAAGGCACAGTTTTTTCTATTATATCTCCAAAGATACAGTTCCCATGCCATCAAACTATGAGTCTCTGAATATGTACCTGCTGCTCACTTCATTCTAAGGACCAAGATTATACACTAAGGAACTTGTGCAAGGCCTGAATGATATCAACTGCATATATTTGGTTAACAAGTAGACAATAATGTTGTTTCCCAGTATAATTTGAGATGATATGCCATGTTCAATTCAGTCATTGACTTTGCCTCTTTTAGCCTCCTTACCCCATCATTGAGTCATGGATCCTTTGAATATAGGTATACAACAACCGAGGGATGCTATCCATTTATTAATCCAAGATTCCCCAAGAATACCACAAATTTATTTGCTTATCCAATATTTTTCAAGAACTTCTTCTGTACATGAGTGTGTGTGTGTATATATATATATATATGATCCTTGACCTCAAAAAGTTCAAACTTTGTTAGGGGACTATACATAACAAACAAAAAATAATATTTTATTTTAATAATTTATGTGATATAAAATATTTAGATAATATTTTATCAAAATAAAGGACACGATGCCTCAAATCAGAAATAAAATATATCAAAAATGAGCCAGGAATTTCAAGCACTGATAGGCAGGAGATGCTAATGAAGGTACTGTGGCAGGAAGGGCTCCTGAGTAGGACTTACATCTTTTCTCATCCACATCATCCAGTATTCACAAAATGCACATTATAGGTGCTCAATAAACACTGATAGAATTGACTCTCTTGCCAGCTTCCCAATATTTCTCCCTACGGTTGTGCAGAATGTCATTTCCAAGAATATTTCGCTTGCGTAACTCTGTGGTACAACCACATGTTCAAAAAAATCCTGCCCAAACATTAACAGTGCAATACTTCAAACTCACAGGTCAACGGTGGCTGATCCCCTTCATTCAGAAAGGCTGTTTGTACAGGGGAGGCAGCTGTTCCTCAAAAGAAGACCCAATGTGTATTATAGGTATGCACTGAACCAAAGGCAAATACCTCTTCCAGCACAATGCACAGGTATGAAAACAGCTCTTCATCTTCCAAGCTAGCAGAGGGGAACACTGGTACAATTACTCCTAAACTGCCTAATTCCCAAATCACTTACATTCAAAAGTCAATACAGGTAGTGGAAAGAGCAATGGCCCAAAAGGCCTAAGATCAAGATTTAAGTCTTGCTTGATCTTAAGCAAGCCATTTCACCTATCAAAATTTCAAATTTATCTCTTATAAAATGAGGAGACAAATCATCACTGTTCTCTCATAGACTGTCAGGAGAATCAAATCAGAACGTATGCACAGGCTTGGTAAAAAGCAAAGCATGGAACAAATATTGCAGAATCATTTTATTAAGCTTTGGAGTAGACTTACTTATGTGGTCTGAGGAAGATTTAGCTTCATAATTAGTTTGTACTCCACATATAACCTGGGTGACAGAGGGAAGCTAGTCTTGGATAAAAACTTCGCTCAATCAAGAATTTACTGTCTTCATCATCCAATTGTTTGTGTTAAGAATCTTTATGCCAGAAGAAATTGAGCTAAGAGAGCTGGGCACAATTTAAATGAGGAAAAAATTGTTGAATACTTCAACATTTGTTTTTGACACAGGTGCTTGTGATATATCATATGTAACAATGGTCTACCGCTTGCACTAAATATTCTCACCTCAAAATCAGGAGCATCTTCTTAGCAAAGAGATAAAGCTGAATCCTAGGATAAATGGCTGATTCCAATAGCCAACAGAAGCTTTTCATTAGGTAGCTAACTTATAAATCTTATGCACAAACTGTTTCATAATTTGTCCACAGTCTTACATTTTTCAGTAAGGAAAGCATTGGGAATATTTAACACACAATAAACTTAAATTTTTCTTCTTTATAATGTTTTCTTTAATGTAAAATTTTATTTTTATTTCAAATATATGCCTATGTAGGGTTACTAGATAAAATACAGGATGCCCAGCTAAATCTGAATTTCCTATATGATTTTTTAGAGTAAGTATTCTCAAATATTGCATGAGACATACTTATACTAAAAAATAATTATTTGTTTATCTAGATTCAAATTTATCTATGTGTCCTGTATTTTTATTTGCTAATTCTGGCACTGCGCCTATTTCAAATGACTCCTGTTGGTTTAATTTAGGAGGAAAAAATAGGGGGAGAGAGGGAGGGTGACACATTATGAAACCAGGGTGAAGGTAACGAGCTTAGTTAAAAACAAAGGAAGATTTTTGCCACGCACTCTTAAGTTAGATGAACAAAAATAAGGAAAAACAAGTGAGGTTTTAGTACTCTAATCCTGGGTCAGTGGATTGGAAGGGAAGAATTGGAAGAGAATTTAAGCAAGGACAAAAGGCCAAAAAGGAAATGCTGTACTAGACCTCAGAACCAGAACATCACTGCCCTGGGGAAACCAAAAAGGGAAAAATATTCACGACCATATTTTAAAAAGTAACAGAACAGGTGCTTCTGCAGTTCAGGAACGTGAGCAGTTTTTAAAACATAAAACAACTCCCTTGTGTTAGTCATCTTCCTATTAAATGTGATTCAATATAATCTACTTGTTAAAGCATCTACAAGTATACTGCTCAGTGACTCAATTTGAGTAGGTGAGCAAAAAAGGCAATTTAAAAATCCACCCTTGTGATGAATTCAGCCAGGCCGCCCAGATTACAAACTCCCACCAAGTCCTCAAGGCCTATCTGCCTCCCAAACTCCATCTCATCAACTCAAGGAGTCAGAATTCCCCTTTAATAGCAGAGAAAAGACCACCTAAGCTGGCTCACAACAAAGCAGATGAAAGGATACTGCTAGTCTACACAATTCTCACTGCTCCTTCATCCTCTTTACGAGACACACCAGAGCAGGCCCCACATCACCCTAACAATCCTAAAGGCTGAAGCTGGCAGAAGACCTCTGCCTCCTAGACTTCTTTACTTGCTCAAGTTGGCTAAAGAACCACTGAGTGATACATGGGTCCTTTTTCCAGGCTGACAGAAGCATCAAGCACTGGCCTAAAGGCCAAGAGTCTTGAACCCCAGCCGGCTAACCCAGGCTGTAAATGCTTACTAAACATAAGCAACTAGATTAAGGTGTTGCTGGGCAAACCACAACCCATAGGCTATGCTAGAAAATCCCCGGGAAGGTGGAAATAATTCCTTCTATCTCAGTTCTCACATTCTAGTTGAAGCTGACTCAGACCCTAGGCTCTTACCTTTCTAACCATCGTCTTCTGCTGTAAGTGTACATCATCTACTGTGACAGGAATGTTGAGGAAGACCTAAAAATTGTATTCCAGAACTTTGCTTGCTCTGTGATTTTTTCCAACTACTACTTGCAACAGTATATTGCATTTAAAATTAATAGAAAAAGCTCTGTTGAAAACAAAAGGAATATGCTATCAAAATGATGATCATCCAGCAGAGAGAGGAGGTCCTTAAATACCTACAGTATGTGACAGGTGCCTTAACATAAGTGCAGTAGTCATTTATACCTAGAGCAACAAAGTACACTCCAGGGGGGCAATCATGGAAGGTTTCCAAGAAAAGGCATCCAAGCTGGGCTTTAGCAAGGACAGGGTTTTGAAAGGCATACAGGGGAGAACAGGGAGAACAAAACACACACCTATAAGGAAAAGTTAGTAAAAGACAGGGCTGGGTTGTTTGGGTATGGGAGGGAACTACTTAATCACCAGGACTGGGAGGTTTGGAATTCATTTTTGGGCAATGGGGAGCCAATGAAGGCTTTGGAGTAGTAGGCAGAAATAAGTAGATGAGCAGAGGACTAGGCAGGCTTGGGAGCAAAAGACACCATTAACTACCAGATCAGTTAAGAGGATGATCAGCTACTTGCAGGTGATGTGTAAGGAAGATCTGGACAAGGCAGGTAGCAAAAGAAATGAAAAGGAAAGGACTTATAACAGACAAGAAAAAGGTAGAACTCATGAGCAGTGAAGTCAGGGAGAAGACTACAAACATGAATACAATTTTAAGTAGGAAGACATGGAAAACGTAAGCACCATTATAAAAGGTAAGGAAGAGTTAGGGAGAGGGTACATTTTATCCTAGATACATTGTGCTTCTAATAAAATTTCTGGAAGAGAGATATGGATATGAAGTTGAGGAGAAAAATTTGGACAGGAAATAAAAATTGGGCTATTACTGGCTTTTTTGTATAATGGATGATATGCACTGATGATGTCTCTAAATTCGAAGAGACAGCAAAATAGGACTTGATGCAGTACACACAGGGGTTAAAAAGGAAATGAGAATGAAAGAGAATGGCCTTGGCACAAGATATGGATAAAGCAAAAGAAAAATGTGATGTCGCAGAAAGAAAACATTTCAAGGACAGAACTATTAACCCTTAACCAACATCAGAGGGTCCTTTTGCAACAGGGGAAGAGGAATAAGGAAGAGTCCTTGAACTAGGAAATTAGAGGGTTTTAAGTGAGATTTCATCCCTGTCAACATCAATGACCAGCGTGGATGCCACCTGATACTGAGAGCCCTCTGTATTCAAAACACATCTAAGAAATTCTGGACAGCACAGAGACTACCAAATTTTAAAAATTCAACAGTGACTCAGGACACACTGAACATAGCTCTGGGCACCATTCGGAAATAAACACTTTAACCATAAGTGTCAAAGGGCATGTGTGTAGCCCAGGCCCAAAGACCAGACAAACCAATATTGTCTCACAGAAACCCTTTTCCACCTCCCCAAACTCCCACTCCCCACTTGCTGCCTTCTTAGTCGCAGCCATCACTCACTTCAAGCAAAGCAGTGCACAGAATATCACAGTCTAAATACACAACGCCCTTAAAAAAAAAAAAAAAACCTACCATCCTATAATATCCAACACACAAGACATAAATCTTTCTGTTCATTCACGTCTGTGAGTGAAAAAAACAGCTGAAGGCAGATATATGAACTTCCTATCCACCCTGCAGGTTATTTGTAATACAGAGAGTGAAACTTACATAATGTGTGTACAGAAGAGCAGATGGGTCTTCCAATAAGTAAAATACGATCCTACACATTTTTTCCCTTTCTCACTACACTTTTAATTCACTAGTTGCCTTGTCTCTTTCCAGGAATATTCTCTTTTTATTCTCAACTCCCATCTATTTGGATAGATCATTAGCAACACAAATCACAGTGTCAGTGCCAACCCAACAGCATTATGCAATTTACTGCATGGCACCTGGCATTAATGCTTCTGTTATCCGATTTTAAGAGTCATTATTTCAAATATTTTAAATAAAGTATGTTCTCCCTCTCAGTATACAGAATGATAAATGGTTTGCAAATAAATGTGAGCCTCCACTTAGTATGCCAACCAGTAAACAATGCTCCTGCTGCTGTGGCCCCTTTTATTATTTGAATCCTGAAGAAACTGTTCTGCAAGCATCATGGCTGCAAGATGACATCTGTGTGTTCATTAATGCATCATTTCCTCTGCACAGAAGCCCTACAACTGAAATTTAATTCTAATCTCTAATTGAACAAAATTGCTTTCAGATGACAAATTAAGGAGAGGGAACCACACCCAGCACAGGGCTGCAACAGGAGAGAGCTGCATCATCTCTTCTCTAGCATGGAGGAAAACAGCAACAAAAAATTGACTAGGAATTGATTTGCTCTCACTTGGCTGCACCGTAGGGGGAAAAAAAGAACAGGAGACAATTTGCTTTATTGCAGTTATTTCCTAAACAAAGTGAATGTCTGAGAATTTGAATTTAAAATCTCACAGTAATCTACTAAATGTTGGAACAAAGTATGTGTTATTGGAGGCATGGCACCTGCTTGACATGCTCTAAATCTTGGTTTTGAAGGCAGACAGATGTACTTGGGTTTAAACATTGTAATGTCTAATGGGAGCAGTGATTTATTTTGCTTGGGACTAAGACTCCCACCCCTGCATTATTTCCTGGTATCAGAACCATAGCCCAAGTCACAGGTCTGTCAGAGAGACAGGAAGGCAGATTGCAAGCCTGAGAGACGGACAGGTTTCAGAGCAGGGAATGAAACGCAGAAGTCAGAAGTCTGTATGGTCAGCCTCTCCCCTACCCAACGGGTGCTGGCCTTAATGGCATTATGGTGCTTTGTATCTCCCTGGGCTTCATTTCAGCACACCCAGGATGTACTCAGGTGTGGAGGGGCACACACGCAGCCTCCCCAGCTCTGGGGCAGGGCTGCCACATAACTCAATCCAGCTGTGGCTACAGCAGTGGATTCTGTAATTAGGTGGAACCTTCATCTAGACTTCTTCTAAGTCATACACGTGGTAACACATAGATTCAGAATAATTACTGGGGGCATGGTTTCTGTAAGCAGTTCTTAAACTTTTGAAGAATCATAAAACTTTTGGAGACTATGAGAATCTGACAGACACAATACTGCCTAAGAAAAATGCATATAATTATGGAACTTTGCAGACTCCCCTAAAGCCAATCTCTGGCCTATATATTTATATGAATACAGTTGTCCCGCTGTATCTGTGGGGGATTGGTTCCAGCATCCCCCAAGATCCTAAAATCCACGAATGCTCAAGTCCCTTTGTAAAATTTGCATATAACCTACTCACATCCTCCCATATGTTTTAAATCATCTGTACATTACTTACATAATACCTAATATAATTTAAATGGTATGTAAATGGTTGTTATACTATATTGTTTAGGGAATAATGAGAAGGACAAAAGTCTGTACATGTTCAGTACAGAATCAAACATCCTTTTTTTCTTCTTCAAATACTTTCCATGCATGGTTAGCTGAATCAACTAATACAGAACCCATGGATAGACAGACTGTATATACAAATATACACATATGTGTATGTAAGAATGTACACCCTATCACCACCCCGAGTCCTCGTATCTTTGGAAGACTCAGGTGAATGTGGAAAAGAACATGTGTGGTATGATGGGGTAGTCTCTGAGCCAAACGTCTCGGAAATCTCTTCACTAATCAGACAACTTCCTGGCTCAGGAGGCATTTTTCCAAGCATCATTTTAAACAGCTCAGCTTGGCAGCACCAAAAGAAAACAGGACTATCCATTTAATATCAGCCTCCAGCTTTCACTCCAGATAATCTTAGACAGAATCCCGCTGCCTTTTCATATCATTATGAAAAGTGCTCATAAAATAAGTGCCTTATCAGGAGTAGAGACTGTGCAGGGTAACTGGTCACATGGGTTGTAGCTCGCCTCCAATGGCCCAGATCTACCAGCCCATCTCCCCAAGTCACCTTTAAGCTTCCTTCTAAAAAGAAAAATAAGTCACATAATTCATCTCTAATCTACTTTGAAGATACAATGTCATCCTAAGTAACTGGATTAAAACCTCATACACAACTGTCTAAGGGGAAGTTTCTGACCCTAAAAAAAAGCAAAAGAGATTAATGGCCCTCCTTTCAGAAAATGGTCTCATCCTACAGGGACACTTACCTTTGTGTCTGACTGGGCGATTTTACAACTCTGAAAAGTGTCTATAGCTATGCAAATACATTCTGTCCCCTAGAGGAACAACCCTCCCCCAAAAGTTTTGTGTTCATTTGTGGGTTCGTTTTCATTTCCTTTATTCCATATAAATTTGTGGTTCTTTCATTTCTCCTTGGTACCTGTTGTAACATCTATCTGGTTCCCTCATTTAAAATAAGTAAAATTTTTGACATGTGGATATTTTATATCTGCATGAGTCATGATTTTACCTTTTTTGAATATTATCTATTCACAACTATTAGAGGTGATATAGTTTAGATCCAAGAAAGAATAAAAACCTGCCTCTAGCATTCTGAACAGACATCAGGAGGTAAAATAACTTAAAGGTAAAAAGCAAGTTAAGAAACTAGAGTGTCCTTTCCAAAGGATACCATCTTTAATGTTCACGGCAGGTGCCCCAAATTGAGAATTACCAAAGGTAAAAAGAATGTTCAATGTTAAATTCAAAACCACACGAGAGACTAACTCAAAAACTTGGTTATGAGGCACAGGATTCCAGGAAGCACACTCATGTTCTACTAACTAGAACAGCAAACCAACTCCATCACCAAAAGTCTAAACAAGTTATCCTGCCATCTTCTGAGACGGGAAAAAGGCCAAGAGAGTAGTCACGTTGGTCACCTATCCCCTATCTTCCCCAGAATGTGAGGAAACCACACTTCAGGACTGGCAATTCTAGGAGATTCCAAGGAAAGCTTCAGAGGTATTAAGAAATAATCATTTATCTGAATTAACATTCCACTCCAGATGAGGTAATTAATTAGGCAAAAGAAAACAATCCTTAGTACTTTGCTCTAATAATTAACAAACGTTAAATCTGCCATTGGTAATTTACTACACTGGGAACAGAAAATTTCAATTGTTTAACCTCAACCTGCAAGCCTTTTATCTCCTTGCAAGCCTTTTTCAATAATCCTTTATCGGCTGACATTATGGAAAGTACAAAAGCAGTGGGGCACTGCTCAAGATGCTTACTTAACCTTTATAACTGTGAGATGGTACAGTGTGTGCATTTTTCACAGTGACAGGCTGCTTTATAGGGAACATCCACAGGCAAGAGACGGGAGCACCATGTCCCTCCAAAAAGAGAATGGCATCCTCCCTATTTTCCCAACCACCATGCAGCACACTTCTATAATTCTATGTTAATCCCTGCACTAGGAGACAGCCAAAATCCATTTATGGGTCCTTCAAGCATTGCTTTCAGAATATGGTAAAAGCCCTTCTGAAGGGGGTAAGGGGAGAGCAGCAGCATTACTTCCCACCCCCTCCTACAAATCAAAGAGAAAGGCATATTGAATCCTGCTTTTTTAGTAACTTGAAGCCCTGCATAAAAATCTGCTTAACAGCTTCAGCCTGGGAATCAGCTATTTTTTTTAAGGAAGCTGCATTGCCTGTGAGGTGGGCTTTGTTTTCAGTGTTGTGTTGGCTACATTTTCAATGAGTCGATTCCCAGGTTTTGAGTGCCATGTCCATTACAATGAAATATGGGTCTTTGATTTAATAAAATCATGACATCGGACATCTGAAGTTCTTTCAGAGGAAAAGTAGCCTCCGAATAATTAATAACTTGGCAAATATCATGTGACCTTAAATATGCTTTTGTATAAAGCAGTTGACATTGCAAGAAGCAGTACCCTCAGAACCCTGTGAAGGACACACCCTGTGGGACCTGGCATCCTACTTGGTGAGTCAATGGCATTGGCATAATTAGAGAGCTTACTTTAAAGAAACCCAAGATTCTGTTGGGTTATGTGGGAAAAAAAAATTAAGCAACATGTGCCCTTGTGTTTGCTATAGCTCTTTACAATTGAATCTGAGGAGAGGGAGGTGAGGGGAGGAACTGGGCCAGTGACAGACGGACCAGCTCTGCAAGTGGAAGGAAAAGTGCCATGGTTCCCTGGTAAATTGTGATTCCGGTGCAGGGGTGTGGGGGATGTTGGAAAAGAGCACAAGGAGAATCTTGGGATGATCTGGGTGGTGGTGACATGAAAGGACACACACATAAGAATATATCAAGTTATCCCTTAAGATGAGTACATTTGATTGTATGTTAATTATACCTCTCTAAAAAAATAGAAAGTTTTTTTTAAATCCCTGATTGAAATCCAGGTGTTCCTGCCTTCCCCTTCAGATATCACCATGGTGTAGAGAAAGAACCTCAGACTACACCTCAGAGCCCCAGGCTCCAGCCCTCACTAGCTGTCTCTCCTTGGTTAAATGCCTTTTCCTACCTGTAACTCAGGTCATCATCCTTAAACCAGAAATAGATAACCTGATAGTTAGGGTCAAGGGTCCTCAAAATTGCAGCTGAATCAGCATCAGAGCTCTTTGTCCTCCTGATTCAAGCATCAGAGACAGAAAATAAAACAAAAAACAACAACAACAAAAAAAAACACCTCTTTGTCAGGCAGGTATAATGTCCTTAAAATTTTCTAAATTTGAATGTCTCTTCAGTCTCCCCCATTGCTTATAGTTGTCCAATTCATTCACTCTGCTACCTGTCTACCCCAGGAACATGTGAGTTTGAGAGTCCTACTCTGGATCCTCAAGGTCATTTTCAGTCCTTAAACTCTGTAATTTAGAGTTCAGGTACTCTACTAGGGTTTTGTTGTTGTTGTTTTTGTTTGTTTTGTTTTTTCACTCTGGCTCTGACAGGCTTGACAGAACAGAGGATTTTAGCAGAGCAACTAGAGCATCTATCTGAAGTAGAATTATCCAGTAACAAGTATCCTGCACAACCCAGCTCACTGGCTCTTGAAGTCAACTAGCTCATAACAAATCTTGAGATGGCTAACCAGGTATGGTCACATGTTCTTATTCTCCTAAATCTACAAAGCAAACATCCACAAGAGATTAGGGTTTAATGCCTATTTTTGGATGGAGATAAGAATAGGAGTGACTAGAATCAATAACCACAAACAAATGAATATGAGTCTGAGACTAATGACTTCTGCCCGTTACTAACAGTCTCTCTGTTTGTCATCTTGTCTAACACTTCATCAAATTCTGAGGTCAGTTTTTGGAATACATTAAAAGAAAATTATCCTGCAAAACTGGAGACATGATAGTTAACAATTTTTTTGTTGTAACTTAACAATAAACTTAGTATGACCAAAACATAAAGCTCTTACATATACCATCTATTCACCTCTAACTTTATTTCTTTTTCTTTTGAAACAATCTTTATTTCTATTTCCTTTTAAACAATCCTTAAGTGAGGCTAAAGAGATATCCCACTGGAGTAATTTTAAACCCTCTTTGCTTCCTTTGAAAGCACAATATCCTCAAATCTTATACAGTGGTTAATAGCTCTTGCTTTCATTTCGTAAATGTTGGTACAATGACTGTCCTGACAAGGTTCTCTGCTTCAACAAGCACAATATTTGGAATGATGAAGATGCTGTGAGCATGGACCCTTCTCTATAATGTTTAATATAACAGTCCTATTCACTTCTATTCACTTGACAATTGCAGCGGTTTCCAGGAAGTTAAGTAAAGAAGAAATAATTAGTACCTACATGATATCCAGTGCTACACAAGGCAATGTCAGGGCAAAAAGAGTAAATCCAAGACTCAGTCTCTGGCCACACGGGCCTTACAGTACATACCTAGCAAACCTCTCATGATTCCAAAGAGTGAGGCAAGCCTAGTAACTGCCCTGTGAAGTCTTTTTTATTCCAGGGCTGACCCCCAGTTGTTCCTATTCTTTAGTACTTTCACTCCTCTTCCTCTTTGCCAAGGCTTCCTTGCCTTCTGACCACCTTCCCTTCTGTTAGCAGCCAATCAAAGCATCACATGGGACAGAGAGAGAGAGAAGGTGTAAATTCCATCCATTCTATTCTCAGCCCAAAGCAGCTCAGCAGGGGAAGCATTTAAATTTATAGACCAAAACAAAATTTAGGACTCACCTTGGAGTTTCACAGAAAGTCAGAGAGAAAAGACCTTGAAGGGCATTAAGTCCAACCTCTTCTCTTTACAATAGAGGAGGACCAGGAGAAAGTGACTATCTCAGCAGCCAGGGTAGGTGAGTTTTAGCACCTATTTAGCTTGCAAATTAAAAAGCAGTGCATGACTCACAAGTCTTGGTCTACTTCTAAGCTCCACCCTCATACTGGTTTTTTACCATTATTAATAACCCCAAGGCACTGACATCCAGGTGATTCTCCTGAAACCAACAGCAGCAACTAAAGCTTATGCTACTTTGAACATACAAAGATAATATTTTGGACCTACCACACGAAGGACGTGCACTCTGAGCTATTTCCCCAGAAGTGGTCATAAATTGTCACTGATCTAGCCACACACCAGGTCCTTGTGATGGTCACCTCTATGAGAAGTTTGGTTAGGGGGTCTGGAGAACAGACTGGGGGTAGACAGCAGAGCACGGCTCATCAGACTCCATGCCCCTAACACCTGTGCTCAGGGCAATAAGACAATGCCCAAGGTGCCATCAGACTGCCCATAAGGCAATGACTAGACCTGGAGATTGCCAAAAATTCACCCTAAGGCTTGCTACGGTTATTGGCTGGATATCCCCTTAATCAGAGCCAATGAGAAAAATCCTTTTGGCACACAGGTGTTATTCATCACCAAGGAGGAATGTCTTTTTTTTTTTTTTGAGACGGAGTCTCACTCTGTCACCCAGTCTGGAGTGCAGTGGCACAAACCCAGCTCACTGCAACCTCCGCCTCCCAGGTTCACACCATTCTCCTGCCTCAGCCTCCCGGGAATGTCTTAATAAACAGTAGTCCAAAAGTACGAATTTAATTCCAACTATTGAGAAACAACGTACACTTAGAGGCTGCTATGTAAACTTCTGTATAATAAATGAACCATCTATATCTCTAAGACGATAAATAAAAATTTTAAGCACTCATTCCATAGCCCTACTTTCCTCCCTTCAGAGAATGAGGTAGAAGCAATTATAGCAATTATAATCTGCCTATTATCAGTAAGAAGAAAATATTTTGTCATTGCATTGTTTCAAAGAGGGTTTAGCAGGCAGGTCGAATGCCAGACCTTTGAGGGAGAATTTACACAGCAAAGACGGCTCCTTGTGATTCTGCTGCATCAGCAGCAGGACCCTCATTGTACGACACTGTCAAAACAGGCAAATAAAGACCGACATATAGAAATAATACCTCTCAGGGCTCATTTCCAGGACTGCGTGAGCCTGCTTTGTTTCAATGCAGCGCACAAGAGCAGGGATTTTATTAGACATTTCAAAGGGGCTGCTTAGCTAGGGGGAGCAGACGAGGAGCCCTCTAAGTGTATGTGTGAATACACTGCACATGTCTGACTGACTACAATTCCATCACTCCAAGGTGCCTAGGGCAAAAGGAACTAGGCAAAGAGCTTAAGGATTACTATGCACATAGAATCTCATTATACTGATTTAACAGGGGAAAATAAAAAGAAATAGCTTCTGCATCCCCTCCTCTGGAGCCGTGAAATTCCTGGCTTTTCAAAGAAAAACAGTAGTTCCTAGAAGAATACAAAATGTTGCCATTTCAAGTGCCCACTATAGTTCAAGGCCACTGTGTACAAATGTTCCAATATACCATCAGTCAAGGGCAACAAGCATGGAGGGAACCTGTAAGAGATCCCAGGAAAAGCACTGAATCCGCTGATCCAACTGTGTCCTGTAGAAACAAGGGTACAACAAGGAAAGATGATATTTAGCTAATATTTTCTTGTTCAGAAAACTCTCTCACACACATTATTTCATTTATTTCTTAAGTGAGTAGGTGTGAGGAGACCCACTGCACAACTGAGGAAACTAAGGCTGAGAATACTTAAGTGACTTGTCCAAGACTATGCAACTAGTTAATGCATCCAGCTTAGTCTGTAATGAGATGAGGGAGCTAGAAGGTGACGGCCAATCAAAACTGGAAGCCTAGGGGTCTAAAAGATCTCCTGTTTATAATACTAAAAAAAGTGGCTGATGTAAAGTTGAAATACAGAGAGGGACCGCAGGAACTGAGATTACCAGTTCAGGTGTTAATTTTTAATAATAAAGATTCAAGAGACGAGTTAACTGAGGAGAGGACACAGAAAATGCGTTACTAAAGTATGCTTCTCAAAGCTCAGCTTCTAGGCACCAGGCCTGCCTTGGTGATCACTTTCTTCCTTTCTCCCTCACTTCTTCCTTCCAGGCTGAAGGAAGGAGTCCCAAGACTGAGCCTCTGTTTCAGGCCTATGCTAGGTGGAACAAGAAAGTTCCACTGACCCCTTGGGACTCAGCCTATTTCTAAAGTACTCAGTTAAAAGTTGGGGCTCACCTGAGGAAACATAAAAAAAATGAAGCATGTAGAATAGTGAATTATCTAAAATCCAAAAAGTGAGGAATGGCACAAACAACCTGCAATATTTAGTCAGGAAACACAGAGAAACTTGATTTATTCCATCCACTCAGAAGAATCACTGCGGGGAAGCCACAGGCAAGCTAACTGTGTCTCAATCCAAGAAAATAACTCTTAAAAATGGAAGTCATGCCATGGTAAAATTAGCCAACCTAAGGTCCCCACCACCCACCATCCCTGAGGCCCTGAAGCAGAAGTTGGTTGACAAGTCCCTAAGACTGAAGAGGCAGAGGGTGGAAGCCTGGCTAAGGGGCCCTCACAGCAAGAGTTGATAATTCTTAGCCCCTTGTTTGTTCTTTACGGAACACACACAAACAAATATCTACCTACCTGAAGGCATTCATTATAAGTTAAGTCTGGCAGTTATACGGACTACAACCAACATTTAAAGTCTAGAAAGCTAAGATACAAAGTGACGTGGATTAACAAAGCAATTCATAAACCTTTACAGACTCCAACTAGAAATGAACTACATTAAGTGCCTTATCTACTCTCTTGAGTTGAGAAAACTGAAACCCTGTAAAGGAAGAATATTGGGTAAGTATGAGACTATAATGAAATGATAAAATATTACTAAAATGCAGTCCAGAGGATACAGTAACAAGGGCCCAGGTCTTCAAGTTTGGAGGCTAAATCACAAAAGGCCTTAAAAGTCATTTTACCTCTACAGGTGTCAGGTTTCTTGTCTATAAAATGAATAGGCTGCTCAAACAGATCTCTATTAGCCTGTCCAATAATAAAATTCCGTGATACCACAGAGATAAAACAGAAAATGTTAATTTCACAACAATAAGATTGGTTTAGTACTTAGCTTGTCCATGAACTATAACCTCTGATTTGCTTTTGAAGCCATTTTCTTCTGCTTCTAGAATCTTCATTTTACACAGACTAGGTCCATCACGTACATTGTGAAGCTCATAGGTAATGCTCTTAATTTATAGACAAGACCCTTTCTTTTCCCAGCATTCAGCGTAAGGGGTAAAATTATTTGTTTTCTGTAGATTTTCACCAATCTCAAAACATGTACTTGAGAAGGAAAGCATTCATCAATAAAGTCTCTATTTGCATTGAAAAGTAAACAGTAGACCATGGTGTACCTAACTTTAGAAGTATCAATATCTTCCCCAAAATTAAACCAAACTCCCACAAACACATATGGTTTCTGGACTACACTCTAGAAATAGAAAATGAGTGAAATCTTACAGATGACTTGTGAATTGAAAGATTCTGAAGAAAGATGTAACTAAAGTCACAGAACAATTACAAGAACAAAGAAACACATAATTACTGAATATCCCCAGCATCTCGCACAATAATTATCACACAGTAGGCTCTATAAATAATTGCTGAATTAATCACTCAATCACACTCCAACAGAGAAATGAGAAGATAACGTTAATTTTTCAAAAATAAAATTAAA
The DNA here is from genome assembly GCF_000001405.40 of Homo sapiens. Taxonomy (NCBI): domain Eukaryota; kingdom Metazoa; phylum Chordata; class Mammalia; order Primates; family Hominidae; genus Homo; species Homo sapiens. The sequence goes on along the minus strand of NC_000007.14, from coordinate 69,854,652 downwards.
GTGACACTAAAGATGAATCAATTGGAAGAATACAGTTACTAGATCACATCTTAAATTTTGCTAGGAACATTAAGAAACACACAGACACGCTGACAGATAAAACCACTATGGCACTAAAAGAAACTAGCAATGGATAAAATCTAGGTTATATCTTTTACCTTTCATTGAAGCAAATAAAAATAATAAAATGCTTAAGAATTCAAACTAGGTCCCAACAGATCAAAAAGCTCTAAAGAATTCAGGTTGATGAAGTACAAGAGAATACAGGGAGGAAGTAAAACATAAAGGTTAAGAGCATGAACTTTAAACTCTAAGACCTGTATTCAAGTCCCAGTTTTAACACTCCCTAGCTAAGTGACCTTAGCAAATCACTTGACTTCTCTAAGCCTCTGTTTCCTCAGCTACACAGTAAGATAATTATACCTAACAGGGTGAATTTAGAAAGTCACTGAAAGGCATTGGTAGCACAGTGCTGGGCAATTACAAGGTACTTAATAAATGATTCAGGACTTATAATCGGTATTAGGGTATTCCAACTGCAAAGCATAAGTTTGAGTAAAATTTCTTAATGGAATATGTTAGAGAAGGAGAAAAGGGTAGAGTGGTGTCAAAGAGAAAGAAAGAGTACACGTATAAATTTTCATTCCTATAAGGGAACCTCATAAAATCTGTTAATATTGTTCTAGAGCAACATGATTTCATATATCACTTAGATATAATAACTGATGTCCAAATAGAATTTAAATGTTGAATCCTTTTTCACTTTCATCTCACTTACAGCAATATTGTGGTATAGGTGTATCAATAATTTTTTTTAATTTTAAAAGTAAAGAAGCAGTTCCAGAAAGATGGAACAGATGTACTTTTCCTATCATTTCTGCTAAGTACAGTAAAACAATTCCTGGGTGTTATATATATAACATGAACATTAAAAGATTCTTGAAGGTAGAGAGAACAGGCAGAACTGCTAGGGACCTTAGGATGCAAGGAACTTCAAAGTGATGAGCTGCCTGGGTCTTCTAACACACCAATAATTTCATTAAAGGTACAGTGACTAAATATACCAATTAAAATACAGATTGGTTGAATGAATAAAAAAGCATGAACTATATGCTATCCATAAACTCACTTCAAGTATAATGATAAATATATGTAAAAAGTAAAAATATGAAAAATATATACAATGAAAACAGTCAAAAGAAAACAGGAGTACCTACATGAATAAAATAAGTAGACTTCAGAACATAGAAAATTAGTAGAAACAGAGAGGGACATTAAAAATGATATGTAAGTCAATCAATCAAGCAAATATAGTAATCCCAAATGTATTTGTGGCAAAAAAATGGAGTTGTAAAGTGTGAAGCAAACACTGACAGAACTGAAAAGAGAAATAGACAAAAGGTAGTTGGAGACTAAAATGCCCCTTTATCAACAATTAATTGATAGAGCAACTAGACAGAAAATCAGCAAATGTAAAAGATTTCAACAATGCCATCAACAGGCTAGGATCTAACTGACATTTATAGCACACTACACTTAACAAAGCATAAGCCACATTTTTTTTTAAATGACCTCAGAACAAATAACATAGACCATATCCTGGGATATAATACAAACCTTAGCAAATTTAAAAGAACTGAAATCATATACAGTGTATTCTCTGACCACAATGAAAGAAAAGCAGACATAAATAACAGAAAGATAACAGGAAAATCTAAAAAAACTTGGGAACTAAAAAACACACTGGCAAATAATCTATGGGTCAAACAGGAAGCCTCAAAATAACTTAAACAATGACCTGAACTGAATGAAAATGAAATTACAACATACCAAGTTTAGGGGACACAAGCAGTACTAACGGTAAACTTTTAGCAATAAATGATAACATTAGAAAAGCAGGGGCCGGGCACGGTGGCTCACACCTATAATCCCAGCACTTTGGGAGGCTGAGATGGATGGATCATCTGAGGTCAGGAGTTCAAGACCAGCCTGGCCAACATGGTGAAACCCTGTCTCTACTAAAAATACAAAAATTAGCCGGGCATGGTGGCAGGCACCTGTAATCCCAGCTACTCAGGAGGCTGAGGCAGGAGAATCGCTTGAGCCCAGGAGGCGGAGGTTGCAGTGAGCAGAGATTGAGCCGCTGCACTCCAGCCTAGGAATCTGAATCTGAATCTCACTCCAGAGTGAGATTCTGTCTCGAAAAAAAAGAAAAGAAAACAGGGAAAGCAGACACTTTCCAATTTTTATGAAGCTACTATTACCCTAAAAATACCAGCAAAGAAAAAAAAAATCACATACTACCTCTTATAAACACAAAAGTCCTTAACAAAATATTAGTAAACAAAATTTAGCAATATATAAAAAGAATTATACATCCTGACCAAATGGGATTTATTCCAGGGATGCAAAGCTGGTTCAATATTCAAAAACCAATCAACATAATCCATCATAGTTGATGCAAAAAAGCATTCAATACATATTTATAAAAACCAAGAATAGAAAGGAATTTCCTCAGCTTCAAAGAACAACTACCCAAAAACCTACAACTAACATCAAATTTAGTAGGGAAAGACCTAATGCTTGTTCACTTCAGATTTGGAACAAGACAAGCATGTCCACTCTCACTACCACTATTCAGCATAGTACTGAAGCTCCAACCAGCATAATAAGGCAATAAAAGGAAAAGGTATATCAGAAAGTAAATAATAAAACTGTCCCTGTTTATAGATGACATGCTCGTATAGATGATATGCTTACAAAAATCCCAAAAAATCTAAATAAAAACTCCTAGAAGTCAACTCTGCAAAGTTGAAGACCAACATGCAAAAACAAATTGTATTTCAATATACTAACAATGAACACAGGAAAAGCAAAATCAAAATTACAATGTTATGTATAATGTCTCAGAAAAATGAAATATTTAGATGCAAATCTAACAAAAGATGTATAGGACCTGTATGCTAAAAACTACAAATTGCTGATGGAAAGAAATCAAAGATGATCTAAATAAAAGGAAAGGCATATAGTGTTCATGGATGGGAAAGTTCAGTATAGCAAAGATATCAAATCTCCCAAAATTGATATGCAGATTTCACATATGGGCCAGGCGCAGTGGCTTACGCCTGTAATCCTGGCACTTTGGGAGGCGAAGGTGGGGGGATTGCTTGTGTCCAGGTGTTTAAGACCAGCCTGAGCAACATGGCGAGACACTGTCTCTACAAAACATAAAAATAAAAGTATTCATCATAATTCCTATCAAAATCCCTGCAAAATTTTTGTAAATACGTTCAAGATTGTTCTAAAAATTTACATGGAAAGAAACTAGAATACCTGAAACTATTAACAAAAAAGAATACAGTAAGAGGAATCACTCTATATGATTTCAAAACTTACTAAATAGTTATACTGTAATCAATACAGTAAGGGACTGGCGAAGGGACAGACACGCAGATCAACGGACAGAATAGAGAACCTAGAAACAGTCCCACAAAACTATGGCCAACTGATATTTGACAACGATCCAAAAGCAATTCAATGTTAGAAGAAATGCCTTTTAAACAGTGTTGAAGCAATTAGATTATTCATAGGCAAAAAATAAATAAGCCTCAACCTAAACCTCATACTTACACAAAACTTAATTTAAAATGGGTCATACATTTAAATGTAAAATGTAAAGCTTAAGCTTCTGATGAAGACATAGGAGCCAATCTTCAGGACCTATGGGTTTGGTGAAGAGTTTCTTAGACATGACATCAAAAGCATACTCCATAAAATAAAATGCTGATAAATTTGACCTCACCAAAATTAAAAACCTTTGCTCTGCAAAGCATCCTGTTATAATAATGAAAAGCCAAGCTCCAGACTGAGAAAATATTTGCAAACCATACATCAGACAAGATACTGATATCTAGAATACATAAAGAACATTTCAAAACTTAACAGTAAAAGTCAAATAATCCAAAAGAATGGGCAAAAGACATGAACAGACATTTCATCAAAGAGGACATACAAATGGCAAATAAGCACATAAAAATGTCTGCCATCACTAACCATTAGGGAAATCCAAATTAATCACAATGAGATATCATTACACACCTATCAGAACAGCCATATTAAAAAACAGCAACAATTCCAAATCCTGGCAAGGATGCTGATTCCCTCATACACTGCTGCTGGGAATGTACAATGGTACAGTCACTCTGGAAAAGTCTGACTTTTTTTTTTTTTTTTTTTTTTTTTTTTTTTTTTTTTGAGACAGAGTTTCGCTCTGTTGCCCAGGCTGGAGTGCAGTAGCATGATCCGGGCTCACTGCAACCTCCGGGTTTTTTTGTTTTTGTTTTTGTTTTTGTTTTTTTGAGACAGAGTGTCACCCTGTTGCACTGGAGTACACTGGTGCAATCTCAGCTCACTGCAACCTCTGCCTCCTGGGTTCAAGCTATTCTCCTTCCTCAGCCTCCCGAGTAGCTGGGACTACAGGCGCATGCCACTACGCCCGGCTAATTTATTTTTGTATTTTTAGTAGAGATGGGGTTTCACCATGTTGGCCAGGCTGGTCTCAATCTCCTGACCTCAGGTGATCCACCCGCCTCGGCCTCCCAAAGTGCTGGGATTACAGGTGTGAGCCACCGCGCCCAGCCAAGTCTGACATTTCTTAAAAACCAAACACTATAAAACTCAGCAATTACAATCCTGAGTGTTTATCCCACAGAAATGAAAATTTACTTCCACACAAAACACCTGTAAATAATTGTTCCTAGCAGCTTTATTTATAATAGCCCAAAAGTAAAAAGAATCAAAATGTTCCTCAATAAGCGAATGATTAAACAAACTCTGATGTGTCCACACCATGGAATACTACTAGGTAGTAATAAAGAATAAACATTCATAAAAGCAAGCAACAAGGTTGATGGATAGCATTACAGTGAGTTTAAAAAGTCAACCTCAAAAAGCCATGTACTGTATGATTTAATGTATATATTTCATATTTTCATATTTATGTGATATATTTTATATTTTATATAAATACAAATGTGTAATAACATTTATATAATTTTTAAATGAATAAAATTTATAAAGATGGAAGGCAGATTAGTACTTGCCAGGAGGTAAGACAGTGGAGGGGAGGATAGGGAAGGTGGTAGAAGTTGTTATAAAAAGGAAGCAATAGGGAGATCTTCGTGATGATGAAACAGTTCTGTGCTTTTACTGCAGTGATGGTTACATAATGTACACATGTCAAAGAACGACATAGAGCTATACACATATATTGTACTAGGTGAAGGTCACCCTGGATCTCTCTATATTATTTTGGCAACCTCCTATAAATCTGCAATTATTTCCAAATTTAAAAGTAACAAAAAATAAAGTAATAGATTTTAAAAACCTATATAACTTGTTGAAGGTCACAAGATAAGTAGCCAACAGCTCTTGAATATTGGTTAGCTGGACCCCACGTCTTGTTGTTTTGTTTTGGACAATCTTGCTCTTTCACCCAGGCTGGGGTGCAGTCATATGATCATAGCTCACTGCAGCCTCAAACTCCTGAACTCAGGGGATGCTCTTGCCTCAGCTTCCCCAGTAGCTGGGACTACAGGCGCACGCCACCACAACTGGCTAATTTTTTTTATTTTTGTAGAATCAGGGTCTTGCAGTGTTGCCAAAGCTGGTCTTGAAACACCTGCTGTGGTTTAATTTCCACCAAAAGCACCAACTCTGATGTCTTGTCTTCTGAAGATTATTTAGTCAATAAAACCAAGGGTGTCGAAAAGGTGGTGGCGGGGGGCGGGGGGAGTCCACTTCAAATGTAAACATAAAAGTCAAATAAAGTAGGCTAACTCAATTGTGCAGACAATTGAATGTTGTGCTGGATGTATAGTTTATCTAAAGCTCCTTCCCTAGACAGTCTTAAGAAAAAAAGGAGAAAGCGGGAAATGGGACTTGTATTTCACAGAATCCTTTGACGTGGAAGACAAATGTAATCCAACAAATATTGCTTTAGAGATGCACGCAGAGCAGAGACCAATAATGACAGGGTTTACCTGGGGGCACTCTAATTCATATGGCTTTGGTTACAGGTGTTCCCCAGGAACCTGAGGTTGCTACTGTACCTGGGAGGGCATGGGCAGGAAGCCACTGTGTGTGTGCACACACACACAAACACACACGCACACACCCTTGTTTAGTCAAAACCCTTTAAAGAGAACAAACATTTAATTCCCTTGTAAAACAGATGAATGCTTTATAATTTACTAGCAGCTGCTGGCAGCAACGTGCTCTGCTCTCATATTCCTATTAAGCAAGCTGCGGCTGATTTATTAAAAGCCTGGATACATCAAAACAAATGACTGAGATATCATTATAGTACTATTTACAACCTCTTAATGGGGTTACAGATAGGGGCAATGCAGTACAGGCTGCAATCGTCTTTCCTTCTGTTAGAAGTAGCTCGTATTTTCAGGTAAAAACAAAATCCAATCATGTTAAGGAAGGAAGAAGGTCCCTATTCCTATGAGGGTATGAGGGCCACCTGTGGCTTACAGCAAACCACGGGATCTATGACAAGGCTCTGCCAGTCTCTAATGACTTACAGGACAAAGTACAGATGGCTGTTCTCTATCCCATGCCTCAGTTTCTCTCTCTGCAGAATCAGAACCTCCCACCAACAACTGTTACTCCAAAGTAAATCCAGTGCAAAGGAGGAATGACCTTAGAGGAAACTAAAGGAAGAAACTGGGAAGTGATAAAAGGAGGATCGCCTAGTACTTGGATGAGAATAGAGCAAGAGCAAGAGCAGAGCTGTTTTCAGAGGCGACAGATGAAGTGCCAGGTCAGGCCTCTGCAAGTTTAGAGCCCTCCAGCTTCCCTTTCTCTGTCCTCAACCTTCATCTGTGGCTCCCTCCTCGCTCTCACGTTCAAGTGTTCGGCTTTCTACTCTTGCCCACCTCACAAAGTATGATCTGAGCAAAGGCTTGATTCTTCTAGTCTTTTATTTTCTAGTATAAAAGTAAGCTTGTAGGTCCTCATTCCAGGGGCACCGGCCTTTTGAACAACAAATCAATCTGAAAAAGGAAAAAAATGTAGGTCAGGGAAGCAGGACATAATGAAGAAGGCCAGGTAGATTCCCAGAGATGTACTGGTGCTGAGGCTCAGAGATGAATCCTGTTTTAAAGGCTATGGCGGAGCAAAGTAGATGTTACACTCTGAACTCAGCACACTTAGAGCAAAATGCAAAGTTTTCCCCATGATCTACAAAGAATGACAGAATTTGCTGCGGGACAAGAATCTCAGGCCCACCATTTACCATATGACTTTGTGAACTCCTCAAAGGCAGAATGCTAGGTCTTTTTCCTCTCTCTATCCACACGCTCAGTGTAATACCTCAGGAACTGAGTCAATCAGGAATTAAAGGATGAATTAATGAATAAAGAAACTCTTATTCTACGGCTTTAGTACTCTGTAACTTTTGATCTCTACGTCGTATGTTCTATTAAGCCAGCTTGAAAGACAGGACAAGTAATAATATTTAAAGCAATTATGCATGTACTGGGGGGTAGGGGAGAGGGGAAAAATTAAGGAAAGTAAGACAAATTTATAAAATGCCTTAAGGTGCATTTCAAGGTTAAGAGCCTGGGCTGTGCTACTAGATTGCCTAGATTCTAGTCCTGCCTCAACCACCTGCTACTATATAACTTTGCTCAAATGACTTAGCTTGCTCCATATTGTTTTCTCATCTGTAAAATGGGAATTATTAACACCTAGATTAGAAAGCTGATGTGGGGGCCGGGTGTGGTGGCTCATGCCTGTAATCCCAGCACTTTGGAGGCCAAGGCAGGCGGATCACTTGAGGCCAGGAGTTTGAGACCAGCCTGGCCAACATGGTGAAACCCTGTCTCTACTAAAAACACAAAAATTAGCTGGACATGGTGGCACACACCTGTAATCCCAGCTACTCAGAAGGCTGAGGCATGAGAATTACTTGAACCCAAGAGGTGGAGATTGTAGTGAGCCAAGATTGTGCCACTGCACTCCAGCCTGGGCGACAGAGGGAGACTCTGTCTCCAGAAAAAGGGGAAGAAAGTTGCTGTGGGGATTAAATGAAACAATACCTGTAAAGCACTTAGTGTAACACCCGACACATAGGGAGTGCTCAAAAGATGTTGGTATTTATTATGAATATCGTATTATGGATTCTGGGCCCAATGCCAGGCATATATTAAAGAAAGGAGTGAAGTAAAGGAAGCACATGACAAGAGAAGTTCAGTGGCTCAAGTCTCTGCAAAGCCACCTTCCAAATATTGTTCTTAGAAATTCTGGATGACTGCAAACCCAACAAAAGCCACAAAGTAATAAGACTGCCAAAAAGGCTAATGTGGTCTTGGCTTGCATTAAGAGAGTCACAGAGTCCAGAATAATCATAGAGTGGTCAACTACGTTTTTTTCTGTACACTCTCAGACTACAACTGTCAGTGGTAAACTTTGTGAATATCAATATGCCTAGAAGCAAAATGCATGTAGAATATATTAACAAAAGGCACAGACCAAAAAAAAAAAATCCCAAATAAACTTGAAAGAAATCATAAAACTTGAGAGTGAGAAAAGAGGGAAGTGGTCATTTAGTCTGAATCCTCATCCTGTCATAAAGCAACAGGGGAGCAGTGAAGCTCCTCATCATGAACCTCTTAAAAGCAGGAACTGTGTATCATTATTGTTACCTCAAGTGGCTGCCCAGAACCAGAATGTCCACAGTCAGTGTCAGAACAGAATTGCAGCCCCAGGCACCTGCATCCCAGGAGTTGTGCTGACTACATCAGCACTGCCTTTGATTGGATTGGTGGAAAACAGAGAAGAGGAAAGAGTACAGAAGAAAGAATCTGGGATGTCCTGACAAACTCGTCTCACCTCCAGCTTGCTCTAGGGTCAGCAGAGGGCCACCCTATGCAGTGGTAGTTCACCAGCACAGCTTTAGAGAACTGGACCCTCCCTTCGTTCACAAACACTCCCCTCCCTGCTATGATTTCTGCAGGAATAGGCCAAAATTACCAACTTTCCTTTTCCTGATTTATTTCTGATTCATGTAATCGTAGTCACTTACAAACCAAGGATGCACTAAAGTCCAGGGAAGACATGCATTTTATGCACCTTTACTTCACACAAGAGCATCACTGTGGCAGACAATAACCATTGCCCTTCTTAGCTAATAAAAATAGAGCCCCAAGTTTCTGAGAGAGGCAATGAGACGAGCCTCAGGAAATCAAGCATGAGTGATCTACGCCAATCAAGGTCTTCTTGATTCTCTTTGCCAGTTTGAGGGCAGGGATAACGGAGTGGTAATGTGACCCAAGTCTGGTCAATGAGACATAAAGGCAAGTCTTCTGTAGGCTTTGAGGAAAAATCATCTTCTCTGATAAAAAGGAGGAAAAAGGTACCAGGAAGATTCTTTTGCTCCTGGCATCCCATCTTCTTGTTTTAGATGCCATGAAGAAATTATTCTGAAACAATGGCAGCCATCTTATAATCATGAGGTCAGAAGCCTGAAGGTGAATTCTAACACACTTTGAATAGCAGAGGGAAACGAAGGATGAACACAGCCTCTGAATAAACCCTGGGCCTCCTATTCCCATCTTCTTGCCACCATACTTTGTTAGATGGGTTTTCCATTACTCATAATTGAAAGCATCTTATTTATGTCCATCTCCACAATCCTATTATGTCCATTTCACAGGACCAGAAAAATGAATTTTTAGAAATTTAAATAATTTTATAGGACTGAGAGAGGCCATACTGTGCACTGAACACACTGTTAGGTAGTATGTAACACAATTCGGGGTCAAATGGAAGGGGAGTAGAGGGATTAAGATTCCTAAATGCCAGGGCTAAGATCTACCGATAAAACTAAAGGAATTCAAACATTCTACCGTGCTCTAAGAAACAACAGATCTAGAGAGCTGAGGTCCCAGGGGTGCAGCTTGTGTTCTTGAAAAACCCTGAGTGTTTCACTTAGTCAAATATTATGCTTCTGCTTTTTAAATATTTCCATTTAAATGTAGATTTTGACCTTCTCTCCAATGAAATATTAATATGAGTATAAAATATATATTACTCATATCTGAAAGAGGGTCTCTTTCCAGTGTCTGTCATGTTTCCTCTCTGGTGTCTTGGAATGACTTCTGAAAACCATGACAGTTTTATCTGCTGCACCCATCTCTGCCAAATGTCTCACTGAATGACTGAAAGCTAGAAGACCACATCTTTCTCAGGCACATTTTGGATTTGTTTGCATGTGTCTGTTTAATTTATTTCATTCGGTTATCAGTAAGACTGGTTTCCTTATAGCAATAACCATTTAAGTACCAGGTGGGCAAAAATGAAAACTGTCTCCAGCAATATAATAAAAAGGAAAGGCTTATTTCATTTAAAAATCTCCTTTCCTAAATAAGTAGCCCATACTAACATTAACTGGGGTTTCTATTTCTTTCTAATAACTGTAGCCCATTAAGTGGAATAGCAGATTTTTTTTTAATCACACATTGCTCTACCGATTCAGCTTTATCATCTTCAGTATTCAATCAGCCAAATGATGAATAGGGGAATAAGCAGAGTAACGAGGATTGGCTGGTATGTGAATTTTTCCTTATTTATTTCTATCACAGTCTTAATAACTCTCACATGATACAAAGATACTATTTATCAGGCCACTTGAAAAGCAGAACTGTCCCCAGCATTGAGCGCTCAAGTAAAAAGAAGATTGTATTCAAGAGCTGAAATATCTAGTTTCACATCTTATCTTCTTAGTTGTGGACCTTCATGCAAATTCCTTCATCTCTCTGAATCTCAGTTTCCTCTTCTCTAAAATGGACACAGCATGTTTACCTCACAGTTGTGCTGCAAAGACTAGTTGATTACCATTTGAGCTAGGGCCATGAGAAGGTTACCACACTGGTAAACAAAACATCTCAGAAACTAGCCTCTGAGGAAATCTAAAATATTCACATTCCCCCTGGTACTCTACAACCAGGTCAGCCATCAACCACCACAGATTACTGCTTTGTCTGTATCATCCCCATGCATTCCTTTATTCGCCACTTAACATTTTTACTCATTCAACGGAAATTTATACTGCACATCTACTATTTTCCAGGCATTATATCAAGTATCCAGTGTTGAACAATGCAGACATGTCTCCTGTCCTCATGGAGTTTATAATCTTCTCTAACAGACTTCCTAAATTTTGACCTCTTATATATACCTGTTGTTGAAAAACTCTGCCCTAAGAACAAGCCCCTATGCAACCCCTCCCCAATTCTCACTACTCTCCATTCCAACATGAATGCCCCTCCACTAGTCCTGGGACCTAATGAACCCATTTTATTTGGTTTGCCCCTTTACATTTTCATGTAACACTTCTTTAATTCATCTATGAGATATTTCCTGACCACCTCTTGCAGGTCCATTGGAAGAGCTGAAGTCTACCTGACTTCAAATGCTATTCTGAATACCTCTCTTTCAGGTATGGATCCTATCCTTGAATCACTTTATCTTACTTCCAGACAGCTCAGAGTCACCTGTCACTGAGTGTAACAAGGGACTAACTGCAGCCCTTTGCCCACACTGCCTGGATACCATCCTGCCCCCACCTGGCACATACTCCATTATCAGCCTACAACAGAGCAATACTACACTCAAGCCCCCAGCATCTCTGAGTAAACCCTAGCCATTATGCCTGGCTATCAGTGAGGTTTTATACCTCTCGGAAGTCCTGAGCTGAGACGGGCAACCAGCAGAGAGCCAGCCATTAGGGATCTGCTGCCATTCATCTATTTTTGGTGATGCTACCACTGTGCCCTTGAGTCAAAGCACCTGAATCAAGTCCAGTTGCTGAGATCACAGGACCAGAAGCTCAAACACTTAACTTTAGGCTCTCTGACCAAAAGAATAGTCCCAGTGAAAATACATCTAACACACCCAAATAGGTAAAATAAGAAACACTCACTGGTGTCACTGATGGTTTAGGGCTAGAGAGTTTGAACAAAGTAAACTACTTTTGAAACTCTTCCTTTGAAATTTCCACCAGCATCACAGGACACAAAGAGGGGCAAAGAATATCCCACTACTTCCCTGTCACACACTTCTGTGATCAAAATTTAGTCACTTACTTCATAACATCAGAATAAGCTACAGGAGACTTCAGATGTTTCTCAAAAACAAATCATCTTAAGGCTCTGAGAGAATTCTTAAAGAATATGTTATGAACAGTAAAAGCGTCAACACACAATGTCCTAAGGTATGTGCTTTAAAGAGACTCACAATAATTAGGACAAGTTTATCTGGTCACATGTTCCTTATAAAATCTAATTTTCTTATATTAGCATTTCATCCACTTCTTTGCAAGTCTTTTTTTAAAAAAATCCATTTTATCTACCAAACCATAATATTAAGATGCCAACATATTTCTAGATAAGATATTCTTAAACACCATTCAGATTTCTTGATAAAAAATTCTAGATAAGGCATTCTCAAACAGAAATGCATGCATGAGCTAGAAATCTCAGAAATTACATATAAACTTTTCCTGAATTCACAGCTTTCTCTATGCTGAATATAAATATAAATATAAAACAAACACCCATATGCCTACTATTTAGATTCAAAATTGTTAAAACTTTGCCAAAATCACCTTATCTATGCACTCGTCTCTCTCATGGAACCATGTGAAAGTGAATTGCAGATATGATACTTTCATGAAATACTTAATAAGCAACTCCTAAGAATAAAGATATTTTCCTAACACAACCAAAATACTATCACACCTAAGACATTAAGTTCCTAATGTTATCTGATAGCCAGTCCATATTCAAATTTCTACAACTGCCTCAAACATCTTTTACAGCAGTTATAATTTTTAAGCCAGATCCCATCAAGATTTGTACACTGAATTTGACTGTTATGTTCCCTTAGTCTCTTGTAATCCGGAGTAATACCCACCAGCAATTTGTTTCACGACACTGGCTTTTTGAAAAGATCAGACATACCAGTTTTCTTGAGAATGACCCACATTTTTGGTCTGTTTCTTCCTGGTGTGGATTAATTTGTTTTTCAAACCCTTCTATTTTCTGTAAACCTTGTGTTATAGTTTGGATATCTGTCCCTGCCCAAACCTGATGTTGAATTGTAATCCCCAATGCTGGTGGTGGGAGGTGTTTGGATCATGAGAGTGGATCCTTCATGGCTTGGTGCTGTCTTTGTGATAGTGAGTTCTTGAAAGATCTGGTCATTTAAAAGTATGTGGCACCTCCCCCACACTCTCTCTTGCTTGCTCCTGCTTTCGTCATGTGATGTGCCAACCCCTCTCCTCCTTCTAGAAGCTGAGCAGATGCCAGCACCATGCTTCCTGCAAAGCCTGCAAAACCATGAGCCAATTAAACTTCTTTTCCTTATAAATTACTCAGTGTCAGTCATTTCTCTATAGCCATGCAAGAACAGCCTAATACACCTGGTTAGATTCAGGTTAAACATTTTTGGCATAAATTGTTGGTGATGCTGTGTAGTTCGTCACATCAGGAAGCTCCTACTGTCAGGCTATCCTACCACTGTGATGCTAAGTTGAACCACTTTGTTAAGGTGGTGACCGCCATTGTTAAGGGTATACTTTCCCCTTTGCTGGTAATTTGTGGGTTATTCTCTAATAAGATTATTCTGTTCCCCAACATGCTTTCAACTAGTTTTGCATTGACGGCACTTGCCTGTTCAAATTTTCACTGCAGGATGCAAATGCTGATATTCTGTATCCTTCTATATTTTATTTGGTAGCATCCATTTGTAAAGCAGAGGTTTCTCTTACCAATCATGAAAGAACTACAGTTTCTCAGTAAAGACAGGGTGTTTGTTTCATGTAATTTACAATTTATAGAATGAGAAGTTGACATCATAGTCACCTCCAATGATGCCCAGAGTGTCTGTCTGTCTCTTTCTCTCCTCCCACCCCATCTCTCATCACTATGAGTTCAAGAATTTTTATTTGTTCAGTGTTTTACACTCAGTTGCAGTAATTCTCTTGAATGCACAAATTGTCTGAAATCTGACCAGTGGAAGCCTCTTCGACCTGTGAAGCCCAGTGTTCTTATCCCACCCACACATATATTACACTGAAGAGAGCTCAACAAAACCACAGTTATTTGCCTAATCTCCACATCCTTTGGACTTCACAGTGCTTCTCCTAGTGGAACACTTAACAAGTATGTGTTTTTATAAAGCACTTCCTCTACAGATATCAGACATTTTAAATTAGCGCTAAACAAATGAAACAGCTATTAATAAGCTCAAGCCTTGACGAGAATCTTAATTTTGTTTCAGAGCTTAATCTGAACAAAAGCAACAGACACTAACAAAACATGTAATTTAACTCTGAGAAACGCTTTTTGGAATACAAAGAGATTTCTTTATGTTTCCTCAACAGTTCTCCTTTAATACAGACCTACTCACTGACACACAATTGAAGTATAATATGGGAATCAACTAAAACCTAAAACAATTGGGAATATTTAAGATAGAGGGGGAAAAAGTTAGTGAAGTAAAGGTTTTCAAAGACGCTGCCCACCCCCATCAGAGTTCCTGACTCACTGGGTCTAGAGTGAAACCAGCAAATTTGCCTTTCTAATAAGTTCCCAGCTGACACTGAAGCTGTTGGTCCAGGGACCACACTCTGAAAACCACTGGTCTACAATGATTCCTGTTTCTTATCTGCCTCTTTATCTTTCCCCATCCCCCCTCTCCTCCACCTCCACCAAGCTCCTGGACCTCTTATACTTCACTCTCCTGCCATATTTCCTTTACCTACAAAACACGACAACAACAACAACAACAACTGCAGGTGGCTAGCAGACCATTCGTGAGGCAGTGAGGAATAGAACTTGGGATGTTGATGTGATTCTTCTGCCTTAAGACCTGCTTTCCTGAATACCCCCACTCCTACTACTCTACTATCCTTACAAAGAACAAAGTGTTTAATTGGGGATGGGGGGAGATCTTGGGTTTTCTTGTAACTCTCTAAAAGAATATAAGCTTCAGATTAATGTCTTGTTTATAAATCTACAACCCCAACTAGACCAGCTTCCATCCCTTTATTCCATTACTTGGAGAGATAAAATAAGGTCCTATTATAGAAGAAACTTGGGGATTAAGTCATATTCAGCCTACTTGATCTATACATATATGCCTATAATCTGGAATAATAAAAAGTGATTCAAAAAACTCCACTGACATTTACTGAGCTACTGCTTTGCTCCAGAAATGGGACTGAACTCTGCAGACACAGAGAGAAGACTAGATCACAGACTAGTGAGTGAGAAAAGAGCCAAAATCAGGTACTTACAAGGTAAGTACTGCCCAGAATGATGACCCTGGAGCACTGTAAAATGTCCAAGCAAAAAGAAAGCCAGTGAAAAGTTAGCAATTCACTGTCCTCTGGGCATGCAGATGTTAATGTTAACTCCAGCCCAGAGACTGTCAGCAGGCAAAGGGGTTCATACACTCAGGAAGGCCTTTTTCTAACACATACCCGATTCTGATTACGAACAGAAATCCTGCAAATCTACAATAATGCAGCTACAAAAGCTTCATAGTTTGCCCCCAATGGGTACGGAGGCAGAGAGAATGACCAGATCTGACCAAAAATATCTGTTGCCGGTTAGGATTTTAATTGTGACCCAAAAGAGAGCAATCTGGAGCTCATATCCCTAACTAGAGCCAGGGTTTAAAATCATATCCCTACTGTGAGTCTTGTTGTAGGGACTAAAAATTAAAATAAATAAAATAAAACTATGCTCCATGTGGCTTTCTCAGAAGCCACAGCAAGGGCTGAATAAAGGGAATGCATGGTCAATGCCTGGCCTATCCCACTTAAACCACAGCAGCTAAGTTTCCACTTTTTTTATTTGGTTGTGCTATCTAGTAATATCTCCATTTAAAGAAGAGTTCCACTGCTAAAAGAATCTTTAAATAACAAATATAGTTCAGCCAACAAAAGACTGGGATTTGGGTCCTGGACTATTCCTGCCCAGCTTTGTAACTCTGGACAAGCTACAGTGTAGTGATACACAGATAGCAAAGGTTTTGATGGATCCAGATAGCCTGGGTACAAACCCCAGCTCTATCACCTGCCAGCTATGTGGCTTGGGCAAATGACTGAAACTCTCTGTGCCTCAGTTTCCTCACTTGTAAAACAGGGATAATAATACTGTCTACCTGACAGAGTCATTGTGAAGATCAAGCAAGTTAACACAAAAATCACTCTGAACAGTGTCTGGCTTAACCATTGTTAGAGATTCTGCTATCATCATCATCATCATCATCAATCGCTTTAGGCCTGATTCTTTATCTGTAAAATAAACATATTATCTCTAAGTCATCTCATATTCAGAGCCCAAAATTCTTCTAACTTCATGCAAACTTCAAATATTGACCACTGACTTTTGCCAAATGCACAAAATGCCAAAGCTTGATCAGAATATGGGGGCACATATATAACCCCTCCAGTTGTCAGATACCAGCTCCCATTTCAGTATTTATCCATACCAATCTACAATCCCAACTAGACCAGCTTGTAGTAGACCAGCTACAATCCCATCTAGAACATGAGCCTTGTGAAACAAAACAATCCATGCCATCAAGAGAGAAAAGGAAAAGAGAACATCTAGTCCAGAGCCTTAGCTGCAGGCAGAGGCTGCTGCTCAACAGAGATCCGCATCATAAATAGCCTAAGAGAAGCTACACATCCCAGGGAGGCTGGTTTGCAAGTCTGCATTTTATGCCAGATTTAACCAGTCAAAGTTAAATGGAAAACGTGTATTATTAATAAGAGGCTCAGTGTCACTTTATTTCTTATGCTAAAGCATAATCGATGATACCAGAGAGAGTTAAGAGCTTTTAAAATACACCATGTGGTCCCTTAACAAACATGACGCCTCTTGATGAACGCTTCTCTGCTGGTGTCCCTGGCAAATAAGCAAGAACACATAGCAAATTGCTACATGTGAATAGCAAGCCCCCATTTTCCTCTCTGACACAAATGGCTCAGCAGTGACTCATGGCAAGACCAGGAGGCAGGGAGAGGAGGGGCAGGCAATTGTAGACTCCTCTCAGTGGGGCACTTAGGGGGATAATGAAGCAGGAAGCAGCTGGAATCATTTTGGGCCCCCTGAGTAGCATAAAGAGAACAAAAGGTAACCAGGAGAGAGACGTCTAGATTCAAAGCTGAACCCTACCAAGTTCTAGCTGGGTAACCTTGGGCAAATTAACCTCTCTGAGCATCTTCAAAATAGGGAAAGTACTACTGTCTTGAAAGGATTGTTGTTGTAAGAAATAAAGGACTAGGGACATGGATAACTTACATCATTATTGATGTCTTCCCAATTACCAGGACTGCCTAACTATCTATGTGCATTTGTTTCACAGAATCCTCATAATAATCTCTATAAAGTTGGATTATTATTATCCTCATTTTCAAATAAGAAACTGAGGCAAAGACTCGCCCTTTAGTCCTTTTAGCCATCATCCCAGGCCAGGAGCTAACCCTGATTTGTCGCTATTTCATGAAGCCTTCCTTAACTATCCCAAGCGCAGTCAAGGTCTCTTATAGGTAATCAATTCTATAGGGTCCCCTCTAACGAGCAGTTACCATACTGCACACATTCACATGAGAAATATACCTAACATTTACTGTGTACTAATTATGGGTTTTCTTGTCTATTTCCCCCACTAGAGTGAGCTCGAAGTACAAACTATGGCTATCATCCTAAAGTTTCCAACTTCACACACACTATAGCGGTCAATACCTCTTTTGAGCAATAAGTAAACGCTAGTATCATTGTTACTGTGAAAATTTGTTAATTTTTTTAGGCGTGCAAATATGTGGACTGAAACAGAGTTTAAGTGTGCAGAAAGTAAATGCAGTTTTCCCAAACACCCATGGCAAAACTCTCTGTCATTGTTCCTGAGGAGTTTAGTCTGGTGACTTTACTCCTCAATGCGTATAAACTGGAGTGATTTAATCACATAAGAATCTACCTTACCCAAATAGATTAAATTGTGGGCTTTCAAATGGGGATGCAAAAGAGGAGAGAAAAAAAATCACCACACAAGGATTTACCAAAGATTAACTTTACAATGAATGTCCCTAAATCCACTTTAAATAATTCAACTTACATGAATTCTTCGGAATATAGTATCCTTACTACAAAAAGATAAAATTGTTCTATATTTAGTTTTATGTACAGGTACCATATTATGTTAATTTGGCCACAGCTGATTGCTTCAGAGGTGTGGCCAGTCATCTCTCCAAACACACAAGGCAGAGGGCAATTCCTATTTGACAAAGACATCACATGTATCACTCATCCATAAAAGGATAACATGGTGTATGCCTTCTCAGCTAATCTGAGCAGAAATCTGTTTATACTAAGCTGAAGAAAATGTTAGTTTTGTCTAAAATACTCAAGTCCAAAAAGAAGGGCAAAGGGTGGATGTATAAAAGTGTACAATCTTTTGAACCCAAATCTGTCACTTTGACATTTCTCACGCACATAATTTTGTAAGGCTTTCCAATGGTCAACTGAAGAAACAGATAAATGGTGGCTTCTGCTGAGTCCCTCCATCAGCTATGTCAATAAATCACGGCCAGGAGGCAATTCGTTCTAGGACAATGAGCTGCTGCTGCTCAAATGTGTCCATACTCTGATACTGTCAAACCTCTTCACCCTCTTCCCAATAATCAGACTGACATCTGTGCACCTAAATTGATAAACATCTTCTTCACCTCTGGGGTGTTGTATATAGCATTCAACACTTTAAATGTCCTACATGATTCCAGGAAACGAATGTCTCCAACCACTTACCTCCTAATAAAACCAGCAATCTATAATGAAACTCTTTAATGACATGTGCCTTTCACCCTAAATCAGTCTTCAGGCTTTCCCAAAGTCACTGAAATTATTCTTCCTCTATGGCAATCTCTAGAAATCTTGCTCTTGTCACATGCCTGGGTTAACAGGCAGTAAAGGGAAGGCCTGCAATATCTATTATGGTTTGGGAGTCTCTTGACACAAATCTTCAACACTGAATCAAAAGACCTATCTCAAAAGATGGCATTTATCTCCGTATTTTCCCTCACCTAAAATTCCCTCTAAGCTCCCACTAACAGTGATGGGATTCATCTTGTCTAGTGGCCTCTCCCTAGAGTACTGTGTTAAGAAAAATCAGAAGATCAGAGTTCTAAGATCTATTTATGATATTTTCTACAAAAAAAGAAAACCGTCACAGATATGCCATGGATTTTGCCATCTCTCTATCTGTATCTCTTATGTCCTGGGTTAAGGACATTATTTTAATTCTCCTTTCCTTGTTTCAGACCACCATTAATGAGCTCTGAGGCTCTGTTACTCTTTGTGTCTTGATCTCCAGCAATACACCATGTTGTCCCTTAACAAACCTAGAAATTAGTGAGATTCTAGAAATTGGTGAGATTAAAAACGAGCATAAAAGAGACTGTACAAGGTCCACTTTGGATAAATACCCACGATGTTTCGCTAATTCTCAAAATATACAAGATTCCTGACTCTTCCAAAAGTGAAAAGCTGAGAGAACACAGAAGAAAAACCAAGCAAGCAGACAGGCGGCAGATGCATGGAGTACAGAGAAAACGGAGGAAAGGCATGAATGGAAAAGAAAAAAGGAAAAGTGTGAACATAATTTATAAGACGAGAACAAGAAAAGAAGACATAAGAAAAGCAAAAGGTAAACTGGCTTTTATTTGGTTACAGCATTTGGCTGCTTCAGGCCCAAGCTCAAAAGGAAATGTTATAGGATTCTCAGGCTCTGCTGCTTCCTGGCTCCTTTTAGGAGCCCCAGCAGTCATGCTAAGTGCCTAGCATTATCACAGAGCATTCTAAAGTAGTTCTTATTTGACGTCTGCATCAAGGCTTGGTTTGAGTTTTGAACCTTGCATTCTAGTTGCTACACATAAGGCTGAGATTATTCTGCAGTGGTGGCAGAGAAACACACACAGAATGTAACACACCAGAGCAGGTAGTTTATCAGATTAAAGTCATAAAGCAGCAATTCCTCCTGTGTATTATTTCACAGAGCCAGAATAAAGTGATTGAACAACATTAATTCTGTTTAGCAATGAGGGAGCCAGCTCTTTCCTAAACCTGCCTCCAGCACTAAGGGTGGCTCAGGAGCTCTGGAAACATTGCCTGCCTTTCCTTTATTCAGGTGAAGAAGGCAGAGTGAGGAACACCATCTAAAACAGAAGATCAACCTGGAGTATAGAAGAGATGAAACTGGCTAGGCTCCAAACTAAACAATTTCGTTGTAAAATAATTTGAACCCTAAGAATAAAGGCCTTTCATTGCACGCACTAGGGTAACAGTCTGTTGGACTGTTTTCCTAAGCCCACAGAAAACGACCTACAATGTGATGACGCTAGCCAGCCTGTAAAGAAGAGTGACGTAGAGGTGCAGGGGAGTTTAACAGTGGGAAGGGGAAAGAGCAGCAGGTTAAAGCAAGTGTAAAGGACTTACCAGAGCCCTGCTGCTCCCCTCCCTCTCCAAGGCCTATCGCAGTGGTTCATGACCTAGCTGCCCATTAAAATCCCTTGGAAATTTTTCAAAATTGTATATTACTTGGTGCCCAATCCCAGAGGGTCATATTCAATCAGTCTTGGATGGAGTCCAACCATGACCATATTTTTTAAACTTCCAAATGATTCTATCATGAGTGTGGATATAATTTTCTGTGAAGTAACCTTTTAGCATAATTGTTGTAGAATGTAATACACTTATCGGAATATGAACTTTTCAAAGACATTCTAGGACAAGTTTCAAGTTCAAGCAAGATTTTTCAGGATCAAATATCAGGATAATTGCCGGGCGCAGTGGCTTACACCTGTAATCCCAGCACTTTGGGAGGCCAAGGCAGGCGGATCACCTGAGGTTAGGAGTTTGAAACCAGCCTGGCCAATATGGCGAAACCCCGACTCTAATAAAAGTACAAAAATTAGCTGGGCGTGGTGGTGGACATCTATAATCCCAGCTACTCAGGAGGCTAAGGCATGAGAATCGCTTGAACCCAGGAGACGAGGTTGCAGTGAGCCAAGATCACACCAGTGCATTCCAGCCTGGGCAACAGAGTGAGACTCCATCTCAAAAGAAAAAAAAATTGAGATAATATAATAGAGCTTTCACTAAGATTTATAATTAATATGTAGTTCAGATACGATTGGCCTTTTAAAAGGTTGAGATCCAATTATAATTATATAATAATCAGGTCAACAGTGAAGGTGAATGCTTTTGGGGAGCTCATTTTCATACCTGCTGCATGGATATAAGATGTGCAGAAAGAGGCAGAGGACCAGATACAACAGTGATTCTTAATGGGTGGTTCCCGGACCGGTAACCTAGACATCACTGGAGGACCTAAAAATTTTAATTCTCAGGCCCTTTTCCAGACCTACCATACCACCAGGAGTGGAGTCCAGCAATCTGTATTGTAACAAAGCCCTCTAGTTGATTCTGTTTAAAGCTGCAGTTTGAGATATACCTACGAAGAATAATAACTGATTACTCGTCTTTTAATAAAGTATCCTAGAAGCTCCTTGTGGACATCAAGGAGGGAAATTATACATTCTCTGAAGCTCAGACACTCTCAAGCAACACATCTCACAACACAGACAACTAATTAGTATTTTCTGTTACCAAGACTTTCTCCTCAAAATTCCTCTTTGATTTTTACGACTTTACCCTCAGATAACAGGAGGCAGTTTACAGTTAATGTTTTTGTTGTTGTTAGGGATAGAAGGTATAAACCTAAGAGTATGCTTGTAGGTTTTTCTGAGAAGCAACAGGTAAAAATATCTAACTTACAAGGTAAAGTTCTGGCAAGAATCTCCAAGCAAAACCAAGAACTAGATTTCCTAAATAGGTCTGTAATTATTCTCTTAGCCTGTTGTTAATTTATTCAGTTAATCACCAAAAATTTATTAGCCTTCTAAAGGAACAGCATGAGTCAACTTCAGTAGGTAAAAATGTCCAAAGTACTAGTCTCCCTGTTATTCAACACCAGTTGACCCATGGGAGAGAGAAGCAGGGGAGTCTGTAATGCTTACCAGTTGACTAGTGCTCAGCATTATTCTCTGCAGCTATTACATGCTTGCTGTGTGCTGCTGAGGTCAGGATCTTCCACGTGATGGGTCATGTATAGAGCAACTGCAACGTCATTCTAGAACTACCAATCATATCCCCAGTCCCTATAGGTACATCAGTGGCTCCCAAGAACCCATTCCCATATTCAAAATCACCATTCTGTTGATGCTTACTTTCACCTACACTTCTCAATAGATGACCAGGGTAAGAAACACTGTTGTTATTAAAGAAGAAAGAAACAAAAGGTTTAAAACGCTGCAGGAGTTCAACCCAGATCCAGATCACACAACCTCAAAACATTGCTATGGGGAGCAGGGTAGGGGGTTGTCGGTGAGGGGAGGAAACACAGGTATTTCAAGCCCCTGGGGAGGTCCTTCTCTGAGTTTTAGAACATGGCTGCCTTAGGGATTACCATAGGTTCAAAGGATATTTTGAAAATGTCACACAAAATACTAATGCTGCTTAGGGCTGCCAAGCCAACTTACTGAATGAGTTAAAACCCTGAAAATTAAGTCAATGACAAAGCATCTCTCAAATCCATTGTGATTTAAATCATGCCAAGGGCCAAAGCCAAGTAACTTTCAATTATTAAGTAAAGTGATGTAAAATTTTTTAACTTTAAATTCTACACCTCACTCTCTCAATATCCTAAGGGAGAAGAATTAGGGTGCAATTGGAAGCCCTCTGAGGTTTATTTTTCATCATCAATATGGATAATTCTAATTTCTCCTTGCCACTTAGTGTAGGTGCTCTTTAAAACTGAGACATCTGGGATCAAAGCAATGCCAAGACAACGGCATAGCATGTTCAGATGATTAAAAAAAAAAAAAAATCTTAAAAGGTCAGTTGGGTCCTGGCTTACAGAAGGTTCATGCTTCTTACCAAGGCTTACAGTGGACATAGGAGAGACAACCTGGGTCCTTCCAGGTTCTCCAGCACCCTGGGAAGATCAAAGTAGCCAGAGTCCAAGAAGCACTGGTGCTTCCCCACCAAGACTGGCAGCAGTAAGTCCACTGAGAAGCTGTTCCAACTGTTTTTTGTTGCTTATTTTCTTTGGTTCCGTTTAATTCTGCAGTCCACAGGATGAAGTCCTGGAGTTAGGCATCTCATTTCCAGCAATGATGCCCCAAGCCTCTATGAGGGCAGTTAACTATTCTGAGCTTCTATCAGAGCTTCTGTCAGGGTAGATAACTCACAGAACAAATATTGCTCCCTAATTCTAATTGCACTAAATAGCACAATGAACAGACTGTTCTTATTCCTTCAAAAGAAAAAAACCCTTCAAAGTAGCAAATTCCAAAAGGAGGAAAAACAAGGATTCCAACCTTCTTGGGGAGTGGGGATCAGGTGGGAATTAAAGTATATAAATTAACTATTTTCTATACCCCAGAATTTCACTGTTGAATACTGACTCCAGTACCAGGCTGTCTATGAAAGCCTTCCTTTCCTGTCCTTTCACTACTATAAAGGTCTCCTGGCTCTCTACCTCTGAAGGGAGTATACTTAGTTTAGTGATGGGAAAAGAAGATGAAAACCATCGGCATTCCTCAAATCAATACCTTCAAGTCACCTTCGAAACTCTCCTCAGGCTCAACAATGAAAAATGACTTTCCCCTATTCTAATGCTCTGTGATCTACAATTCTAAATTCCTAGTACTTTTGTTTATGAGCTCTACAATCAAGCCAAAGAAAACGATTTAAGTGTCTGGCTAATTTTTAGTACGAGCTCAATAAATGTGTAGTGAATGGATAAGAGAGTAAACAAATAAATATGCTCCATTGCAAGCTATCTGGGACACTCATTTAAACAAATAACAAACGCTTCCTCAGTTATAATGAAATCCAAGGTACTTCCAGGAGGATGTGATACAGATCACTCACTGTTGTTAAAATAACTAAAATAAATAAAACCAACTAGAAAATATTAGAAGATATATTAGGAATTTTAGACAAAGTGTTATTAACCATTAAAGTTGGATCTGAGCTCATTGGTGAAATAAGACAACAAGAAAACATACTGAATTTTTATGTATTTATGTATTTACTTATTTTTTAACTTAAAGTTCCAGGATACATGTGCAGAATGTACAGGTATACCTATGTAATCATAGGTATACGTGTGCCATGGTGGTTTGCTGCACCTATCAACCCATCATCTAGGTTTTAAGCCCTGCATGCATTAGCTATTTGTTCTGACGCTCTCCTTCCCCTTGCCTCCTCCCACACTGCTCCTGGTATGTGTTATTACCCTCCTTGTGTCTGTGCTTTCTCCTTATCCAGCTCCCACTTATGAGTGAGAACATGCGCTGTTTGGTTTTCTGTTCCCGTGTTAGTTTGCTGAGGATGATGGCTTCCAGCTTCATCCATGTCCCTGTAAAGGACATAATCTCATTCCTTTTTGTGGCTGCACAGTATTCCATGGTGTATATGTACCACATTTCTTTATCCAGTCTATCACTGATGGGCATCTGGGTTAGTTCCCTGTCTTTGCTATCGTGAATAGTGTTGCAATAAACATATGTGTGCATGTGTCTTTATAGTAGAATGATTTATGATCCTTTAGGTATATACCCAGTAATGAGATTGCTGGGTCAAATGGCATTTCTGGTTCTAGATCCTTGAGGAATCGCCACACTGTCTTCCACAATGGTTGAACTAATTTACATTCCCACCAACAGTGTAAAAGCGTTCCTATTTCGCCACAGCCTCTCCAGCATCTGTTGTTTCTTGACTTTTTAATAATGGCCATTCTGACTTGGCATGAGATGACATCTCATTGTGGTTTTGATTTGCATTTCTCTAATGATCAGTGATGTTGGGCTTTTTTTCATATGTTTTTTGGCCGCATAAATGTCTTCTTTTGAGAAGTGTCTGTTCATACCCTCTGCCCACTTTTTGGTGGTGGTGTTTTTTTCTTGTAAATTTGTTTAAGTTCCTTGTAAATTCTGGACATTAGACCTTTGTCAGATGGATTGCAAAAATTTCTCCCATTCTGTTGGTTGCCTGTTCACTCTGATGATAGTTTCTTTTGTTGTGCAGAAGCTCTTTAGTTTAATTAGATCCCATTTGTCCATTTTAGCTTTTGTTGCAATTGCTTTTGGGGATTTCATGGTAAAATCTTTGCCCCATGCCTATGTCCTGAATGGTACTGCCTAGGTTTTCTTCAAGGTTTTTTATGGTTTGGGGTTTTATATTTAAGTCTTTAATCCATCTTGAGTTAATTTTTATATAAAGTGTAAGGAAAGGGTTCAGTTTCAGTTTTCTGCCTATGGCTAGCCAGTTTTCCCAGCACCATTTATTAAATAGGGAATCCTTTCCCCATTGCTTGTTTTGGCCAAGTTTGTCCAAGATCAGCTGGTTTTAGATGTGTGGTCCTATTTCTGAGGTCTCTATTCTGTTCCATTGATCTATATGTATGTTTTGGTACCACTACCATGCTGTTTTGGTTACTGTAGCCTTGTAGTATAGTTTGAAGTCAGGTAGCATGATGCCTCCTATACTGGATTATTTTATTTGCCACTTTCCAATAAGAAGAAATACAAGTTCATCAGGAAAGAATAATTTTTGCCTTATACTATGTTTTAGGAGTTATGTATCATGTCAATTCTTACAGAAAGAATACTGAAAACCCCCAAGACAGTTTTTAAATGGCTGTTTTTCATCCTCATGGCCTGTCCCCTTGCTTTGGAGAAAATGCTAGCAGAAGTGATATGGAAGCAAAGTATGAGAACACTGGACATTACAATATAATATTTATGTTAATGTCTATGTTAATTGTGTGTGTCATACTTGTGTAAAAGCATTTCCAATATTTTCTAATTTTATCTCAAACCATCCTGTATGAATGGGGTAAGATAGTTATCAGTTATAATACACTAGACTGAAGGAAACAGAAAATCCAGCCAAAATAGTTAAAACGTGATTTTTCTTTCTCACACATAACAAGAAGTCCCAAAATGGAATGGACTCAGGCTGATCAATTCAACAGCTCCACAATATCATCAAAGATAGTATCTATCTTTTGTACAGCTTTGCTGTCCCCTGCATGTGGGCCTGTCCTCTTACGCTGGCTCACGGTTCAAAGATGGCAACTGCCAATTTCAAAGCACCACATGCAGACAACAACCAGATAGAAATTATACTTCTCTTCATCAAAATCAAGGAAACGTTTTCTAGAAGTGCCCACACAAGATTTCCCCTCATGTCCAGCCAGCCAGACCTGGACCTTCC
This sequence comes from Homo sapiens, assembly GCF_000001405.40. Taxonomy (NCBI): domain Eukaryota; kingdom Metazoa; phylum Chordata; class Mammalia; order Primates; family Hominidae; genus Homo; species Homo sapiens. Next base: position 69,828,226 of record NC_000007.14, on the reverse strand, counting down.
TAAGCCCATCACTGACAAGGAGTAGAAATATAATGACTGGAATAGACTAATCAAGATGTACCCCCCTGAACTCAAGTCCACATGGAAGTGAACACCTAAATAAAATCAAAGTTCTGCAAGCAAGGATGTGAGGTGAGCTGACAAATTCGCATTGACATCTCCTCCACAGCAATGCTATCAACCTTGTTTCCCAACCCATTGATCAAGTCCTCACGGAATGCTGGTCCCCAGCCTGTATTATGTAATGTGATTTGAGGCATGGCAGTTTCTACAAAAGAATTACTGCAGAGCACTCTCGTCTACAAAAGACACGAGGCAAAATTAAAAGAAGAGGAAGGAAACCATGCTGTGGGCCTTCCTCTGTGGGAACCAGCATATTCACTGGCCACAGTGCTGCAGACAACTAGGAATGAGCAGTCATAGAGACATCCCATCAAGGTTTTCAGTGACTCCGTTCAAGTACAGTAAATAAGGAACAGAACAACCCTTCTCTCATTTCATGAGACTTTAAATGCCCCTTCTGATGCCAACCAAAAAGATAAGCTTTGTTTATCTTAACCACAATTGATGAAGTCAAGTGCTTACTTCCCCTTAAATGGAAGGAGTGCTTTTCTCCACCTCCCTACACCTTTCCCCTGGCCAAGTTTTAAGTTCTTGTGTTTTAAGTAAGAAGAGCTTCATGTGGTGTTCTAAAATCCACTTCATGCTTCAAATTTCTATTGAAGAATATACTGCAGCCATCTTCAGAATCCAGGGTTTTTTTAGGGGTTTTTTTTTCCCCTCTTCTTTTTCCCCCTCTATCACGGTTACAATCCATCTACGCAGGATAAGTGCATCCTGGATGGAGGTAAGTGTGCTGCGCAAACACACAGGGAGCTCTTGAGTACAAAAACCACTTTCCTGAGTTTGAGATCCTTAACTCTGACTGTTCTCCTTACATGCAAACATAAGTTAACAGTCTCTCTGGGATTGGGGGCAAGGAAGCAAAAAGACGCTTTGCTTATAAGAGGGAGAAAAGAGGAGAGTAAAGGCAGGACAGAAAGAACACATAGTCCAAGCAGATTCCTGGGTGTGGCTCTTTTCAAAATTCCCAGAAGCTACAACCACCTCTCCATGAGCTAGTTCTGGGGCCCAAGGAAAGCATTTCCCACCCTGGACCTGTCTGGTAACTGGGAGAAACACTCCCAAAAGTCAAGAAATTAGAAAGCTCAATAGCCAAATGCCTAATAAAGACAGAGCTGACATGAAATGGGTGTTGACTCTTTATCCCTTCACAGATAAACAATGTTATTTTTATCCTAGACTTCCTTGAGATGGAAGTAAAGGTAGACAGCATAGAACACATACTAGACACTCAATAATTTGTTGGAGGAAGGAAAACAACTCATAAACCACCCCAGAAAAATGTAGTCTTCCAAAACTAAATATATTAAGCTTTAACATTATCATCCTAGACACACAACATAGACTGAGAAAAACACCTTGCCTAGGAATAAAATACCACACACAAATATTCACACTTACAATAGACTAAAAGTGAAAGTAGGCATTTTGGAGAGGCAAGATCAGAATTCTTAATAAAAGATGACACTCTCTTGACTACATCAAGTGTATATTCCCGTCTATCAACTGTGCTCTACAGAGGCAAATGGCAAGATGCTTAATATTAATAGTTGCACACGCACACACACAAGCAAGCACATGCAATGCAAATAAAGGATTCAACTATGACAGCCAGGACAGAACCCTGAGATGCCATTAGTCACATTTATAGGGTGTTCTAATCCAAGCAAAAGTACTATCCAAAGCTCAGTGTACTGAAGGGATTTACAGTCAAAAGCTGTGGATTCAAGGCCCAGGTCTATCACCTTAGGCAGGTCACTTAACCTTGCCGCATCTTAAATTTTTTTATCCATAAACTGGAGACAATAATTAGTTACTTTGCCAGTCCACAGCCGTGTGAGAGATTAAAACCTTCTGGACAGGAAAACTATAAAATAACTAACTAACTATAAGGGGTTATCCTTACTTAATATACTTCTCAATCTACAAACCAAAAAATAACAAATTATCAAACTCCCAGGCCATTCTCCCCTGTGTTCATAGAATTCTCCCTGCATGAATAACTATAGCTGCAGGACCTGATTCAATATGGGCTACCTAAAAAGGAAAAGAAAGAAAGAAGAGTTTTTAAAAGGCCCTAATTCTCTTGACTGAAAAAGGTGTCTGTGTTTAAGAGCAAAACAGGGCAATAGAGAACCTGTTTCCAGTTGGAGTGCAGAACCACAACACTCATAAGGACTAGATGCTTAAAGAGGAAATAAATGGCACTACGTTAATTGCTTCTTTACCTGACAATTTATGTTGCACACAGCAAGCCTCTGCTGATCTTAACCAAGGATCAGTTTTATGCCTCAAGCATTCCGAAGCTGGGCGTCTTCCTCCTCCTGGAACAATAAAAGTGTATGCTTGTGGACCTGCTCCCTTACGGACCACTGAAGGAGAAAGGCTCAGGGATTAAGTAAAAAGGCTAGTACATCTGGGCTCCATTCCATTATTTAGTCATCCAAAAGAAGTGAAGTGGAGGATAGTGAGCATCTAGTATATGCCAGGCACTAGACTGGCTGCAGAGGATTCAGAGATACAAAAGACACACTTGTTACCCTCCAAACCGCTACCCAAATACAACCGCATGGCTCCATTGTCAAAATCAGCACTGCAATGGAAGACAACAAGGTTACTGCTGAGAAAAAGCAGAACTGTTCTCATGCCACTGGTTCTTCCATTAAGACAGTGCTTTCGGAGGAGAGCCTCTCAGCCCAGTTATACCCTAGAATCACCTAGGGAGTTTTTTAAAAACATCAATGCCTGGGCCCCATCCCAGAGCAACTATGTATCTGGAACTGGCCCAGGCACTAAAATTTCTTAAAAGCTCTGCCAGTGATTCTAATGTGACCCCAGGGTTGAGAACCATTGTTTTAAGTCCTTCTGCCCCAGGAAGCTTTCTCTCATACTGACAGATGGCAGTAATGCATAACAGAAGAGGTCTAAAATTGTTAAAGGACATGTGGCCTCATTCATATGGATTGCAAAAATTAATATTAAAAAGATAACTATGTAAACGCTAAAGAAAGCTCTACTTACTGGCTAAATAAAGAAATTTCTTTCTAAAATGGCCCAGGAAATATGTTAGCAAAAATGTTTCTTGATTTTAAGTTACTATCCACACAAAATCACCAGTAAACAGGAGCCACCGAAGTATAGTGAAGTATTTTCTGCATAAGGTTCAATCCCACCAACCCTTTGTCTTTTAACTTGTCATTAAAAGTCTTATTGCGCAATCTCCGAAATAGATACAGCTTTTGATTGCCAGCCAAAGCAGATCAGGAAATGCAGATTAAGTAGACAGCTGCAAAGCTCAATTTCACCAGTAACTACCCCAAACCACATATAAACTCAAGCCAGAAGGAGAAGTATGGCCAATGAAAGTGCCAAATGCCCAGGTCTTTTATCTGATTGCTCTGTTTCCATGGCCTTACCAAAATGAAGGGAAAGGTGACAATGTCCACAGAAAGGAAACGCAGACACTCCAGTGGCTTGTATGGCAAGGAGGGTTCTCAGAACTGAGGGGTTGTGAAGCTGATGAAAATGATAGTGAAGCCCAACCAAGATCGGCGATTAAAAAAAAAAATCGAGGGCTGGTTTCGGTTCCTATATAAATTATACTTCTGCCACAACAATGGACCACAAGATATCAGTTCTCAGAAATAATAACAATGATTTATGACATTAAGTATCACACTTATTTTTTTTTTTTTGAGACAGAATCTCGCGCTGTCACCCAGGCTGGAGTGCGGTGGCGCGATCTCGGCTCACTGCAAGCTCCGCCTCCCAGGTTCACGCCATTCTCCTGCCTCAGCCTCCTGAGTAGCTGGGACAACAGGTGCCACCATGCCCGACTAATTTTTTGTATTTTTAGTAGAGATGGGGTTTCACCGTGTTAGCCAGGATGGTCTCGAACTCCTGACTTTGTGATACGCCCACCTCGGCCTCCCACAGTGCTGGGATTACAGACGTGAGCCACCGTGCCCAGCCGTATCACACTTATTAATAGCTATAATTTGAGTACTTACATCCAGTGACTAAGCTAATCATTCAATCTCACAATATCTCACAAAATCCTCACAATATCTCAGTGAGGTTGGTATTATTACTAACCCTATTTTATAGATGAAAAAACTGAGGCAAAGAGAAGTTCAGGTCTTGGTCAAAATCATACCTCTAGAGTTTCAAGTCCGGCTGTCTCTTCGGAATACAGAATTCTCAATTTCTCTCAAAGTATCTAACAAAATCACCTCAAAACTCATCAAATCCATTTCACTGTCAATGTTCATATGAAACGTTTACATTTTCCCTGGGTAACTGAGTTCCTCTTGCTGGTTTTTTGTTTTTTTTTCCACCTAGCAATCATGATTTTTTCCTGTATTCAGTAAGTGCTTCCTTTTATGTGCACAGAAAAATCAATGTCATGATAATGGTGGTGTAAAGCTGAAGTGATCCCCAGTATAAGTGAAACCTGTTGATTAGCAGGCCCGGCACAACTATAGTACTTTGATGTTAGTCGCCCCTAATTAAAAGAGCACTCAACAGTTAAGTACACAAACGAGTAAGCTGAAAAGACCTGTGTTAACAGCAGGGGTGATCTACCAATGTGTCCAATGCTGATGGACTGTAGCTGCTGTGGGACACATGTTTAGGCATCTTTTCATCACTGCTGCTCAACATACAGTTCAACAAGCAGGCTCCTTTCAAGGGCTCCTTACCTAAACAAATCCCCCTTGCTTCTACAAGAGTCTATGCTGAGTGGAGTTCAGATTTAACGAGGCATGCAACCTTATGCCATTCCTAGCCAACTACTGTCCTGCACAATCTAATTGCCAGGTGTAATAACCAACACTGTAGCTGCAGCTTCCACTCAGGAGAAGGCAGCAAGGCAGATACAGCAGCACATCACGCCTAAGTTATGAGACGGGACAAAGACAAGGGAGAGAGAGGTTGCTGAAAGGAAACTCAAGTGTAAGGATAGAATGATGACTTCGTTTTTTTTACAGTTCTGCCTTCCTCCCACCATTGCTAAGTACCAATATGCTTGCTAGGAAGTGGAGACAAAAATGCAAATAAGTAGCTTAGACCAAACAACTCAAAGTCCCCAGTTTCTCTGGACACTTTCTCTCACCTTCTCCCTAGTTTTCCATTTTAGATTTATTTTTGTCACTTGCAAAACATGGGGACCTCGGCAGTAAGTGGGCTGAAGTAATAAATAGGACCTTCAAAAGCTCCAGGTTTATTTCTAAAATTGCAACCTTCCTCACAACAGGAGTAGCAGCCATATGTATGATCTCATGGGATCAGGACTCAAGAGACTCCCACTAGGCAGATATTGGATTGGACTCCACTCTCAACTCTGGTTAACAAAGAAAACAGCACAGACTTTGTTTTGTTCTTCCATCATCTTGGGTGGGGCAAGATTCTATCTGTCCTGTGCTAAAACTCTTAAACTCTTTGAGATACAGTTTCATCAAACAAACTTCCATATCTTATGCTGCTTTTTCCTTTCTCTTAACACCTCCCAGCAGTCAACACTTCTGCCAAGATCAACAACTGTCCAATTATAAACAAAATGTATCATTCTATTCGCCAAAGTCTAGAATCTAGAGCAAAAAGGGTACAGGCTTTGCAGGCAGGCAGGCTTGAATCAAATCTTTTGCTTTTGGAGATGAGATCTTGCTGTGTTGCCCAACTGGTCCCAATTCCTGGGCTCAAACAGTCCTCCCACCTTGACCTACCAGGTAGCTGTGAGCCACTACAGGTGTGAGCCATAACACCCAGCATGAGTCAAATCTTGAATATGTCTCCAAGCTACATATCCTTTGGACCTTCTATAAAAATCAATCTCTGTGTTGCTAAAATTGTGATGGTTAAGCTCTACCAATGACAGGCATAAGTGGCTGGTCCACAGTGAATTGTAAATATTTCTTCCCTCTCACCCTTAACTAATATGACTCTATTGTTGCTTACATCACCATTTTTCTAGAACTCTGCTAGTTCAAGCCCTTCTCATCTGCCTCACAGTATTAAAACTAGACTAGCCTTCTAACCCATCTACTTCCCTCCAGTCACTGATTTTTTAATTAGATTCATGATTACAACTCTAATCTTGTTACTTCCCTGCTCAATAACCTTCAGTGGCTCCCCTCTGCCTTTAAAGGAAAACAAAAACTTACTAGACTTTTTTTTTTTTTTTTTTTTTGGAGACCCTGTCTCACTCTATCGCCCAGGCTGGAGTGCAGTGGTGCAATCACAGCTCACTGCAGCCTCAACCTCCTGAGCTCAATCGATCCTCTCACCTCAGCCTCTGGAGTAGCTTGGACTGTGTCCAGAGTTGGTTCCTTCTGGTGGGTTCTTGGTCTCACTGACTTCAAGAATGAAGCCTTGGACGTCAAGGTGAATGTTACAGCTCTTAAAGGTGGCACGTCTGGAGTTGTTTGTTTTTCCCGGTGGGTTCATGGTTTCCCTGACTTCAGCAATGAAGCTGCAGACCCTCGCGGTGAGTGTTGCAGCTCTTAAAGGTGGTGCAGACCCTAAGAGTGAGCAGCAGCAAGATTTATTGTAAAGAGAGAAAGAACAAAGCTTCCACAGTATGGAAGGGGATCAGTGCTGCATTGCTACCGCTGGCTGGGGTAGCCAGCTTTTATTCCCTTATTTGTCCCTGCCCACGTCCTGCTCATTGGTCCATTTTACAGAGCACTGACTGGTCCATTTTACAGAGTGCCGATTGGTGCATTTACAATCCTTTAGCTAGACACAGAGTGCTGATTGGTGCATTTACAATCCTCTTGCTTGACAGAAAAGTTCTCCAAGTCCCCACTCGACCCAGGACGTCCAGCTGGCTTCACCTCTCAGGACTACAGGTGCATGAAAAACTTACTGGACTTAAATGTGTATTTCTTCATATCTCTACTCCTCTGGATCCACCCCCATCCCCAAGTTAGATTCCAGTTCCCTCTCTCCAGTATACACACAGCACTTTATACATACTGGGCACTGAATCTATGTTGAGCAGCTTATCACTTTTTACAGTTACCCCTAATTTTCATGAGTGCCTCTCTCACTTTTAAAGTAGTAGCCTTAGGCAAATAAAATCTTCCTCTTGAGAATCTCACGTTATAAAGCCTTTCCAGGTGCAGAGCCCTGGCCCCAATTAATTGCACCATTGCCAGAGGTAATAAAAGAGATGAACTCACAGGAATCCAACTTGTGAGGAATATATTTTCTTCTTCATAAACCTGCCTAAGTTCTATAGTTGATTTTACATTAATTTTTCTTGTCCGGAGTGTGTGTGTGTTTTCACTACACTTAACTAAGCTCTTGAAGGAACAGAACCCTCCCTATCACATCTGAGCTCATTCATGCTACTCTACCTCTTTCTCTCCTATTCAGTCCTCAAAACCTGGCTCAATAACTTCTCTCCCCAGCAAACACTGCCTTGATGATCCCTGCTCTTCCAGTCTTTGACCCCTTTCCCACATGATTGACAGTCCAGCTTAGCATCCTGCTATAAAGCACCTTATTCTCTCCTTCGCTGTGCCCTATAGGAAGCCCTTAATTCTATGTGCCTTGTTTACTCATTTATTCCCCCTGGAACTGATGAACCTAAAGCAGGAGTTGTCAAACTTTAGCATAAATCTGAATCACCTGCAGAGTTTGTAAAACACCATCCATGGTTTCCAATTCTGTTAGTCTGGGCGATGCCCCAAAATCTGCAATTCTAACAAATCCCCAGAGAATTAGGGTGCTCCTTGTCTGGGGACCAACTTAGAGAACCACTGACCTAAACTTCTCCTTCCCCAACTAGGTGGAAAGCATCTCTGGAGTCTGGAACTCATAATTATTTTGTATTTCACAAAGCTGGGCAGAGAGTAAGTGTTGGGGGATTCGTGGCCTTTTAGTCCAGTTCCCACATGCCAGTGTGATGGAGCTTCCCTTTACCTACAGCACAGTCCACTGTAGGTACTGCCACTGTGGGAGCCGCTCTTTATCAGTCCTGCATGTATATGACTCCCAGGCAGTACCATCTGATTGAAGAAGGGCAGAGGGAAGCACATCTCATAAACTCCATGAAATGCAGCAGCAATTAACCTCATAGGACAAGAAACTAAGTCTTAGGTAGAACAGTCTCCTTTGATAAATATAGGTCCTATACACCTCAAGACTGGCTCATACTTTAGTTATAATGAAGCTAGTTGAGTTATAATAAAGCTTACTGGGGGCTGGGCCCAGTGGCTCAGGCCTGTATTCCTAATGATTTGGAAGGCACAGAGAATCACTTGAGCCCACTTAGGCAACATAGTGGGACCCTGTCTCTGCAAAAATACACTAAAATTAGCCAGGCTCAGTGGCATGTGCCTATGGTCCCAGCTATTTGGGAAGCTGACACAGGAAGATCACTTGAGCTCAGCACGTCAAGGCGGAAGTGAGCCATGTTCGCACCACAGCAAAAAAGCAAACAATTTTTACTTTTTAAAAAACTCCCTTAAGATTCCCGTTTTGGCACATTCTCCCATATGCCTCTGATCCACTGTGCACAACATGAACAGGCAGCCAATAGTTTACACAGGCAGCTCAGCATACACCTGTCATCAGTTCACAGGAATCCAACTGTTTCCTTCAAGAGTAATTAAGCAACACCATCAGGAGGACAATAGAGGTTGACAAAGTGCCTAAAACTTCCCCAAGAAATGTTTAGAGGACTGCTGAAGATAGAAGACAACTGTGCTTTTGCAGCACTTAGTCATACCTTCGTATTAAAGTCAATGAAACTGAATTTGACCATTTCTCTGGCTCATTTCCTCAGGCCTGTTTTGGAAATGGGAAGAAAGGGTGAGGAAGTGGCAAAAATCCAAATCCCAAGAAAGCTTCCTCGACTTGAATCAAAAATTCCATTTCTACTGGAAAAGGAAAACCCATCGACACTGCTTGAGTTTATTTGATGTGTTGCACAATTCCCTTCCGTTCAAAAGTCATTTCCATCACAAGCCACTTAATCAAGTACAAAAGATACCCTTACTGGGTCCCACTGTACCATTTCCACAAAACTCAGGCACACCCAAGCTCTCTGCTCCTGTCCTTGGTGAGATCTGCCCCTCTTGGCAGATTGGTTGTTCCAAAGAAAACAAAGGTGAGGGGCACTTTTTCCCTACTCAGCAAAAATTCAGAATCTACTTACTAAACACAATCAAATTTTACAAGGCACTGAAGTGGTAACCCCCAAACAGAGAGCCCATGAGGCGATAAATATCTTATAAACACAAAGGTCACAGACCCAGGTGTTTATGAGCATAGAAGATGTTTATGGCTATCCACTCGGCTAGAAATTTGCTTTCAACCTTACTCTCTCTTCTTTATCGCCAGCCACATTATTATTATTCTCCAATTATTTTTGGAAAACACAAAGCAAAGAGGACTATAAAAGAGCTTTATGAGACTGCTGAGCCAAATCAGCATGCCAGAAACAAATCAATGCTTCGGAGAGTTCTGAATACAATTATAGACAAACAATAGTCCAATGTATCTGGTAATCTCCCTCCAAACCATTATTGCATAGATTAAAAGATTACAGATATTCCTCTTTGCTCCTCAATATTAATAGTGATATAAAGCACATTTAATAAACCCGAACTGCCACAGTCCTAAAGTTGGATTATGGGTCTGGTTCTTCATAAACTGACATGTACATGCAGACTCCAGTTTAATAATATACAATCTCGGGTCAATCAAAATCTACCCTCACCAGCTCTCTATTTATTATCATTTTTGCCACAACCTGCACCCAATCAGATGCTGTCCTACAACTCTCTTGGCTGGCAGCTGCACAAAAATCTGCACAGCATCAGCATAACAAGTGACAGGTCTCCCCATCAATTACAACTCTGAGGAAAAGACGGCTTCAGCGGGGACATAACCCCACAGTCACACACCACCTTAGTTTCTGACGGACCATCAGATCAGAAAGGAAGCTGTCATCAATGGAGAAAAGGAACCCAGCTCCTCATTAGCCAGGGTTTTCTTTTCTTCTCTTTTTTCAACATACATCAAGGAATAATCATGGGCCAACTCAACTCTGACAGCTCCTTATGTAAATGGCATTTAAATGCAGGCAAACAGCTCACAAACAAAGGGGCTGCAGCTAGGTTGCAGCTCACAGACCCACTCAGACCTAGCATCCATGCTGTGGGTCTCTCTAGGTTTTATCTCCCACCAAATCAGCAAAAAACATTACCATAAACACAAAGATATTATTAGGTAGCTTTGCAGAGGGTGGGGATAAGCTGTGTGCATCCTGTTGGGGTCCAGAGGCAGGTTCTCATGCAGGAGGGGACAGCACCTGCCTCCTGGACCACCCACATCCCCGGGCAGGGCTGTCCCGCCACCCAAGGCAGGCCATGGTTTAAATATCATAACTCCACCTCTGCCCAGCTCTCCACGCTTCTGCTACTCATAATCCAAATCCTCATTTCTTTCAGGTCCAACTCAAGGCCTACTTCCCCCACAAAGTCCCCTCCCTCAGCAACCCACTGGAAGCCACTCACATATGATATCCTGTGGTGCTCAGACAGAACACTGCACACCAGAACCTTGGAATCTATTTTGTCTTGAACAGTCCTCCAACTGTTAAATATAGGTCTTATAATCCCAAATGACCACTAAGGTTCCCTTAGCCAGACATACTCTCCTTCTCTTCCTCCTCAAAGAGGTTATACACAAAGTACCCATAAAACCCCTGCACATTAAATACTGCCTTCAGCAAGGAATGAGTAAGACAGGAATGTGACCAAATAGGGGTAGAGGCAACAAGGGTGAGCTGCTAGAGAGCCGAGTTCTTGGCAATCGAAAACACAGCTGTTCATCCTTCAAGCTTCCCCAGCATCCTGCTTATATCTTAGCAATCCCTTTACTATGCAATTGTCAGTCTTCTATTTTCATATTTGCATCAGAACAAGTGATCCTCAACAGCAGTGCTGTCACTGGTGTGGAGTCCCTGTACCACTGAGTGAGCCCATGATGAAGAAGAATGGCAAACATTTATGGAGTATTTGCTATGTCCAGAGCACTGTTTAAAGGACTCCACAACAGCCTTCCTAGATAGGTACTATTACTATCTTCATTTTGCTGATGAAAGAACTGAGGTTCCAAGAGGTAACAGAGGTCACAAAGCTAGTGAGCAGATACTGGGACCCAGCTGTCTGGCTTCAAAGCCCATGCCACCAAGAACTTGCTGAACGAATGAGTGAATGACATACTTTGAGCAGGTAAGTAGCTGCAGTATAAAGGAGCATGAAGAGCAGTAGATTTGGAATCAGATGTCCCAGCCTAGAATCTTGGCTCTGTCAATTACTGGATAGACTTTGGCTAACTCATAACCTCTCTGGCCCTCATATCTACAAAAAGAATGTGGATAATAAAACCCATCTTGTAATTTTGATGTAAAGAGCAAACATGAAGGAAAGCTCTTGGTAAACTGTAAAGTACTCTATAGTTATCAGTCAACTGGGTCAAAAGTCAGTCCTTTGTAAGGATCCAAGATATTAGTACCATGAAACTTCTGAGACTAGACAGGATGGAGCAAGAAAGCGCAGCAGACAGCAGCTGTGAATGCTGTGCACGGGGCCGAAGAGCTTACCTACGGTTTGGAGAAGCAACCTGTGTGAAGCCAACCTTCGTTTCCAGCCCTCAACCAACAAGATTCCGCATGTGTTTCAGCTCCGTCCTAGACAAAAATCTGATCTTAGCCAGAATAACTGAGTTTAACACATAAAAGAAAGTACTAACCCCAACTGATTCAATCTGCTAATATTCTTCCGTCTGGGGAGAACGGAATGTAAGTCGATATTTTAATTTCAAGGGGCTGGCTCCTTCCCTTTTAGAAATCATCAGGAAATAAAGCTTTGAGATGTCAGAAAGGTTTAGATCCAAGAAGCCTGTCTCCCACGGGGAAAGCTTGCCCCCATTGTTAACAGCTTTAATCAGAAACTCAGGCCCTGAATACACAAACCTAGGCATCATTTCTATTACACCTTCTACAGTACTTTGATTTCAGAGGCAAAAGGCTTGGCCTGTATTCCCTCTAGCAAACTGTGTAGCAGGTGACATGACCTTTCTTGGCTAGATTCATACTGACAGTCACCCAAGTCCAAACACAAATTACTGCTTCCAACAGGAAGTCATCTAATGATACAGGCCTCTTAGAGTAAACAGCGTGAAGTAGTCAAAGATGGCTCTGTTGTATCTCACCATTAACAGGTAGAACATATGCGCAGCTGAAATGTGTAGGTCATCATGTTAAGTTTCATTGAAGCATTTAAAAAAGTAGTCACACCTGTAATCCCAGCACTTTGGGAGGCCAAGGCAGGTGGATCACGAGGTCAAGGGTTCGAGACCAGCCTGGCCAACATGGTGAAACCCTGTCTCTACTAAAAATACAAAAATTAGCTGGGCATGGTGGCATGTGCCTGTAGTCTCAGCTACTTGGGAGGCTGAGGCAGGAGAATCACTTGAACCTGGGAGGCGGAGGTTGCAGTGAGCTGAGATCATGCCACTGCACTCCAGTCTGGCGACAGAGTGAGACTCCATCTCAAAAAAAAAGTAGTCATAAAGAGGCCTGGAGAAGATGCAAAACAACAGAGCATTTCCTCCAATGTACTATAAACTACCTGTTTTTTTCAAAGATCTATCATTCCAAAGGTAACTTTAAGATTGTTGTTTCCAATACCTCAATCCTTTCAACCTGACAACTTTTGAACTTATGAAACTCCCTCTTAAGGAGATATAGATATATAGATATATAGATATCTATATCTCCTTATTAAGTCCAAGGGAGAAAACCCCCAATTTCAATAAAAGAAGTGTTCGATTATGTGCAAGCTGCAAGGTAAAGGGAAATACACCCATTCCCTTTCAGAAAATATATCCATTTTCTAGCTATGGAGCAACGCACATCAGCTACACAGATAGGATATGAAAGTCTTTGATGCCTTATCACAGTTTGGGCTACTATTTTATTATTCTACAAGGCAGCAACTTAAAACCAAGTCAGAAGGCTAGCTGTAAATGTCTTCATGGCAAAGCCAGGGTAATTTACAACTGAGGCATCACTATTTTAAAAAATAAATTTTAACTGAAAAATAATTGGCTTCTCTCTCCATCCCTAAATGGGGACCTCGCTCAAGAAAAGAATGCCTATCATTCTTGAAAAAAGGAACTGCTGCCTTTCATTAAGATGCCACGAATGCTTTTCTGTTGGCCACAACACTGTCAAGGGCGGAGCATTCTTGGCAAACCCTGCAGCATAAAGAGGTCAGCCCTCCTCTGCAAGCACCCAGCCCCCAGACATCTCCAGCGTGCACGCTCCATTCGCCCATACCGCTGGGCACACGCTGTGCACACACAAAGTTCCTGCAGATTTTTCCAAGTGCCAATTCAGCCCCCAAGTGCACATTCACTGTGCAGGCTGAAAGCAGGGTTGCAGGTGACAAAGGGAACACAGCTCCTATTCTTTGGAGTCCTATTCAGTACACTGGGTTAGAGCGGCTCCAGACTGTGCAGGGCTCTCTGCTTCAGAGGCCCTCGCCCGGGTGGCCTGGCTGGGAGCTGGCCACTGGTACAGCGGGAGGAGCCCATACACACAATGGGTCCACGTCACACAGACACCCTGCCGGCCACAGACTTTTCTCTCCTGCCTGGCTCTACCATGTCCACAAAGTGCTTTTGTGAATACAGCTCCAATCTCTTGCTGACAATCTATATTTTGTCTCAGTCTCATTTTCTCACTCCAAACTGCCTGATCAGAAACCCAGGGGAACTAGTGGGGCAGAAGCATCACCATTTCCCATAAGGAACATAGGAAAACAAATGACGTGGTTCAGCTTTTCACAAAATGTGTATACTATTTACAAGGTAAGCCAGTGCAGCTTAAAATGTGTGGTGCCAAGAAAATGTTAAAGCAACAAAAAGTACAACTCCCTAAAACTGCAGAACCTTTAAACCAGAAATTTACAATGGGTTTTTCTTGGCAAGGAGAGCCTCAATGGAATAATGGTGAAATTGTACTTACTCTGAGGATGTAAACTGAAATACCACACTTGCTGGCAAGGCCCAAAGTTCCAATTGCCCTGGGCTCACTTGCCATTTTCATAAATGCAGTCCCTGTTGAACCACAAGCAAGACTGTGAACCACCCCTACCTCAGCTGCTGACTTCTTTTTCTGTTTACCAAAATCCCTGTGTGCCCACAGAGCTACCTTAGTTCACACCCAGAGTCTAAGTCTGATGATTAAAAGCAGGAAGACTTGGGTATTTATTAAGGCCTGCCATATGCCAAGCACAGGGCTAGGTGCTTTAAATATAATCACAACTACTTGCTGGTACTTGAGAATTACACACAAGATTCAAACCATTTTCAGACACTCCCCTTCTTCCATATAACATGATTTCACAAGCAGGAAGTAGGATTTGTGAGAAGTGGTATTTAGGAAGCCTCCCAGTATGTGTACAAGACTCATTGCCAAGCACTTTGCAGTCATTATCTGACTTACTCTTCACAACGATTCTGAGAGATAGACATAATCTCATTTAACTAGTAGAGAAACCTAGGCTTAGAAAGGTTAAATAATTTTCCCAACATCAGCCATCTATCCAATGGGGGGCAGGCAAACCCAGCAGTGCCCAACTGCTCCAACTCCAGAGCCACTGTCCTTCTAAACCACACTCTCTTTTTCCAAATGTGCTAGAATCTCTGGGCAATGCTTATTCACAATTCCAACAAAGACTTCCTAAGTGCTTGCTCCAGCAATAGAAATACAGGTGGACAGGACCTCCCCAACAAGGTGACACTCAGGGGCCTGAAGGAAGTGAGAGTATGAACCATGTGTTTATATCTGGGACCAAATGTTCCAGGCTAAGAGAACAATAATGCAAAGACTCTGAGTTGGGAAATGCTTGACCAGGTTCAAGAACAGCAAGCAAGCTGAAGGGTCAGAGAGGATTAATCTAAGGGGATAGTAGGAGATGGGGTGAGAGATAGCAGGCACTAGACCGTGCAGTGTCTTGTAGGCCATGGTAAGTAAGGTCTTTGAATTGCATTCTTAGTGAAATGGGAGGCACTCTGGAGGATTTTGAACTGAGGAGTGATATGATCTAAAGTACATTTTAAAAGGGCCACTCTGGTTGCTGAGTGAAGAACACTCTGCAGGGAGGCAAAGTAGGAGCAAAGAGGTCAGGTGGGAGGCTACTGAGGCAGTCCAGGTGAAACATGATGGCAACTCAGACCAGGGTAGTGGCAACAGAGGTGCTGAGAAATGGCTGGGTTCTGTTCAGTGTCATTCAGCCCTCAGTGCTTGTTAACTAATACTGACAAAAGTAGGCAATATTTCAAAGTCATTCCTACTCTTACCTCAAAAGAACCTAAATCTGGAGCCCTCAAGTTAAAAGAAAAAAAAACCAGATAGAGACTTAAATGACCAGCAATAAACAAAATACAGTTGAAAGTTGTAGCCCATGGCAACGGACGCACCAAGGGCATCCCTGAGCCAATGAAGACCCAGCATTCAGAATAATAGGACATGTTTAGGTAAAGTGTGGCAGAGCAATAAATTTCACAGCATCACCTTCTGGGTGACATTTTCTGCCCTCCAGGTTCTGCCACCATCTTTGGCACCTCTAGTGCCCAAATTTATCATGCAGTGTAATCTATATAGCATCAAGCCTGGTAGGAGCTGGGAAGAACCCTTGTATTTGTGCTGTATGGAAAATCTAACTCCCTACTCCCATCTTGCCAATAGCAAGAAGTGTTCTTAAACATAGTATCACTTGTTTTTTGCTGGTGTCTTTTTTTTCTCCTCCCAGAAATACCCTAATTATGATGCTGGAGAGTTGGGGAAAGATGGCTTTTATGTGGTTTTTATCTCCCAAACACAGTATTGTCATGGGTTTATTTATTTGTGTTTTTACAGTAACACGATGCTCTCCTGTAATTGAGACTATTATGGAGAGGGCTGGCATATGTTTTCCACAAGATTAAAGGCAATTTCTGTTTTCAAAACCACTATTGCTTCTTGGAAAACTCCCTTCCTATGCTAAACTAAATCCAGTAAGCCAAAATTCTACATTCACCTGGTCTGCATTACAGCCTTGCAAACAGAACTAGGAGAGGCAATTTCATTCATGCATTGATTCAAGCAGTATTTACCAAACCCCTACTGCACTAGGCACTGTGGGGGTGGGGAAATACAGCATAAAATAAAACATAGTCTTTGCCCTCCAGGGGCTCCGAATCCAGAGGGAAAACACACAGAAATGACTATGCTACAAGGCAGACTGTGATAAGAGCTATAATAGAAGCAAAACAACATGCATTGGGGGAACAGGGAATGAACGATGGCTCCCACCTGGTGAGGAGGGGTGGTTTGCGGAAAAGCTTGATGGAAACAGGATTTTCAAGTCCCATGGACCTGGGAAAGGTATCACTTATTGCAGGTACAGCAAAGTCTATACAGAAGAAAGGAAAAGCTAAGGTGTAATAAACTAAAAATCACGTGAAGGGCCTTGAGTCTGGAGGATAATTATTATGGACGGGAGGGGGAGCATGAAGGTAATGAATAGAAATAAGATCAGAAAGGGAGGCTTGGATCTAGTCCGTAGAGGCTCCTTCTTGACTGAAGATTTTGGATTCAGATATTCAGGGTACACTGGGGAACTATCTCAGGTGTCCAAGTAGGAAAAGACAAGACTGTCCTGTATCCATCACATGCCAGACCTTTGCTAGGTACCCACACATTCATCTTAAACCTCATAGTGATGCAATATGGTGACCACAGAGAGCCCTAGATCACAGAGAAGAAAACCTTTTGAGTGTTAGGTCAAGTTTTAATCTGTGCTAGATTTCAAACTATGCTTCCTGATTCCATGTGTCCACCAGCAGTACTCTTCCCATAAGGCCCTTCAGATTCCTCTTTTATGAAGGTAACCCAGTCAACGGCAGGTAGAGTGGTGCAGAGTAAAAACACTCTGGCCAGAGAACCCCCAGGAAAGGTGAGAACTTCTCAAATGAGAGACACACAAGGAATGAGGGCAAAGATTAGAGACACTGGCAGCATTCATGATCTTCTTTATCCTCCTGGCAACCTCCATTTCTAGGGGGCTGTGTGCTTCAGCATCTGTTATGTGTAAACAAAAATGTTGCTTTCAAAAAAATGTTGAATATGCTGTAAATGTAGAATTAGGGGTATAATATTGTCATTTTATTTCACGTTATGTTTTCTAGTCTTTAAAAAGCTCTCAAAAACAGTATCTGATGAACCAATTTTACATATGAACTAATAAAGGCGCAAAGCAGTGACTTACTCAACGTCAGAATGTCAGTTTCTTCCGAATCCTAGTCTACCATTTTTCCCTGCCCCAAAACGAATGACATTTTTAGTCATATTCAAACGGAAGGAAGATCACATGGAAACACACAATGGTTTTTACATCTATGCTCCTCCTATCAACTTTCTCTCTCTTTCCCTCAAAACCCTAGTTCTCTACCCACACCAATGCCATCCCCACTCCTATATCAAACTCTGAATGTCACACTGAGAAGTTCCAATGATCAAAAAAAAACTGAGGCTCCCGGAGACAAGGATCTTTTTTTTTTTTTAATTAAACAACTACTGTGTGCCAAGGGCTTTCCATACATCAATATAGCAATAGCAATATTTACTCAGTCTTAATTATGGGCTAGGCACTGTGCTAAACATTTTAAATATGATCACAGTTAATCCTTATGAGAATCCTGTGAGGCTGGTGGTTTATTTTTGTATACGAAGAATCTGAGGCTCAGAAACATCCAGTAATTTACCCAAGACTCTACAATTATTAAGTCATAGAGTTGGGTTTTGAATCAAAGCCTTATGAGCTCTGACGCCGGCACTCTTAGCCGCTGTTATGTGGCACATAAAGATGGGAAGGACAAGAGAGGTGGGCATGGTGGGAGGCACGAGGAGTGGAGAGTGCCTGGACGCTGGAACATGTGTGGAGAAGCTGTAAGAGGGAAGCAGAGTCACACGGTCAGGTTCTTAGGTCATGCTGGGAAGTGTGGGCTTTATCTGGATGCTGAACATCAACCAGAACATTTCAAGGTAAATGACCTGGTCAAATGTGTATATTTTAGGAAAAGTCACTCTGGTTTTGATGTAGAGAATTGATTTTATTGGGGCAGAGGCAAGCCTGAAGGCAGACAGAGGATCAGGAGGTTTCGTGTTATTCTAACAAATAGCTGATGAGGACAGTATATACCAGGGTGCTTCCGGGGTGTTCAATAAATATTTGTTAATTGTGGTATTGATTGGTTACAAGCAGAACAATCTGTTGTACCTATTGGGGCATGTCAGCTCCGTCACACAGTCATTCCAGTATGTGATCATGGACTCTGGGTACAATGCTCTCTTGTTCTGAGATGGCAGCCAGGATTGTGTTACTCTCTCTCTAGGGTTTTATCCCCTAAATGTGTGCTTCTGTTACTTGTGGAATTTCAGGTAAAATGTGAGCCCCCAGGTTCTGAGCATGGGTATTTGTCTTTTGATTGGGGTGGGAAGGGAATTGGGTAGGTGAGTGGTACAAACATTTGAAGAGAAGTATAGATTTCCATAACATGTTTCCTCCGTTCTTAAGCAACCAATTGCATTCCTTGTAGGCATGCATTCAGATGGCTAAGAGCTAATGTGAATGGGAAGGTAAGAAAATGATGTCTATGATCGGCCAGGCGTGGTGGCTCACGCCTGTAATCCCAGCACTTTGGGAGGCCAAGGCGGGCAGATCACGAGGTCAGGAGATGGAGACCATCCTGGCTAACACAGTGAAACCCCGTCTCTACCAAAAAAAAATACAAAAAATTAGCCAGGCGTGGTGGCGGGTGCCTGCAGTCCCAGCTACTGGGGAGGCTGAGGCAGGAGAATGGTGTGAACCTGGGAGGCGGAACTTGCAGTGAGCCGAGATCGCGCCACTGTACTCCAGCCTGGGCAACGGAGCGAGACTCCATCTCAGAAAAAAAAAAAGGAAATTATGTCTATGATGGGGAATGAGGCCTGATTCCCCACCAAAAGCCTCAGGAGGTTAGCTGAGGTACACTAAGATAAGATAGGTATGATGTCACACAGAGCCAGACGTCTGTCATTTAACATCAAAAGGGTGTGATGTCCAGGTTAGAAGGGCTCCAGAAGGCAAATGATTGTTCTTTGCAAACTCCTGGTTCTGTACCCCTCATGTCTCCTAACAAAGTATGCAGCTGTAGGAGCCAATGAGCCAAAGACCATCATCAGATGGTGCCTGGTTCACCCTGGATCTTGAGACAAGAACCTCAGAATCCCTTTTGGCTTGCCCTGCCCAGACATATACTTCATTCTTTCTAATCAGGAGCTACAGCTCCTGCTTGGGCTATATGCACTGAGAGCAGCTGGTCAGATACCACAGGCTACATTAGAGTGGGGCTCATCTGCCTGAATGAGCAACAGAAAAAAAGCTAAGGGCCCATCCAGATAAAATGCAGTCTGAGCAGAGTGTACTATATTACCTAGTATATGATTTAGTGCCTAAGCGCAAACCTGAAAAAAAATTTTTTTTTTACTTCCAAGTGACCTCATCCACAAACCTCAAATATTTAGAATGCTAAACATGTGAAAAACATCTGGCCTTTTAAATAAACTAGTATAGTGCCATGATAGCATTCATTTACTTCTAGATACCCAGTTGTCCTCTATTTTAAGTGTGTATAAAAATCATTTGAGAGAATCTTAAAAATGAAAATTACTATACCCAGAGAGTTTGATTTAGTAGGTGTGGAGTCAGGCCTACTATGGTGGTTAAAATACGTCCACAATTTAATGCTCCTCCCTTCAAAAGTGCGGCCTTGGCCGGAGTGCGGTGGCTCACACCTGTAATCCCCACTTTGGGAGGCAGAGGCGGGCAGATTACCTGAGGTCAGGAGTTCAAGATGAGTCTGAACAACATGGTAAAACCCCGTCTCTACTAAAAATACAAAAATTAGCCAGGCATGGTAGTGCAAGCCTGTAGTCCCAGCTACTCAGGATCCGGAGGCTGAGGTAGGAGAACTGCTTGAACCTGGGAGATCGTGCCACTGCACTCCAGCCTGGGCAACAGAGCAAGGCTCCATTTCAAAAAAAAAAAAAAAAAAAAAGCTTGGGCCTAATTCTCCTCCCCTTGAGTGCAGGCTGCCATTAATGACCTGCTTCTGACTAACAGAATGTGGCAGAAGTGACAGTGTCTGACTTGCAAGATTAGGTCATTTTTCTCTCTCTTGAATCAGTCACGCTGGTAAAACCAGCTGTCATGTTAAGAAGTCCATGTGGTGAGAAACCAAGGCCTCCTGCCAAAAGCCATATGAATGAGCCATCTTAGAAGCAGACTCTCCAGCTCCAGTCAAACATTCAGATGACAGTGGCCCCAGATAACATTTCGGCTGCAGGTCCAGGAAACTAAACATTAAAAGAGCAAGCTGGCCACACTTGCTACACAGGTTGAAAATTTCCAGCTAAAAAAAAATTTACACTAAGAATTTAAATGCAACAAGAACAGGTCTCTAAGGAAGAGCAATGACCTCTTTTCCCGGGACCAAATCTGATGAAGAGTCTGACAAGTACCTTTACTCCTGGAATCTCAAAAGAGAAGTCAAGCAAGAACTACCCAGATAAGTCACTCAGAAATTCCTGACCCACATAAACTAAGATAGTAAAAGTTTGCTGTTTTAAGATGGTAAGTTTTGTGGTAATTTTGTACCCCATACATAACTAATACACCTAAAAAATCAGAATTTTACCCCATATGTAACTAATACACTCAACAAATCTGGATCTTGGTGACATGTAGTAAAAAATAAATACCCACAGTGACACAATCCAATGTTTCCAATTTGGCATGATATTCTTTGTTTAAAGGAGGAAAAACGACTGGAAACAAAATTAGATTGTGCTCATCTTATTCAAACTCATTAGGCTTAAGATTCATTTCATTTCCATGATACTGTTGTGCAACCACAACCCCATTTAAGTTTTAGGGAGGCAACATGAGGTCCAGGAAACTAAACATTACAAGAGCAAGCTGGCCACACTTGCTACACGTTTAAAATTTCCAGCTAAAAAAAAATTTACACTCAGATTTTAAATGCAGAAAGAACAGGTCTCTAAGGAAGAGCAACAACCTCTTTTCCCGCGACCAAATCTGATGAAGAGTCCAACAAGTACCTTTACTCCTGGAAAAAGCTCATCCATGACAATTCTTTAACTTGGAATCACAAGAAAGAAGACGACTATGGAAGAGAAACAGTAGAGTGTGATGGCTAAAGGCAAGGCTCTGGAATGAAAATGCTAGGGATTAAATCCCATTTGCTAGCTGTGTGGCCTTGGCCAGATTGCTTACTTTCTCTCTCTGCCTCAATTTCATGAACTAGCAAATGAGGGTAACAGAGTCTAGCTCATCAAAAAAATTAGCCAGGCGTGGTAGTGCACACCTGCAGTCCCAGCTACTTGGGAGGCTGAGATGTGGGTAAATTACCTAAACCTGGGAAATCGAGGCTACAGTAAGCCGTGATGGCACCGCTGCACTCCAGCCTGGACAGTGGAGTGAGCCTCTGTCTCAAAAAAGCCACCAAAAACAAATACACAAACAGAGTGTAGCTCATCAGACTCTGTAAGAAGTAGACAGTTCAACAAGTATAACGCCCTTAGAATAATGCCTCATACATCAAAGCACTCAACACAAATAAGCTATTATCATATTTCATTTCTACATTATCTCCTACTAAACCTTTACCTAGACACACTAAGTAAAAAAAATTGAGTTTTGTCTTCATATCTTCCTCTTGTCTTTCTTCTGTGGTTGTGACGCTGGTTTAAAAAAAAAAAAAAAAAAAAAAAAAAAAAAAGCCTTGGCTGGGCATGGTGGCTCCCATCTGTAATCCCACTTTGGGAGGTGGAGGTAGGAAGACCGCTTGAGACCAGCCTGGGCAACATAGCAAGACCAAGACCGTGTGTGTCTCTATCAAAAGTTACAAAATTAGCCAGGTGTGGTGTCACGTGCCTATAGTCCCAGCTACTCAGGAGGCTGAGGTGGGGGAATCGTGTGAGCCTAGGAGTTTGAGGATGTAGTTGAGCTATGAACGCGCCACTGCACTCCAGCCTGGGCAACAGAGTAAGACCCTGTCTCAAAAAACAAAAAACAAAAATTAAACTAAACAATTAAAAATAAAAAGGGACCTTGGTGTGAGATTCAGTCAGGAGAAAGAAAACTTTCTGTCACTGCTGCCTAAATACTATCATCCAATATTAACTTATTGCTCACTGGGGACATCACAATATACATCTTCATAGAGAAATAAAGGTTGGTTCTGCTTCCTACACTTGACTCAGGAAGAAAGCCTTCCTTGATACTGCATAATTTTTAGAACTCCCAGCCTCAGAAGAACTGATCTGCGTTGCTTGGTTCCTTCTGTACACAGATTTGCAAAAATATTCCATAAGAATTTGCATTTTCCCTGTCTTTTTCCTATTCTTTTTTCCTTCATATTTTCTTGTCTGCACAATTTGGTTCTTTTTTATAGTCACATTCTATTCCTGTACCATCCTACCCAGATCATTTACTTTATTCAGGATATGAAGCCTCTTTCATTCTTCATTGGAATTTTTTTCTTCTGAGCAACAAATGTAAAAAAAAGTCTGCCTCTGCGTATTATTTGTCTCCTCTTTCTGACTATCCTCCCCCATGGCAGTTTGTCTAACGTAAAAACATTTCTCACAAGGAAATTTCTGGGCAGGGGGCAGAGGTAAAGGGTGACTTCAAAAATGCCAACATTGAGCAAAGCACTTGCCACAAATGTAATGTTGGTGTATTTTAAAAGCCTTGCCATGTAACCTCACAGTATCTTTGCAGATTTATCTCCTGTTATCAAGGCTGCTACTTAAGTCAACAAGGCATTGGGCTGAGACTATAAACACTGCCACAGTGGATCATATTCACAGTCCATCCTCACATCAGCACTCTGCATCTGACAATCAACTGCACCAAATAAGAGTTTAAAGGAAGATATAACTGTCCTCTCTCATATAAAAGTTAAAATATCAACTGTTACAAGCTCAAGAGACTAAAAGGAAAGCAACGTCTGTCTGTGTAGTGATTCTTAAAGTTGGGTATAATCACAGGAGGGCTTGTTAAGACACAGATTGCTGGCTTCCTCCTCAAAGGTTTCTGATTCAGGAAGTCATGGTAGAGCCTTGGAAATCTGCATTGCAAACAAGTTCCCAGATGATGATGATATTGCTGCTTCGAAGACCACACTTTGATAACCACTATTCTGGTAAAGAAGTAAAATCCAGAGATGCTACAAATCGAGACAAGAAATGTGATAACAAAACTCAGCACGATTCTCGACAACAACTCAGGTCTGTCACCATCCATGTAACTGTGGGGTTCATGATCCTACATTTTGGCTGTCAACAGGAATAAAACTAATAGATCAGGAGAATGATAAAGCAAAGTCTGGGCTAGTAAGTATATTTAAGTCTTCATTGGAGGCACTATAGGATTAACTATCATGGCAGCTCTTTACTGACTCTTAGAAAGTAGAGACGAAGGTGACACTTCAAATCCACCCTAAACTCAGCATTTCAGAGTTGAGTCAGGAACCAAGTGAGGTAAACCTCTGACATGCTATAGGAGCCACTAATGAACTTAAATTCAACATCAAAGGTATGAGAAGTTTCACACAGTGAGGACTGAAAGCTCTGTGTGCCCACTGGGGGATACCTGCAACACTACTGTGCTTTGTGAAAATGCCATTTGAGTAAACTACAGATGTGTACGTGACCATATATGTGTGTTATGGTTTCACACCCACTCCCCCAGCAACACTCCCATCTCTTCCCTCCTGTCTTCCTCCTATCTGTCACTGCTGCTCAAATACTATCAGCCAATATTAACTTATTGCTCACCAGGGACATCACAATCTACATTTTCTTAGGGAAATAAAGGTTGATTCTGGAAATACACGTTGTTTAGTATGGTGTCAATGGAAAATGAAAAAAAATTTTCTTTGAGACAAGAGTCTCACTCTGTCACCCAGGCTAGAGTGCTGTGGTGCAAACAATGATCACTGCAGCCGCAACCACACAGGCTCAAATGATCCTCCCACCTCAGCCTCCTGAGTAGCTGGAACCACAGGTGCCTGGAACCACGCCTGGCTAATTTGTTTGTTTATTTTGTAGAGACAGTGTCTTGTCATGTTGCCCAGGCTGGTCTGAAACTCATAGAATCAAGCAATCCTCCTGCCTTGGCCTCCCAAAGTGCTGGGATTACAGGCAAAAGCCACCATGCCTGGCCTAGAAAATGAAATTTAAAGAGTTCTGAAAAATGTTAAGTCCCAAAGAGAAAAGCATGTGCCACTGTTAGAGGCCTCCCCGGGAACAGGTGGGAACAGTTGAGTTTAATTAGCTTATAGCTGGTACTGACTGTATGGGAAGGCAGGGATTTGTTTTTTGACTCCAAGTCTTCAGGTTATATTTTCTGTAACTGTTAACAACTACAAGGACTTTTTTTTTTTCCAAAGATGGTAACATTTGTATGCAAGGACTTTTATTTGGTGTTTACAGGAAACAGAGGAGAGAAACCAAGATGGTAAGGATTTCCAGCAAAGCAATCCAACATCATTATAGAGAAGCAAACCCAGTGAGTTTTGTTATATTAGTGGGCATCGGTGGCTTCTAGATGGCCCCCACTGGCACATGCACAGTCCCCAGAAAGTGACCACATGTGACAAGTGACAGCATTTATTCAAGAGTTCTCTCCAATTGGTGCACTTCAGAGCTGATCATCAAAGAGAAAGGAGTGCACGGTACATCAGCAGTCTGAACTACAGTATTCCAAGTAAAGCAATTCCTTCAGGAAGACTATGAAATGCAGGTATTTATAATTCTGCTGAGACCCCAAACTGATTATTGCCCATTGTGGGAGGAGCTAAAAACCACCCAGTCCAGTAACAACAGCTGAACTTGGGTTTGTCATTCTCTTTTATTAAGCATACACAAACTGTCATGTGGACAACGACATTTTTGAGGAAATGACCTCCAAATGAGGGGGAAAGTGTCAATGAAATTTGAAACAGCAATTAACTTATGGTGTTTCTGCCATGAACAGTCAACACACAATTCTCTGAAGAACTGTCAATATAAACAGAACCAGTATTCTGTACAAAGATCTTCGCAATGGAAGATTTAAGAATTCACAAAGAATTCATCCCTTACTAATATACTGTTCCCTTGGGCTCTCCAGCAGCATACTAAGGCCAAGTCCTAAGGAGCATTAAACCCAAAGCATAGATGGGTAATCCAGAAAAACAAAACACTGAAAAGCAAGATGTTGGTTTACTTACCCCAAAAAGTCAGGTGCTTTGACCAACAGCAATCAATGATGGTTATAGCACAGGCACTATGAGCCAGTACTCTAAGGTTCAGAAAGAACCTAAAGTTCCTCTCCAGTTGCAGAGACAAGACTGCTGCACAAATAAGCAATTACAGAAGATAACATTTCATTACCTAATGAAATGAGTTCACAGTTAGTGTTACAGGACAACAGATAAGGAAGCCATCAAGGAGACAGAAGTAGACAGAAAAGCCCTTCCGTTATCAATCAGAGTAAGTTATCAGGTCCCCATGCAGGGGACACTGTGATAAGACTGCATAAACTACTTAAGTGAGAAATACACTGTGCCCTGAAGGAAAAACAAGATCTGAGAGAGGTGGTTCCACCACAAACTAGAGCTTAGAAAATAACAAAACACAAATTCTGACCCATGAAAAGGAAAAGACAGGCTTTTTCCTTAGGGCCTTTTCCATAAAACTAAGTTGGCAAGAAGAAACATACGCTCTCCCCTTAACATACGTCTTCAGGCTAAGATTTAGTCAGGGAAACTATCCAAAGACAGGAAACATTTGCAGATTCTGATCAAACAGGCCACTGAAAGCCCAACCTGCTGGTCTGGCCAACGTAATAAACATGAGGGATGAGGAGCACATTCCAAAGAGCTATGCACACTGTCCTACCTCACTTCTCCCAAATACCCACCTGGCTTACTTCCTCACCCCCTTTTAGGTAATTACTCAAGAGTTGCCTTCTCAGTGACTCCTTTCCTGGCCACTGAATCTAAAATTGCATGCCCCACCACCACAACAGCACACATCACATCATTTCCTGGCCCCCTTTCCTCCTTCCTAGCACTTACCAGTTTCTAATACTCTAGATATTAGACGTTTCTTTATTGACATTCCCTTCCACTAAAATGCATGTTCCATTGAGTCAGAGAGATTGTTGTCTGTTTTGTTCACTGTTGTGTCTTGAGCACCTAGAAAAGTGCCTGACATATATCAAACAATCAACAAAACTGTTGAATGAATGAATAAATGAACAAATGCATGTTTGTACTGACACCTGTGGGAAGTTTTGTTTTAAGATAGTACATAATGTAGTAAACACTTCAATGGAGAGTAATGTCTTTTATTATACATACACAAACATATTTATGTATATATACACCACATATATATACCTATATATCTTATATTTATATTCATTTATATACCATATATAGGTATAAATATTTTATATATAGGTATATCTTATTTATATACATACATATATATGTATATATGGTATATCAATAAGACCATCAAGGTAGAGCTTTATTTGCAGAAAGGTTTGCCCAGTTTTAGGTCCATCAGCAGGCACATAAAATGTTTTTAATCGTATCAACTTCCATCTCCTTTCTGTTTATTTTTAATCATTCTTTCTCATAGAACCTAGCAGCTAAATCTAGCCATGTTAATTACCAATGCTGAAATTGGCAACTAGATCCCTGCCAGTCACCCCATTAATTAACATATTGTTTTATTATGCTTTTATTCAGTCAAAAAATGTTTATTGATAACCTGCTATGTCCCATACCTTATGCCTAGCAATGAGGAAATGGTGAGCAAGAATCCTTATCCTAGCAGAACAGACAGTCCAGGGGGATAACAGTAAGTATGAACGAAAAACTGTAGTAAGTTATTCTAGGGGAAATGAGGGGACCATAGAAGCATACAGCAGGAATACCTATTCTAGTTTAGGAAAGGTGAAAGAAGTGTTATTTATGTAGAATTATCTAAAAGATATATAAGAATTAGCCAGGTAAAAAGGTGAGGGGGTAAGAAGTACTCCAGATAGAAGGAATGTAAATAAATGGGAGGGCTTGGAAAGAAAAACACAGCCCTCTTCAGGAACAGTGCAGGGAGGGGCTGGGGAAAAAGGCAAGATCTATTTGACCCTGGAGAGGTGGGCAGGGACCTAGTCACATGTGGCCTTCTGACTCATAGTACTTGTCAAGAGCTTCTATGCCTCCAAGGCTAGCTGCTATCAAGGGAGCAGAGATAAATCAAACTCTGCCAGAATTCTTGACCTTTGGCATACTCACTGCCAGACACTTTCTGAAAGCCAATAAACTATGGCTAGTGGAAAGTGAGCATTTCTTAAAAATATCAAACTGGAGTAAGTACTGTGGGCAGAGGTAACTTCACAATGTCACCCCAATAGTGTGCCAGATGTTAGGGGGGCTTATCATACCAAAGGCAGGAAAAGACACCAAAAAGAAGGACTGCTTTGGACTTCTACAACAGGGATGTATCTGTTGATCCCAGAAATAATCATAGGTATTACCCATTTCTACCAGCTCAACCGCTTCCCCTGCTTTCCCTGCTGTCCTAATTTCTAGTCATTCTGCCTTGATTTTTTTGTTTAACCTTAATTATCACATGTTCTCAACTAGCCTGCACTCTTGCTACATGGAGATTTGAGTAGGGGCTTTCCTAAAGCTGATCCTGGAACAGATAACCCTGATACCCACAAGGCAGCTGGGAATACATTGACCTGGAGTGAATAGTCAGAAACAAATTTCCTGTTACATATTTATCTGACTTACACTGGTTTGATTCGAATGTTTCAGAGAGTATATGCTTAATAACCAAGATACTGATCTATCCTTACATACATAAGGTTACTGACACATGAGTTATTACAAATAATAACCCTTAAATCTATTTTGGTAAATGCTGATTATCAGCTAGTTCTTCATTATCTTTAGATTTTAAGAATGAAAAATAATGTCATTTATAGGGAATTTTTTAGATAGTAGGAACTGCCCAGGTAAAAAGGTGAGGGGGTTGGGCATACTCCAGACAAAAGGAACACACACAAATGGGAAAAGCTCAGAAATAAAAACACAGCCCCTCAAGGAACAGCACCAGGAGGGGGCGGGGAGAGCTTAGATTTCTAATGAGGAAAAAAAGACTGAGGCACAATAGCAAATATTTGGATTTACAAATCAAAAAACCACATAGAGAATGCCAAGGAGTTTTAAGAAATTCCATGTATGATTATGCAGGTTATAGTCCCTCATATGTAACTCAAATGAAAACTGCCCATCTGATTTTCCAGAGTGCTAACTGTATCACTGTAGATTTAACAGTAACAGCTGAGCAATTTCTGAGATGTCAGTGTAAGAAGTCCCATGCTCATGAACCCATGAATGACACTTCCCTGCCTGTCTAAAATACCGGTTCCCCAAACTCGCTGGACCTCAGAGGCACCTGGAGACTTGCCTCTGGTTTAAAATGGAGACTTTGCTGGGCATTGTGACTGTGGTCCCAGATACTCAGAAGGTAGAGGTGGGAGGACTCTGAGCTGAGGAGTTCAAAACCAGCCT
Source organism: Homo sapiens (assembly GCF_000001405.40). Lineage (NCBI taxonomy): Eukaryota > Metazoa > Chordata > Mammalia > Primates > Hominidae > Homo > Homo sapiens. The sequence continues at coordinate 69,799,336 of NC_000007.14, read as the reverse complement.
GGGCAACAGACCCCATGTCTATTGGTAAAAACATAAAAATGAAGACAACGTAGACTCCCAGGTTCCACCAGGAGGCATTCTCATTCAGTGAATCTGGGTTGAGATACCAAAATTCGTATTTTTAATAAGTGCCACAGGAGATTCTAAAGCTGGTGGTACAGACTTAACTCCACCACTTTCTGGATCAGTGGTCCTCAAAACAAGTTCACCCTGGATCCAGGGAAGGCATAAACTGATCCACTGTGATTGAGGAAAAAAAAAATACCATACTTACATATAATTTTTTTCTCTCTAGCCTTATTGAGGGGTGTGTATGTGTGTACTTATATACACACTTTTTTTTTTTTAGACTAGGTTTCGCTCTGTTGCCCAGGCTGGAATGCAGTGGTGCCATTAAAGCTCACTGCAGCCTCGAACTCCTGAGCTCAAGCAGTCCAACCACCTCAGCCTCCCAAGTAGCTGGGACTACAGGCGTGCACCATCACACCCAGCTAAAATTTTAATTTTTTGTAGAGATAGGATCCCACTATGTTGTCCAGGCTGATCTCAAACTTCTGGCCACAAGCAGTCCTCCCACCTTGGCCTTCCAAAGTGCAAGGATTACAGGAGTGAGTCACCACACCCAGCTATTTTTAATTGTTCGGGCAACTTCCGTACTAATTTCCGTAATACCAATAATAATTTATATCCCCACTAATGGTGCACAAGACTTCCCTTTTCTCCACATTTTTAACTTACATATATTTTATAACTTCATTTATGAGTACAGTATGTAAACATATGGACAATGCATAATCAAATTCTCTTTCTAGAAAAGATACATAACAAAAAAAAATTAGGGGCCACAGTTAGGAGTACTTTTGCCTAGAAATAAAACTGAATACTCCAGCATCCCAGGGGAAAGGAAAGGCATATGGAACTGAAAGAATAATACCCTGAAGAGGGGGTAATGCAACGTTTACCGAACGCACTGAAGGGAAAGGCAAATCGCAAGGAGAGCCCCAGTCATGTCCCAACCTTAGAGAAAATCACTTGGGGTATCATCTTTCTCATGTGTAAAATGAGTAAAGGGGTGATCCACATGTTCTCTTACGTTCCTCCCAGCACAAACACACTACAGTTTATAAAGCACTGATGAAGAGGAACCATGAGTGAGGTAATGAAGGGTGGTACATGCTATTCCTCACAAGCTCGAAATAGATCAACAAAGTCTGGAAAATGCCTGTCACGCAGACAGAAGCCCATCACTAGAATCATAAAACATTAACGCTTTGATAGCTTCAGGACCCCCACATTTCATGGATTAAAAAAAAAAGCTCACAGTGGAGACTTGTTCTGACCAAGAAGTCCCAGGTGCCCAGTAGCATAGCCAAGTTACCTGATCCCCAGAGTGTGATGCTCTCACTATACAAGTCTCCTTCCTTTCGAAAGTAAAGAGACTTTCTAAGATGCCAGAGGCCCAGCATTCTGAAGATAAAAAATAAGGTCCATTCATTGTTCTCAAATATGATTTATGTTTGTAACCTTTACAAGAAGGAAAAAAAATGTTTTGGGATTTGTTTTACCTCCCTGTTTCTTTTTTTAAAATCTGAGAAACTGGTGAAGACATAACCTTATAGTGTTAGAAAAGAAAATTTAAGAGCATCTTAAATAAGGAAGCCCATTGTGGCTCTCAGTGAGGCTGCCAAGAGCCCACATGAGAGCAGAGGTCTTCTGGAACACCACAAATTCCCAGTGGCCTCCAAGCGCAGGCTCTTCCTTTCTATTCACAAGACCCAGAGACAGGCAAGGTCAATTTCCCTTCTCATTTTCCTGCATATCTAAAACTCTCTTTAATGTGAATTTAAAAGGACAAAAATGGAGTTAAGAGCTTCACGTACCTGTGAAGGGGAACCACTGCCTTCCTTGCAGCCCCAGAAATACTGAGTGGGCACTGGAAAAGCACAGCAGCCCAAGATCAGATTCGGGATCTGCACATAATCCTGGACTGAGAGCAGCTCCTCAAGTCTATTGAATCTTAACTCTATGGCTTGGGGAGCTGAAAACGGAACATGTCCCCCCAGGTAATACTCAAGCACAAAGCAGTTTGAGAATCACTGATTTCCAGACAAGAAGGCAGGGGTATCTGGGCTCTGCGTAATACTACCCACCTGCAAAAGTCCCCAGGTCTCCAAATATCTTCCCCAAGAGGTTACATTCTGGAGGTGCAGGTAGAGACCAATGTCCCAAAAGTTGAAGTTTAGCCACTCTTCATTTAAAGTGGAAAAAAAGGAGTAAAATAAATTACTACCCACTATACTAGGCCCTTTACACTTACGATTCCATTGCATCCTCACGACGAAAATCTTCCACATTCAGATGGAGCCTAGTTAATTCAAAACTCCTGGTGCAAACTGAACCCAAGCTAGACCACTTTAATCTCAAACAACACTCTGATAATCAGGGCAAATAGCACAAATCAGATTACAAAGAAATAATCACAATTTTTAAAATTCCAATATATTTAACATTAATAATTGATATTCTTAATTATACATGAAGGTCAATTAAAAAAACAGTTCTGCTAGGCAATGTTTCATAATCCTCACTCAAGTTACCACTCTATAACAAAAAAATAACAGAACTGCATTTCTTTTCAGCTACCCTGCAAATCTGTCTGTACATATTCCCACAATTGTTCAATTTGGAGAGGTATGACCATAAATGTTTTCCTTCTTCCAGACCACACCACAAAAATGTCCAATTCTGGGAAAGACTGCATGGCAGGACTCATGCAGTCTCTTCCCTATTTTCTTTTCTTTTTTTTTTTTTTTGGAAACAGAGTCTCACTCTGTCGCCTAGGCTGGAGTGAAGTGGCACAATCATGGCTCACTGCAGCCTCGAACTCCTGAGCTCAAATGAGCCTCCCACCTCAGCCTTCCAAGTAGCTGGGACTACAGGTGGGTACCACCATGCACAACTAGCTTTTGTTTGTTTGTTTGGTAGAGAACGAAGTCTCACTGTATTGCTCAGGCTGGTCTCAAACTTCTGGCCTCAAGTGATTCTCCCACTTCGGCCTCCCAAAGTGTTGGGATTACAGGAGTGAGTTACCACACCCAGCCTCTTCCCTATTTTCAACTTCTACTCCACTCCATCCGTCTTCAATTAGGTTACATCTTTTCACCCCACTGTCTATGGATTGCTGAAGATGCGAAAAGGAACTGAAAACTTCAGGTGTCATTTCCTGGAATGTGAAAAACATCCAGAGGCTAGAGGCTATCGTCAGCCCACCACAGAAACCTTGAATGTTAATGCCTGACAGACCCTCTCAAAGCAGTGTTTGAAAATTTATAGCTCCAAAAACTTATTTTTTAATCGAGGTAACTATGTGCATGAACCCAAGCTCCACAAAGTAATTACATGGAAAGAGAACAGGCAGGCATGCCTAAAGAACTAATTGGGTCCTGGTTTATAACGAGCCACGTAAAAGCAGAGACCAGAAAAAGCTGAGCTCCTTGTTCTGGCGCTAGCTCTTCTGCCTCCTGTACCCAGCAATGGTACATACATAACAAGCTCTCCTCTCATCAAGGATGAAGATGGAGAAGACTAATATGCAAATATTTCTGATTACTAATTAATTTCCTATTTCCCCTTCTTAAGCCAAGAGGAATCTATCTATAGAACAAACCTTTCGCATCCAACTGCTCATCTTCATGTCTGCTGCCACTGCTCTCATTCATTTCCTTGCCTTATTGTGCCTTGGACTATTAAGATGGCCTCCTAACTGCTCTAATTCTGCTAATCATTTATTTTTCATGAAGTTGCAAGAGTAATTTTTTGGCAGAAACAGGGGTCTCACTACATTGCCCAGGCTGGTCTCAAACTCCTGGCCTCAAGTGATCCTCCTGCCTCGATGTCCCAAAGTGTTTGGATTATAGGTATGAGCCACTCCGCCTGGCTACAAGAGTTAACTTTCTGATTCACAACTCTTACCAAGACCAAAACCTGAAGGACTTCTCACTGTGTATACATCCTAAAACATGGAATCAAGGCTCTCTATGATCCAGCCCAACCTCCCTTTCAAATCTTTTTTGTTCCTATAAATTCTAAGGTCACAAAACTAGAAGGCAGTATTGAACCAAATTCATCTGTTGATACATTTTCCTTGCAATGATTAATAATAGTAACCATAATAACAGTAGTAGCAGCAAACTTAGAGCTTCCTATGTCCAGGCATTTTCTAAGCACTTTACATGCATTACCCCCTTAGTTATCACAACCCCATGAGATTGTTACTATCTTCAATTTAAAGATGAAGGAAAATGAGATTTAAAAAGTAGAAGAGCCACTATTGGAACTCAAGAAGATCGGCTCCAGTGTCTATATTCTTAACTACTATATGGTACTACATTCCTTTTGAGAAGGAATGAGTGGAAAGATGGCTGGGTACATGTATGACACTATTTTGTGAGCTATTTTAAGGTTCGTGTTTGTGAATGTATAGTCCTACCTCCTACTAATGGAGGAAAATGAGCTCTCTCCTGATCTCTGTGGGTTCTTCTACTTGTAATAACAGGTAACCTTGATAACACTGACCGTCCCCTCAGTTGCACAGGTGCACCTACCCAAAGCATAAAGAGAGAGCCCTGCGTAATTGAGTGGCTTTACCTTTATTGGTACTGTCAAAATAGTGACATTAAAAAAATACAGGTACCAAGTAGACAAATGAATAGTGCCTAATAAAGAGGAGAGGCTTCAAGGAAGAAAGAATAAATGAAGTATATGAAGCATGCATACTTATAGCACCTGCAAATTAACTTCCTAGAAACAGCAATAAGCAGATAAAGTACAGTCCTTAGTGGAATCAGGCACAAAACGAATGCAGCTGCAAGAACACAGAAACATATACACTTTTACTTGCAAACATCTGCCCCCAGTATTCCCAGCAATTCTCCCATATCATTCCCACAGGGGCCCAGCAAAAAGATAAGAAATCGTGCCATATTCTTGCCTAACACCAATACCTTCCTACCATTCTGACCCTAAATTACCTTTAGGGTGCTCTGATGAAAGAAAAGTGCTATAGGACAGATGCCAAAAGAGAAGTCTTAAGTACTGCACAGCTTGAGACAGCAGGTCTATGGCAAAGAGCCTTGCAAAGGGAACCAAGCATGCCTGCTGGCTTACTAGTACTTTGGGCAAGCAAGAAGTTCTCCGAACCTCAATTCTCCATCCTAATATGAGGTGAAAAGGGGTTCCAAAGGCAGTGCAAAATCATGTCTCCCAATTCCTTGATGCAGTATTTTAATCCAATCCTACCTAATCAGCATAATTTTCCCTCCACGCTCATGCCAGGAGCCCCATGCTCCAATCACCCCCGCTTTGAGTGGCATTCTCCAACTTAAGCCATCACTCTGCTGCCTCTGCAGCTTTGCTTATGTTATTCTCTCAAGCTTGGAATACCTTTCCTTCTCTGACTATCCCCCATCTGAATGACAGCCTATTTATCCTTCTTTGTCAGTGGCTCTCAGTCTTGGCTGCACATTAAAATCATGTAGGAAGCTTTAAAAATGTTTAAACATTTAAAAAATTTAATGTTTTTAAATGTTTAAACATTTAAAAAATGCTGTCTCTGTCCAAATTCCAGAAGTTCTGATCTGATTGTTATAGGGTTTGGTCTAAATATTGGGGTTTTTCAAAATTCTCTCAGGTGATTGTAAAGCACAGCCAAGGTGAGAGCCTCTGCCCTACACCCTGCCCAAAGCCACTTCCCCTAAGAAGCCTTTTGCCTAACCTAAACTAACTGTTCCCACCCAGACATTCCTATAGCACTTTAATTTCACTTGTTCAAAGACACGATCATGTCACAGGTTACACTAAGTCTGCCATAGTTCTGTGTCAGGACTGTCTACATCATTAGAAAGAAAGACAGGATAGATGGAGAATGGAAACTGTGTTTTACTTATCTGTCCCAGGCCCCTTAAAATAATACTTTAGCCTCAGCCACCACTCAATAAATGTTTGACGAATTTACTTGAACTGCTGCTTTTATATACTTTGCTCTGAGAGGTCAAAAACATGAATAGTGGTAGCATTTTCAATGAGTTTCCAGTGGAAACAGAGAGCACCATAGGTCTTAGATAGTTACCAGTTTACTGCTGGAGGCAGGCCACCTCTTCCCTAGTAGGCCTGGAGTGCAAACACAGGACTCAAACTGTCTCCCAACCTGCTATCTGTAATAGTGGGTAAAGCAGCAAAAAGCCCAGCCCTCCTTGTATCCAGTGGAAACAGAATAAAAGTAGGTATTTTTGTGAAAGATATACTGAAGCCAGGGGCTAGGAAAAGGGACTGAACAGCAAGTTCACATCTCCACAAAGCAAATCTCAACATAACACACCCACTGGAATAGCCCGGCCCCTGAGAAAGAAGGTCCTAAGGCAATGATTCTCAGAATTTATTGTATATAAAAATTCCTGGTGCTTGTTGAAATGCAGATTCCTAGGCCACAACCTCTCCCACCCCTACCTAATGAACCGAAATGTCTCTGAGTAGGGCATGTTGATGAAGCCTGGTAATGTATGTACACTTGCATACATTTGCCTAAGGCCTTTGTGATAAAAGGCCTTAGGCAATTCAGATACTCAGTCTCGTAGATTCACTAAGAATCTGGGAGGAAAGCTTTGGAAAAAAAGGGACACTCTGCACTGCTGTATCAAAAATTATTTGGGGTGAGAGGCAGTATATGTGCACAGAGAAAGTATACCTCTGTATCAATGTCTACTGTGAAGTTTAAAGATGGTAACCAAAACTGAAAGTGTTGGCCAGGCATGGTGGCTCACACCTGTAATCCCAGCACTTTGGGAAGCTGAGGCGGGTGGATCACGAGGTCAGGAGATCGAGACCATCCTGGCTAACATGGTGAAACCCCGTCTCTACTAAAAATACAAAAAATTAGTTGGGCGTGATGGTGGGCGCCTGTAGTCCCAGCTACTCGGGAGGCTGAGGCAGGAGAATGGCATGAACCCGGGAGGCGGAGCTTGCAGTGAGCAGAGATTGCGCCACTGCGCTCCAGCCTGGGCGACAGAGCGAGACTCCGTCTTAAAAAAAAACAAAACAAAAAAAAAACAACAACTTAACGTGTTTGCCTATAGTAGATAATCAAGAATCACTGACAATAATAATGATTCCTTTCATAACTTCCTTCTATGTTCATTTCATACTTGATAGTTCCTAGAAATCAAGGAGAAGGAGGTATCACTAGCTTTAAACCACTTTCCACTCTAATTTCTATTCCTTTATTAAAGAACACCCCTCACCCTAACTCTCCACCCACCATCCTGCAGGAATGCCTATCGACAGCCACCACCAACACCTTCCCCAGCCTCCTACTCCAGGAGGACTCAGCCCAACTACAGAGCCTGCAGGCCACATGCAGATTCTCAGACAGTAAATGGAAATGGGCCAGGCACAGCTCATCCATAACTTACCTGTGGGAAACAAACCCCAGTTAAGTCTTTATCTATACCAGAAACCCTGCCTTAGGTAAAGATTCACACTTCTGCAACTGCACCATTTGCTGCAGGACTGTAGAATTTCCCAGGCCAGCCTATGTCAGTTAATTTCTAAAGGGAGAGACTATAGTCATGTGTAAGTATCTGGGAATTAAACCATGAAAAGACCCAAACATTTCTTTACCTTAAGCAGCTATTGTACAACCTCCCTTCTTGACTCTAGTCAATGAAGCAAACCAGCTCCTTCAAATTCAATACCATTCTCCTCACCTTCCCATTAAGAGAAAGCAATTCCCACATTTTAGCCATAAATTAGAAGCCTTCCATTTTGCAGATGTATGAAACGACGTGACTGCACTCCACAAAGAGGCCAAATCTCAAACACCTAACTAAATACAGGGAGATGATTTGTGATACTTAAATATAATTACTGTGCTATATTCAGGTTTTTAATCTCATGTTTTTCAATTTCATTATGAAATTACAGCCCCAAACCTCTGGACACAATAGCAGCATTGTCGCTGTAATCATTACCCATGTTGCTCGAAGGGAACACACAGCTCTATTGGAGGTCACTCGCCAAGTGCACTAAATGCAGACTGCACAAAGGCATCTTGCTCCAGTGAATCCCATTCAGTCGAGGGAACACAAAAAGATTTAGGAGTCTGAGCAGATGACAAGATGTCAGCAATTTAGGGCCATTATTTTTAAAAAGCATGCTTGGGGCTGAGTTACATAAATTGGAAGATGGCATCAGAAACTATGAGGTCATTCTCCCATCATAATCAGTCTCAAGAAGATCCCTGCTCAACAGCATGAGAAAACTGGGGTAGGTTTCAATTAGTGGAGCCAAGAAATCGATTGGAGAGTTAGAAGACAGGAATTAAGGCTAGAGAGGGAATAACTTGAGTTTCAGTTAAGTGCGGATAGAACCCAGTTGGGTCTCCTTGCACAAGCAATCACACATGACACTCAGCAGCACAGCATGAAGAATTTAGATTAGCAAACTTCCTGAGCAAGCAAAGGGAAAGGTAATTTAGAGATGTTCAAGCATCTCCATTAATGGCCTTTACAGAATAAAGCATCATCTGGACCTTACAGTTTTATAATATTCTTAATGGGACAAGTTGAGACTATGCTCTGATAAACACTTAAATAGTACTTGCTATGTGCCAAGGCACTTTTCTAAGTATTTTACGAACAATCTCAATCTTCAAAACAATCCTAACAGGCAGGTATCATTATAATTTTTCAGGTGAGAAAACTGAAAAATAGAGTTATAGCTTACTCAAGGTCACAAAGCCAGGAAGTGGTTTTTAATCAGAACACCAGTACCACATGGTTCCTATTATACGATTTTACCAAGATTCAAGTCATGGTAATTATCATTTATATTACCTCTCCCACCACCCTTTTCTCCCTCTCCTCCCATTGTCATCCCCTTCCCTAAACACCCTTTCCGTTATCCTCCATAATGTGTATTCACAGAAGCACAATTTGGAATGGGATAAAATCTAGATTACATAAAATCAATGATTCTCTGATGTTTCTTTTTTGAGACAGAGTCTGACTCTGTCACCTAGGCTGGAGTGCAGTGGTACAATCAAAGCTGACTGCAGCATTGACCTCCAGGGCTCAAGTGATCCTCCCACCTCAGCCTCCCAAATAGCTGAAACTACAGGCACGTGCCACCACATTCAGCCATTTTTTTTTTTATTTTTTATTTTTAGTAGAGACGAGGTCTCACTATTTTGCCCAGGCTAGTCTTAAACTCCTGAGCTCAAGCAATCTTCCCAGCTCAGACTCCCAAAGTGCTGGGATTACAGGTGTGATCCACTGGGCCCAGCCAATTCTCTGATGTTTCAACACGTTGAGATATATTTAGTTCTTCAAAGTTGAAAAAAAAGATATTTATTTAAGCAAATACTTCACTCACTGTCATCATTTCAGCTTTGTTAGGGGCAGAGAGTTCAGAAACCAAATCTAACAATGACAGGTATTTTTAACTTCCAGAAGGGAACTAGAGAATACATAAACATCTCCTTTTCTCACTGGAGAGACAACTGGCATCCCCCCAAGACAACAGTCTATCCATGGCCAGAAAAAGATCTGAGTTCCAAAAGGAATCTTAACGTACTCTGAAATATGTGATTTAGGGCTGTGGAAACGTCAAGCCCCTACTTCATCTGATGTTCTATATTCTCCAACAGCCACAATGAGGTCTGCTAATGTTGATCCTAAGCTGCTGCTTAACAAGTACTTTGGTTCTGACAACACTCCTATAGGCCAAGAAAGGTGCAGTAGCCCTGGGTCCCAGCAGAAATACAAGTCTCAGAGTTCTAAGAGAATGTTAACAGAAACAACAGGGACTTACTTAAATTAATAACAGGGAATATCAGCATTCTAGGACTACCCCTTTGAGAAATCCAGCTAAGATAATTAACGTTAAAGATCATCTAACGCACTGATTCACACTTAGCTAACCTTTGGAATCAGTTTTACAAAATATTGATACTTGGGGCTCACCATCAGAGATTCTGACTGAATTGGTCTGGATGCAGCCTGGGCATACATTTTTTTTAAGTGCCCCCACGTAATTCTGATGTGCATTGAAGTTTGAGAGCCATTGCTGAATGGAAATTGTCCACACAAGCAAACCCAAAAAGCTTAGCTGCACTCTGTCAAAGTGGCCTTAAATGCTGCATTCTTGATATAAGGTAAACACCAAAAAGTCACCCACACTAGGAGTTCTGCATCTGCTTGAAAACTTGTTGATGGCATTAAACATTAATTTCTTTAATACTCCTTGCCTAAAGACTTGCATAAATTCCTTCTATAATTGGGTTTTAAGAAAGACTTTACATCTTCTTAGAAACCTGATATGTTTCCTGTTGTTGGAAAACAAAAACCAAGTGTCCTATCGTTTCCCTTATAACTCAGAGTGCTAGACGCGTCAGAGCTGAACCGGACAGCTAATCAGAGTATTTGTTCCCCAGTGTATTTGATTCTTATTCTGTCTATGCAAGTTTTGATTATTCTTTTTTTAAGGGGCATAGAAGTGTCTTTTTTTTTTTTTAATTTTGCTTCAAGGCCACTGGAGGAATAGACAAATGCAGAATTATGAATAATGGTCAAGTAATGAAGGCTGACTTTTAGGGAATCTTCTCTGTTAATTTCTCAGACTTTCTACTTACTTAGATGCTTCTGTTCTTGAAGAGCTGCACAAAAACCAAGTGCCCTTCAGGTTAAACTGTATTCAAACAATACCAGAGGAACGCTACTGTAAGGACTTTAGAAAAGTGAATAATCACTTTCATTTATTTCCCTGGATTTGGGCTTTTGTGCATAAAGTTTCTTTAGATTGAAGCCTGCCCAGACTTCACAAACTCCAAGTGTAATCTCTGACACCATGCTGCTGCCCTTCCCCTGAAGCCTCTATTTTAGTTTCCCCCAAGCCTGCTACTCTTGGCAAAGTAACTTCCACCTTCTTCCTTTGCACCCTCTTTCATAGGGCTGAATTAATGAGCCTGCAAGCTGGGGGCAATGTCTCTCCACAGCTGTCTTTTCAAGCAATTATTTAGGGACAGAGAAGGAAGTCATTAACAATCCTGGGAGTCAGCCAGAGACAACTCTGCCACACAATATACTCAGATAGGGCCCTGGGCCAAAAGGTCATTTTTTACTGGGGGCTTGAGGTGGGGTGGGGTGGGGTAACAAAGTAGTACAGAGAAGAGGATAAGAGAGCAGGTTTTTACGATATTTTTCTGGCATCTTCACCAAGAGCAATTTCTTCTGTAAAAGAAAAAGTCTAGCTGAACCAATCAGGAATTCATTCAAGGGTGATTCCAGGCAAGAGGGAAGGAATGCCAGTGAGAATAATGCCCCTCTGAAAAATCTGTCCTTAATAAAAGTTCCACTTCATTCCTAGGAGGCTGGGGAAGTAGGTAAAACTGGTGCCAAAATGTTGTAACAGCTAGGCGCAGTGGCTCAACGCCTGTAAGCCCAGCACTTTGGGAGGCCAAGGTGGGCGGATCACCTGAAGTCAGGAGTTCGAGACCAGCCCTGGCCAACATGGTGAAACCCCATCTCTAGTAAAGTTGGGGGAAACTAAAATAGAGGCTTCAAAAATTAGCTGGGTATGGTGGCACGCCTGTAATCCCAGCTTCTTGGGATTACAGCTGAGGCAGGAGAATCACTTGAACCCAGGAGGTGGAGGTTGCAGTGAGCAGAGATCATGCCACTGCACTCCAGCCTAGGCAACAGAGTGAGACTCTGTGTCAAAATAAAATAAAATAACTACTATAATAAATGCTAGTGAAGGTTATTCAAAAATATGCCTGACTAGTAAAACCAAAATGTTTTACACAAGGTGGCAGATTCCTCTTGCTCTACTCGTCTCGCCAACAAAAGACTTTAAGTGCTTTAGAGAGAAAGATCCTGATACTACTTCTGGTTAGAATTTCTCCTCTCTGGTAAAACTAGGCTATCTTTCTATGACAGAAAAAGAGTGTCTAGATTTTCCTTGTTTCTTAATAAAGACAAGTTCTAGAGTCATCTTTCTTTTCCCTTCTCCTGAAATAGACTATGTTATGTAAAGATGTTTTGAGAAACCAGTCAAACTTGGGTCTGGTCATCAGAGTGCATGTTCCTCCTCTGATTTTAGAACAACGTCAGGAGCAAATCAGTGTCTCTGTGATCTCAAGAGTCTTGGAAAACCATTAGAGAGGGAAAGCTCTGTGAGAAACATAATTGGATCAAATGCTGAAAGCCAGAAAGAGCTGAGTTCAAATTTTAGTTCTGATAGTAGGCAACGTCCTTAACCTCAGAGTTTCAGTTTACTTGCCTATAAATGATACCAAACCTCAACTGATAGGCTTGTTTTCAAACTTTTTAGAGCATGACACATAAAAATTTCTGATGTCTGCCTGCATGCACATACACTTAAAACAAGTTTTTTTGAAACAATACACACACTAAGTGTAGTATACTCTGATGTCATCTATTTGATTCTATTTTTTAAACTGAATAAAATAAAATTCTGACTGTCACCCACTAATGGATTAAGATATGCAGTTTAAAAAATCATTGTGACAGGTCAGGCACGGTGGCTCAGGCCTGTAATCCCAGCACTTTGGGAGGCCGAGGCGGGTGGATCACCTTGTGTTCAGAGTTAGTTCCTTCTGGTGGGTTCTTGATCTCGCTGACTTCAAGAATGAAGCCACAGACCTTCGTGGTGAGTGTTACAGCTCTTAAAGGTGGCACGGACCCAAAGAGTGAGTAGCAGCAAGATTTAGAGTGAAAGAACAAAGCTTCCACAGCATGGAAGAGGACCCAAGCGGGTTGCCACTGCTGGCTGGGGTGGCCAGCTTTTATTCCCTTATTTTTCCCCACCAATGTCCTACTGATTGGTCCATTTTACACAGTGCTATTGGTCCATTTTACAGAGTGCTGACTGGTGCGTTTACAATCCTTTAGCTAGACACAGAGCGCTGACTGGTGCGTTTTTACAGAGTGCTGACTGGTGCATTTACAATCCTTTAGCTAGACGCAGAGCGCTGATTGGTGCATTTTAACAGAGTGCTGATTGGTGCATTTACAATCCTTTAGCTAGACACAGAGTGCTGATTGCTGCATTTCTACAGAGTGCTGATTGGTGCATTTACAATCCTTTAGCCAGACACAGAGCACTGATTGGTGCATTTGCAATCCTCTAGCTAGACAGAAAAGTTTTGCAAGTCCCCACTCAACCCAGGAAGTCCAGCTGGCTTCACCTCTCACCCTGAGGTCAGGAGTTTGAGACCAGCCTGGCCAACATGATGAAACCCCGTTTCTACTAAAAATAAAAAAAATTAGCTGGGCGTGGTGGCGGGCACCTGTAATCCCAGCTACTTGGGAGGCTGAAGCAGGAGAATCGTTTGAACCTGGGAGACAAGGGTTGCAGTAAGCCGAGATTGCGCCATTGCACTCCAGCCTGGGCAACAAGAGTAAAATTTCATCTCAAAAACAAACAACAACAAAAAAACCAATCACTGTGATAGGGTGTCTTGTGGAATAGATGTAGTTAGCATTTGATCCTATAGCAAAGAGCCCAGCACACAGTAGGCCCCTGACAAACCATGGCTCATATAATGCTGTCCTTTCATAGAAACTGACAGCAAATATAACTCCTGTTTATCAGAGCAATCCAGAAAACCATACCAGACCATTCCACCCTTCCAATGGTGAAAAGCCACTGCACTGAGTTATGTGGTCAAACAGCCCCTGAGTTATGTCTATGGCCATTGGCACTCTGCTCCGCAGAAGGGATTCTTTGTTTATGTCTTATTCATCACTCACTACAGTTTTGTGAAGGGGACTTTAATTACCAAAAGGTACTCATTACTGTTTAAAACAGAACAACAAAAACAGCCAAACATCTACTTTGAGTGAGAGGGAGCCTCTCAATCACACAGAACAATTTTATAGCAATTTTGTAAAAAGCAGACCCTTACAACATAAGACTGTCTCAATCAATGCTGAAAGCAACTGTGATGGTGAACTCTAATCTAGCTATGTGAGTCTGAATATCCAGAGAAACAAAGAGAAGCTAAATCCTTGGAAAACCCTCAAAACTTCAGAGAAAAAAATATTTTCAGTCCCTATGCATGCTAGCATTCCATAATAATTTGAACAACTGAAGTGTTCAAAATATTTTAGGTAATAAAATCTCATTTTAATGATTATTTATGTATTGTATAGTCATTTATAAGGCCTTCCATGAACACACTTACTAAAATAGCTCCCTATCCCATTCTCTTCCCTTTCTTGTTTTTTTTTCCTTTCATAGTATTTATCACTATCACCACCACCATTATAAATATGTCCTCATCACCACCACCCCCTTGGCTAGAGTATAAGGTTCACGACAGCAAGGACCTTTTTTTGTTTACCACTGTAAACCCAGTACCTAGAAGGGTGCCTGGCACATAGTAGCACAATAGGTATTTGTGAAATTAATTAATAAATTAGTGAGCTAAATGAGTGGAATGTTAACTTCTGCACTGGAGTTCAACCACCAACAAGCCACATGCCTCCTCTTTCTTCTTCCTCCAATGTTATGAGAAAAAGCACAGAAAGAAAACCTCCTATTCTCTGAAGGCATCAGCTGTGTATCATGCACCAAACCTCCCTGTAACTGTTCCTTTCTTTCTCTACACTTACAAATAACAACTCCCCAGCTCCCCTTGGTACTGTTCTGGGTCTACCAGTTGCTCATTTCCTCTTAAAGAAATAACAGATTTGTGAAATTAAAACACAACTATCTGATGCCACTCCTTCGGGACCTGTCCAGGGTTAGAAGCCCTTCAGCCAAGGTCAGAAGCCCCTCAGACTCCAAAGAACAAACAGCAGCAAACACCAACAAGGAAAAGGCAAATGGCAGACGGGCAAAACAAACCAGAAGGTTGGACTCCATCCAAACCCCCTTTTCTTCTCAAAGAGATAGCTGGGTCTTGCGAAGGAGAGGCTCTCCTCTAGCTGAGTACTTCAAGTTATGAGAGGAAAGATCATGCCAGGATTTTAGATTATTCCAAGTGGCAACTGGGTACTGACTTCCCATTGGGACTTCACCCATCCATCTGCCTAGATCTCTCCAAAACTAATCTTAAAGGACCCTGTAATCTTTTCTGCAATAGCCTGACGAAGCAGCCTGGAGAATTTTACTGGAATCCAGGCCCTCCATGTTTCCAAGCCTGTGTAGACAACGTTCGGTGTCATTTTGGGTAGTTTAATGGCTACTCACCCTGAAAAGCATGCCCACGTATCTGGGGATAGCAGTTGAAGGTTGGGGAGGGGGGCTGTCATAGCAGCATAATAAAGCAAATCACCTGGTAAAATGGGAGATGAATGCACAAATCCAGGCAGAGAATTTGAAGCAGAAATGCATTACTGACTCAAGAAATCATTTCAAATGACTTATACTATAAATTGGCTTTAAGAGACATCTCAGTCTGCACATGTATTCCCTGCTGAATGATGATACCTATTCAAATGATCAAAAACAGTCCGTTCTTAAATTCTGGATAAATCCCAGACCTCAGAAACAGGCAAAGGAAGGGGGAAAGAAAAGTTCAAAAGCAGAAAGGCAGTAAATGTTACTCTTAGGACCAATCTCTCTGATATGCCTCAAGCTTGCTAACAGCATTTTTATGCCACAGGCATGCTACTTTCCTTTGCCCTCATTTTATTTCACAGGAAGTCCTTCCCTAATAGCCATGGAATACCCAAAAGGAGAAGAGAAGGGGAGGGCAAGGCATTCTGCTATTTCTTCTGCTTGGAAAAGACTCAAGGGCCTGGAAAGATGCCGCAAAAATCAGTGTGAGCACAACAAACAGCAGCGGCCAAGGAAACTGAATCCCAGTGGGAAATCTGCCAGCTGGGAACCATTCTATAACTGGAGAACAAGCATCTACTCAAATGGCCAGTGTCCAGCTCAGTACAAACTATGTGGTTACAAGGACCACAGTAGAAACCCCTCCTAAAATCATCGTGGGCCTGTTTCCTCCTAAACTGATCCTAACAGTCCCAGTGTAAAATCATTCCTCCCTCTAAAGTGAGTTCTAATCTCCAAAGGATGACAAGTATCTCAAACAGATTCTCAATGAGCCGAAGAGGAGAAGCAAAGGAGACAGCCACAGGAGCAGCGGTGCTTCAAGTCAAAGCACGTTTGGCAATGTCAAGTGGGATAAGTGAAGCCAAAAAAAAAAAAAAAAAAAAAAAAGATGAGCAGCACCCTCTTGAGAGGGTCAAAGGGATTACCTTGCACACATGGCAAGGCTGGGCATGCCCAGGGGACACCACAGCATGTGGACCATGGATTTGGGTACGAGTAAGAGGTAAAGCCCAGAGCAGGGGAGAATATCTAAGTCAATGTCAATACACAACAAATCCAAACAACTAGAATATTATGACTGAGTTAAACATACTTAGAGACCATTAAAATAATTCCTAGGGACTCAACAAAGCCTTTCCAAAAAGGGGATTACTTTTGCAAGGCCAAAGCATGAGAACTAACTACATCTGACCCTAATTAACTGCTCAAATACAAGGTAACATAACATATTGCTCCTTCCCAATAGAGGATCTGCTCTAAAAGTTATACTTGGTTGTAATGTCTGATTTTTTTTTTAATGGTAGATTTCCCTCCTTAATTATCTTTTCTTAAAATCAAGAAGAAAATTATCTTTCAGTTCTCGAGTGCATACCAACCAGGGACTTTGGCAATATAACCCAGGAACCAGCTGGGAAAAAGGTCTCTGGGATTGAAAACATTTGTAAGGCAAATAATTTGAAAATTGACTGTAGCTACAAATAAATTCCCTGTGGTCTGAAATCCATCTTCTACTGGTAGGGACCATGCAAAAACCATCATGACTGGATGAGACCTTGGAAGTCAATTAATGTAATGAAGGTTCTTTTAAAAAGAAACAAAAAAAAAAAAAACAAGAGAGAGAGATGGGGTCTCACTCTGTCACCCCACCTGCAGTAATACCATCACAGCTCACTCCAGCCTCGATCTCCCAGGCTCAAGTGATCCTGCCACCTCAGCCTCCCAAGTAGCTGGGACAACAGGCACACACCACCACGCCCAGCTGATCTCTCTTTTTAGTAGAGACAAGGTCTCACTATGCTGCCCAGGCTGGTATCAAACTCCTGAACTCAAGCTATCTGCCCACCTCAGCCTCCCAAACTGCTGCAATTACAGGTGTGAGCCGGGCCGCGAAGAAGATTCTAAAACCTGGTCCCATTTCAGACCTACTGAACCTGAACCCACATCCAGGAGATAGCATCCGGGAATCTGTACTTTCAAGTTCCCTCGGGTTATTCTGAAGGTTCAGAAACACCTCCTTGCCTCCACTTAAGAGAAGGGGAATTAATAAGTCTTTCTGCTAGAGAGCCCATGTTTAGGGCTTTACTCTAGGGCCTGGTGACCTGAGAATGAATGACCCAAAGGCACTTTTTCCAGTAGCCACATATGGCTGACCAGATGAAGGCAGCCAATTCCCAGCCCACAGGCAGCTCTCTCTCCAGACTTGGTGTGTGGCCTTTGCAACAAGTGGGAAGGGAAAGGAGAGAAGAACAAACAAACAAAAATCAGCCACTGCAGTCTACACTGAGGCAAGATTACAAGTAATGTGGAGAAGAGCCTTCAAGAGACTGGAAAGACTCTAATAGAGATGCCTGTCAATTCGGTGCAGTATAATTAGCTAGTAAAACTTTTAAACAAACAATTATTCTAGTCCTCTGCCAACAGGCTGCTGAGGGCAGGGCCAAAGAAGGCAGTTCTCCTTAGGAGAGCTGGTCTCCAGAGCTTATGCCGAGGCCAAGCTGTGATTCACAGGACCCACTGCCTCCGAGTGTTATCTGCTGGTACCTCCAGCCCACACATAGCAGTCCAGTGCTGCTGAGCGCTCCTTCTTGGCCAATACCATAAATTGGCCCCCTCTTTTCTCATTATTCCTAAAACTATCAGTAGTGGGCAAATGTATTATCAATAGAAGGAATTTGTTTTCATATTACTTTCATTTTAAGAAATAACAATGGAACCATTTTTCAAAGTAATTCTGAGAAAATATCATAACAAAGGATAACCTTCATCTAGGCCATGGAGACAACGTCTGAAATTTAAAGACAGAGAAGTGCATTTTCATTGTAGGACTAATACGGTAGAAAACAGAAAAGGCTAAACTGAGAGATTTAAGATCCAGATCACAGCTCCAGCATCACTGCTAACTGTGAAACTGGGCTGGTTTTTTAACCCTGCTAGATCTCAGTTTCCCCATCAATAATTTGGGGAATAGGAGCAGTAGGTTAAAACAGTCAGACCTTTTGAACTATAATTCTAATTTATAGCTTTGTGGATAGCTCTTTAAATGGTGGTTGAAATCAGTATGCAAGTTGACCTGATTAAAATCCTATCAACCTCAATTAAAAATAACGGAGAGTCTATCAGAGGTTGTTTCGGTCTATTTTGTTGTTTGCTTTCAAAAAGACTCAGGAATAGCAATGAAGTAAGAGTGGAAATCATAACAGCCACTAATGAGTCTCATTTAACTCCAGCAATGACACTCACCAGTGACCATTTGTCCCTAGATTCTACTGCTGTGCTTCTATCTACCACCACACTCTAATACAGACCATCCTTTCAGGTTCCTGTGTGTAGCTCCAGCCACTTACAGCTCTATAAATAACAACAGCCAGGCACACAGTGACCAGTCACCTGTGAAATTAGCATCAAATGGTCTGATCAGGTTTCTTTACCCGCCCTCCTCCTCTTTGCCCTAGGCCAAAAATTCAGACAATGCTGTTAGACCACAGTTACATCATCCTTCCCAGGACCTGTGGATGGAGCATGGCCCTATCACAACACAAGACAGCCTTTTCTCTGTACATCACTCCAATGGGCTTTAATAGAAAAGGTCAAAATTTTAACAAGCACCAAATCTCCAGTATTTATTTTATAACTTTGGAGCCCTCTAAAATGTATTGTAACGAAGGCTCTAGTAGTTCCAAGAAATAAAACACAGGCTTATTCTTAGAGTGCAATTTTTTAATAATCAATTAAACTTGATAAATTAAGAATAAAATTTAATAGCAACTAAAATCTGATATGGCCAAACATCAATTGAAAATACCTCTTTAGATCACAGGTAAGGCCAGCTGTGGTGGCTCACATCTGTAATCCCAGTATTTGGGGAGGCCAAAGTGGGAGGATCACTTGAGGCCAGGAGTTCAAGAACACTGGTCAACATAGAAAGACCCCCATCTCTAGAAAAGATGGAAAATTTTAGTTGGGCATGGTGGCATACACCTGTAGTCTCAGCTGCTGCAGAGGCTGAAGTGAAAGGACTGCTTGAGCCCAGGAGGTCCAGGCTGCAGTGAGCTCTAATTGCACCACTGTACTCCAGCCTGGGTGACAGAGCAACACCCTGTCTGAAAAAAATACACAAAATAAAGAATAAGTCACAGGTAGCTATGACTAGTATACACACTGAGAAAATGTATTTCCATATATATATTTTTTTTTAATTTTTTTTTTTTTTTTTGAGATGGAGTCTCGTTCTGTCACCCAGGCTGGAGTGCAGTGGAGCAATCTCGGGCTCACTGCAACCTCCGCCTCCCGAGTTCAAGTGATTCTCCTGCCTCAGCCTCCTGAGTAGCTGGGATTATAGGCATGTGCCACCAAGCCCAGCTATATTTTTGTATTTTTAGTTGAGACAAGGTTTCACCACATTGGTCAGGCTGGTCTCGAACTCCTGACCTCATGATCTGCCTTCCTCGGCCTTCCAAAGTGCTGGGATTA